>NC_000010.11:96355216-96658246 GCF_000001405.40 Homo sapiens
CTCTGCGTTGCCTGGTGAATGGGGGCTGCTGTACTTACTGTGTTCGCCGGCAGGGTGAAGTTCAGTGAAAAACTCTGCAAGATAGAAGTAAACATTAAAGCTCCCAGGGATGGTCAGCAAGCTCCTTCCTCACTTCCTCAAACTCACTGACCCTGGTGGATTCCGAGAGGTCATTGATCCTATAGACTCAGCCAGCCCCCATCGTCCTGCACAGTCTTGGCCCCAAAAGAAGGAAGGGGAGGCAAGGAGCCTGTCATGAGTTCCTCCCTCAGCATCAAGTCAGTCTTGCCACCGCCCCCAACCAGGTCCTCGACCAGGATCAGATGAAGAGGCAGCCTGCAAGGCTATTGTCTGAGGGGTCCCATTCACAAGGGCAGCAAACACATGACTAGAAATTCAGCAAAAGGCTAAAATTATGTTTATTCCCTCTAGAACTCCTTTGAGACAGAAAACTGTTGAATTTAGAAGTATTTTGTGTTTTCTCCTTGGAGTAGAAGGTAAGACCCCCAAAGGGCATGGTCTAACAAGAACACCTGATCCTTACCCGGGGAAGGCAAGGCTTCTGTTTTTGCTACAACTGAGGCAGAGGTTCTAGGTTGCTGGAGCTGAAGTGGCCAGGAGGACAGGGGAACAGCAAACCCTTCTCTTTCCTCCCCTCACTTAGTAGATGGTCTCACCTCTCCCGCAAATATGGAGTCCAAATTTAAAGATCGTGGGCTCAGTGGAGCACCAAGTAGCCTGCCCAGGGCCTCAGGTGGCTCCTTTCTCCTCCCTGTCCCTAGCCCCTGTTACTCTAGCCTTTCCAGGCTGCTCCTTACCAAGTCCTTTCCCTACCTAGATTGGAATGATGGGTGGACCTGTTCTGACTCAGCCAGTGAAACTATTTTCCCCTCTTTCCCTGGGTGGAAGTGGTCTTGTTCCCACTTTCTGGACTCTCAGCCCCTTGGGTCCAGCCACCCTGGATTAATACCTCCTGGCTGGGCCCTCCTTCAGCCTCGGTCTCCCTGACCCCCAGATATTTCCCTGGGCTTGGTCTACACCACAGCTTCCCGTCTTTCCAGCATCCCAAGACCAGATTCTGTCATTGTAGAAACAATGCATTCATTAAGTTTTAAAATTAAATGTTATCCAACAATAGGAAAGTTGTGAAACATTAAAGAATCCAAAAGAATCATGTTTCACACCTGAATTACCTGAAAGATCATCTCTCTCAAAACCCTCATTTTCCAGCAGAGGAAACTGAAACCCAGGGACTTATCAGAAATCACCTCATGGACAAATGAGAACAGTTGGAGCCACATAGACCAGCCAATGGGCCGCAGTCTATGTGACTCAACCCCAACCCGAAAGATGGTAACAGAGGATCTCATCCCAACAGAAGCAAACTGACAAAACACCTATTTCAGCTGACTTACTGATGGATTGGAATTCAGATGGGTTAATGAACAAGAAAATCTTTTGTGAACCAGAAGTGTTTTAAGCACCTAGAATGTGTAAGTCCCCCTAGCTTTTGCCCCAAATATTATGTCCTTCAATCAACGTGGCCCTGCTCAACTAGCACGCTTCAGTGGTGCCTCTGCTCACTTCTCCCCCTCTTGGCAATAGGACACCCGCATTTTATAGAGAATAACCAAGCCTCAAGAATTTGAACAGGTTTCCCAAGTCCAAACAACTACTTAGCTGTCACCAGAACCTGAGTGTCCCGGTGACAACCTCTTTCCACCACTCTGCAAGGCTTCCAAGCAACTCCAGTAGTCTCTGTGGATGAATCAGAGCACCCAGGCTGACAGCACTGTGCACCTCTGCTTCTGGGATGACGGTGGAACACAGGGACGTCTGGGCCTCTTAGGTCAGGGTCCTCTTGCTCAAGGGACCTAACCACTGCTCTTCACGCTAGCACCAGACCAACACGTGCTGCAAGGACACTGGATGGTCGCTGCACTGAATGCAGCTGCCCAGAGCTTTATCTCATCAGTGGGCACTGAGGACTGATGTCAGCAGCCCTAAGACAAAGCTTCCTTTGGGAGGACAGTAGAAGAGGGGGTGCAGCAACAAGTGGGCCATTGCATGTGTTGTTTATCAACATTCGGATGACGGAGATTTTGGCCAATTTCAGAAAGACACTCATATTTTGTAGAAACACAGTACAGTGCTCTCATGGAGAGAAAAACATCGCACAAATTAGGGTGGAGAAGAATCTGATGCAGTGCCCTTCAGAGACACAGCTGAGTGGGATGATGCAACCCTGAGCTTGGAGCCACCTGATCTAAATTCGAGCCCACACTTAGCCACTTAGGAGCTGTGTAGTCTTGGATAAGTCACTCAAACCCTCTGGTCTCCATTTTCTCACAACAAATCTATTCTCCAAGGCTCAGTTTTCCCATTCTCAAAATGGGATACTATTAACTTGCCTTGCCCACTTCACAAGGGAATACCGTAATGTCATCTGTGGCAGCTCCTTTCTCCCAAACTGTAAAACACCCTCTGTGTTTTAGGGATCACGTGGTAGCATATTCTTTATGGCCTGGCCAGCACAGAGCTAAGGATAGGAAAGTTCTTGTGGAATGGAATTGCAAGCATGAGTTAGTGATAGTCAAAGTACTAGAATTGGATACAATGCAATTATTGCTTACTGCTAGTCTGAGCACTATGCAGTATCTACACAATGATTCTGAAGGCATTTTGGGATCTCAGTGGCTGAACGTCCTTCATTATAAGTTTGCAGTTTGTGAGAGGAAGGAGGAAGAGACAGGATAAAAACTTACTGCTGTTGAAGGTGTGCTGGGTATAAGACCCCATACTCACAACCTCCCCATGAAGGGAGCACTATTATTCCTATATTATACCTGTGGAAACTGAGACCAAGATAGGTTTTTGCTCACCAGCTTTTAAGTGGTAGAGATCAGGTTAGATCACAGATCTCCCTAACTCCACAGACTGAGCTCTACTCCTTTTAACAATGCTTTTTGTAAAAAAAAAAAAAAAAAAAAAAAAAAAAAATTCCACAAGAAAGTGAGATTACACAATATTCTTCTTTTTGTGTCTGGCTTATTTCACTTAGCATAATGTTCTCCAGGTCCAAATAGGACAAACATGGCAAATGGCAGGGTCTCCTCCTATTCTAAAGCTAATATTCAGTTGTATATATACATATAAACCACAGTCCCTTTATCCATTCATCCACTGATGGACACCTAGGCTGTTTCCATAATTCTTTAGTAAATCACAGAACCCTCTTGTTTTCTCTTCTAACTTAGCAAACTTCATTTGATTGAGTCACAACAAAATATTTATCACAAGTAAACAAGAAAGATGGAAAATTTCTGATCAATGATGACCATCCATGTTGCTGATGATGGAACAAAAAGCCAGATTAAACAAGTAAGACAGATAAAATCGTTGATTAGATCCATTGCTTCAACTAGAAAGGGAACATAGGTGAAACATCTACTCTGTACTCTTGTATGTGGGGTTTTAAAAACAAACCTTAATACCAAAATGAAAGACAAGATCAGCAAATATTAGGTGAGAAGTTTAAAAAATTATTGGTATTTTGCATATAGGAAAATAATTTAAAATAAAGTCCCTTTACTTCATTGTACATTTAATTGAATTTGGAGGTTTTTTATAGTAAGAAATGAAAGTTCGATTGAGAAGAGATGCCAGCTTTCACTCACCATTTCTGACAGTCTCCCAGGAACCTTCTTCGTACACTGCCTTTGGTAAGCTCCTTTCTCACTGGCTTTATTGGCTTGTGTCTTTCATTTGTAGGAACAGTTAACTGACAAAGCTGCAGAGGCAGGCTGAGAGGTGGCTCCAAGAGAACCCTGGCCAAGCCATTTATGGTCAGGGGAGTAGCCAAGCCCTCAGTCCATCCCTCGGGAAAGATGGGCTGCTGCTGCATGGCCGACGTGTATGGCCTGGTTCACCCACCCTCTTTGCCTTGATTTTCTGTCCTTACTTTTCAGGCTGCTTTCTTGGCTATACCTCCATCTCAGCAAAGAAGCCACAGCTGGCCTGAGAGCTTGGGGGCTTCTGCAGCCTGCAGCCCTTTGGAAACAATGGGTTACATGAGGCTGAGGCTGGCCACTCCATCCCCAGCTGACGGGAGTCCACATTAACCATGTTACTGATAATGATGGAGTCATTGTGTTACATGGACAACAGCATGGACATTCGGGATGTCTGGAGGAGGGGTGGGGGCCCATTCTGTTGCAGGAGTCACACTGCTGGGGGCTCCAGCTGCTGCAAGGTGCTGCACTCAGTGGCCAATGAGCTGCCTGGTGTGAGTTCAGCCTCACCCCCTCTCTGTTTTTGTATTTTGGGTGGGAAGCTCTCTAGACCTGGAGGAAGCCATGGACTTGGGCTGCTTTATAACTTACAATTTCCCTGTTAGGGATTTGCCTCTTTAAAATGGTGAATGAGTTGCTAATAAAACAACAGAATTAAACCAATAATTTGGCCATTGAAATGAAAACCACTGTGAGAGGAGCAGATAGGAGTGTAAGGAGAGAGCGACTCAAGTGACAGAGGAGGCCGTTGTTTAGATGACTCTGGGAGATGGCACTGAAGCTGTGCGTGAAAGATGAGAAGAGGGCAGACATGTGAAGGGTTGAGGGAGGAGAGTCCCAGGCAGAAGCCACAGCAAATGCTAAGCCCTGTAAGCTTGGTGCACTCCCAGAGCAGGCAGGAGGCCGGTTGGCTGGAACAACATAAACCAGGGAGTCACCCGGGAAGGGGCTAAGGACGGAGTGAGTTTGAGCCCTTTTGATGTGACATGGGAGGGCATGGTAAGATTTTCATCCTTAGATGAAACCTTTTCCAAGGGTTTTTCAGTGGGAGAGATGCATGATGTAATTGCTGGTGACGAGGATTGCTAGGGCTTCTCTGTGGAGCCAAGATTACAGGGGAAGAGAGTGGAAGCAGGTGGCTGGCTAGTGGAGTCCAGGTGAGCGATGAAGGTGGCTGCTGTAGGAAGACAGCAGTGAATGATTGTGCTCTCTACTGTGGAGGTGGAGCCACTGGGATTAAATGATGAAAAAAATATGGGGCGGGGAAGGGCGAGGTGAGGGAAAGAGAAGAATAAAGCCAACTCCTGGGTTTGAGGCTTGACTAACAAAAATGGAGATGCTATTAGCTTAGGCAGGTAATACTGGAGAAACAGATTGCCCTTACACCTGAGTAGCCTAGGGGCTGTCCAAGTGTGGGTGCCAAGTAGGCGACTGGATAAAGGGGATCTGGGGCTGAAGACATCCGTTTGGGAGTGGCCGGCCTGTGGATGGTTTTAAAGCCCCCGGTGTGCATGAGCAGGTAGACAGGGCAGAGGGCCAGGACAGCTGCCAGGGGTTCACAGACATTTAGCAGCCTGGAAGAGGGGGTGTCACTAGCAAGGAGAGTTGAGTGAGGCAGGAAAATCAGATAAGTTCGGGGGTCACAGGAAAGAAATTTGATTCAAGAAGGGGAGTAGATGTTGGTTAATTGTATCAACTGCTGCTGAGAGGTAGCCTCCGAAGAGGTCAGAAGAGCCTTCTGATTCCCAGTATCGGGGTTGCTGGTGGCCTTGACAAGAGCAGTTTAGTGGCACAGTGGAGACCAGATTGCCTTTAATCAGGTGGTTTTTCCATCCTGGTTGCATACCTGAATTACCTAGGGAGTGGTAGGGGGCTGGTTATAAAAACTCTTGATGCCTAGAACCTGCCCCCAGAGACTCTGACTTGATTGATCAGAGTGAGGCAGGGGCATCCCCAGGGGACGCTAACGAGCAGTCAGGGGTGACAGCTGCTGTTCTAATCAGTTCTTAGACTGTGGTAATCAGCCACCTGCAACATGGCCGACACTGATGCTATCCTAAACAAGACCAATGAGGCCTCTGCCTTGTGGGCTTCCAGTTTCCAAGACTCCACAGTGACAGCCTAAACTGAACCTACTGGTGACAACATGGTCTAGAGAGACCTCTGTTTAGAGCCACAGCTGCCCTACTGGAAGCTGCATGGTCTTAGGCAAGTGAAATAACTTCTTCCAGTCTGAGTCTTTTAATCTACAAAGCAGGGATGATACAATTTATGCAATTAGACTACTTGAATCAGCACAGCTCGTACAAATGATGCTTTTAATTTTCCTTGACTGGCGTAGAATCAACCTGGACCATAGAATTCCAGTTTATGGCCCCAGCACTCTCTGGCAAGGCTGTTTGTGGATGGGGAGGGCCACTGAGGTCCTTTTTGGCACTTTTGTTTGCTGTGCATCCACTGATCCATAACTCTGCCTTCTGATGGACACATTATCTCTTTAGAAGAATTGTTGACATCTTCAGGCAATTGGTACCCCTGCCTAAGTGTCCATCAGTCATGACTGCCCAGTCACAAGCATCAAAACCAGACTCTGCTTAATTTTTTGAAAAGGAAAATTTGGCCGGGCACAGTGGCTCACGCCTGTAATCCCAACACTTTGAGAGGCCTAGGCGGGTGGATCACCTGAGGTCAGGAGTTCGAGAACAGCCTGGCCAACATGGCGAAACCCCATCTCTACTAAAAATACAAAAATTATCTGGGCATGGTGGCACATGCCTGTAATCCCAGCTACTCGGGAGGCTGAGGCAGGAGAATCGCTTGAACCTGGGAGGCGGAGGTTGCAGTGAGCCAAGATCATGCCATTGCACTCCAGCCTGGGCGACAGAGCAAGACTCCATCTCAAAATACAATACAATACAATACAATACAATACAATACAATACAGTACAGTACAGTACAGTACAGTACAGTACAATACAATACAATACAATACAATACAATACAATACAATACAATACAATACAATACAGAAAAGGAGAACTTACTGACTGAGTATAGTGGAGCTCTCAGAAAGGACAGAGGGCTAGAGAACCAGGCTCTGGAAGGACAGAGTGAGGTTGCTCCCAAACCTTCAGCAGCAGCAACTCCCAGACGGTCTTTCAGAGGTGTCCTTCCAGGGAAACTGAGCTCCAAAATATCTCAGCCCTTTTGCCTCTCTGATCAGGACTCCAGTCCCAGGAAGAGGATTTGGTTGGTCTGGCTTGGTTCATATGGCCAAGGATGATGTACCACCTGGCTAACAGTCCCCCCAGTGAGGGTCCCTCCAATGGAAGAAGAGGTGGTTCTGCAAAATGAATTTGGCATTGTTACCTAAAGGAGAAGGAATGGATGAAGTGAGTAAGCTCTCCTTCTTTGGAAGTCGGGCCTGAGAATCATCTCCTTAGAAACCATAGATGGAATGCCCTTAGTGGGTGAAAGATTGGGGCCACCAACTCTGAGAATCTCGGATCATTTATATTTTGTCACCATTTAAATTTGTACAAGCCCAATCACATGGATGGTCTTCCCTGTAACAACCGGTCAGCTTAAAAAACTGGACCATTCTAAATGACAGGTGGCTGTCTTAGTCCATTTGGGACGCTAAAACAGAGCACCACAGACTGAGTGGCTTATAAGCAACAGAAAGTTATTTATCACAGTTCTGGGGGCTGGGAAGTCCAAGATCAAGGTGCCAGGAGATTCAGTGTCTGGTGAGGGCCTGCTTCCTGGTTCCTAGGCAGCTGTCCTCTCTCTGTGTCCTCACGTGGAGGCTGAGGGATCTCTCTGGAGCCTCATAACCTAATTACGTCCCAAAGCCCCCGCCTCTCAATACTATTACATGAGGGGCTGGGATTTCAATACATGAATTTTGTGGGTATACAAACATTGTTGCAGTGGCCTTGTTCTAATTTTTAGAAATCTTTATCTAAAATGTTAATAATAAGGTAGGGATAAAGTGAAATTTTAGAACAAACAGAAGAATTATAGTCATTTTCCTATCTACAAATGTCACATGTGAGAGTCATTACTGCTGCCCACCAATGTTGCTAGTTTGCCTTGTTCTTGTCATGAAGTTAAGGACATCCATGTGACTTGCTGTGATCAATGAAATGAGTAGAAGTAATATATCATTTCCAGGTAGTTTTAAGAGCCAGTGTGTCATGTGCCACCCTTTCTTTCCCTGTATTATAAAACCCAGCAATGTTCTGATGCTGCTGCTTCATCAGCCTGGTCCTGACTGAGGATGATATGGAAGAGTTTCCAGATGACCAGAAATGAATGTGTAGTGTGGACAAGAAATAAATCTTATATAAAGCCCCTGAGATTTGGGGGATAGTTGTTGCAGCATAAGCTAGCCCATGCTGACTGATATACCAGCATTCATGCCCTTGCACCACTGGGACTCACCGTTAGCTATAGAAGATAAACCTTGCTGAAGATCTATAGCCTGCTTTCTTTCTTTCTGTCTGTCTTTCTTTCTGTCTTTCTTCTCTTTCTTTCCTTTCTTTCTTTCTTCCTTTCTTTCTCCTTTTTTGTTCTTTCTTCTTTCATTCTTTCTTTTTCTTTGTCTCTTTTTCTCTTTCTTTCTTTTTCTCTCTTTTTCTATCATCTATCTATCTACCTATCTACCTATATCATCTATTTATCATCTATCAATTATTTATCTATCAACTCTATGTAATTGGTGACTGCAAATGGGCAGAAAAGTCAAAATCTTGAGACTATGTATAGCACAAAACAACTGCATGTGTTAAAGGATTTTGCACTGAGAGCAATCTGAGTGCTTCTAAAAACACAGTTGTATAATTACCGTTCTGTAATATAACCCACAAAACTCCAAACATACCCCAAAGCCTCTTCATCTAATCAACCTGAAGAGGGTGTCCCTTATCAGATGGAGTCCCTGTCTTTGTGTTAGAAATAACCCTGTATCAGTCAGGTTCCCTGCAGGAGACAAGTAATGTACACTCATTACTACATTTGAAAAGTGTTTATTAAAATGACTACCTATAAAGGTTTCCCTTGAGGGAAGTGCAGTACCCCAAGGTTAGACAAGCAGGGTGTCATTACCACCCCTAAGCCTGAAGTGGAAAGTGGAAGGAGGAACTTCCAGGGCCCCCAGTGGGGAGGCCTGGAACACTCCCAGTAGTGTTCACCTACTGGGAGCCATAACCTTCAGTCTCGGGTGTCAGATGTAGTCCTCAGACAAATGTCCAGATAGAGGAGGGTGGCGATGGGAGCTGAGGGGCAAATGGAAGATGTCTACCACATCTGGATGGTTTCGGCAGCAGACATCTTCACAATTAGGTTGTAAGATTTTCAGCTTGTTTTGGTGTAAGAAAGGGAACAAATTTGAAAGCCATCTTTAGCTTTGCTCATGACTTTCTGGGTCCATTAGTGAACTCTGTTCTGGAGTACTTGGATACTAACCAGAGAGTGGAAGGCTGTAGAGAAGGGCCCCCTTTTAGTACTCTCTCCCAAGCTCTTGTGATATTGGAGAAAATTAGCACTAAAAGGACCCATCTGGTCTGAATTAGCAATACAAACCCAAGACACATCAATAAATCCACATTCTTTAATGAAACCATCCGTTCTAGGTAGAGACATATGTTAGGTCCTCTCCACTTTCTCTTTGAAACTGACATCATTTCATGAAATGTAAAATTACACAAAATAAAAAATACCCATATGTTTACATATAATACTTTAAACAATTTTCCTTTTTAAAAATAAAATTTTAGGCATTTGGTATTACTCTTCAGAAGTTCGGTCTACAAAAGAAACTTTAAAAACATCTGCTAAAGCCAAGGGAACATTTGTTCACAAATGGAACGCTAACAATACCAATCTGAAAGCTATCAAAGGGACCCAATCAATAGAAAATCTCAATGTGAATTTGCTAGTTAGCAGGATTTTACAAATTATTTAAATCAGCTGAGCAATTCATGAGTGATATGAAACTTTACAGCAGGGGTGTCCCATCTTTTGGCTTCCCTGGGCCACATTGGAAGAAGAATTATCTTGGGCCACACATAAAATACACTAACGATAGCTGACGAGAAAAAAAAAAATCACAGAAAGAATCTTACAATGTTTTTTAAAAAGTTTACGAATTTGTGTCGGGCCATATTCAAAGCCGTCCTGGGCCAAGGGTTGGACAAGCTTGCTTTAGAGAGAAATTGTAAAGTAGAAATAAAAAGGAAACTTCACCTTACAGGTAAATACCTCTAAATATTTACCTTAGAGGAAAATAGAGGGAATAGTGGATCAATGAACAGCCTCTCTTTCTCTGTTTGAAGAAATTCCACTGGCTAAAGTTAATTCCAGATTTTTTCCTGCCCTGCAATCCAGGCTTAGCTTTTGCTAGACCGGGTTACACCAGAACGGAGCCAGGCTAAAAACCCAGACCCCAAATCCTTCATTAGCCTGTTGTCCTAAGACAATTCTCTGAACTAAAACTATTCTTGCAACTCACTGTCATCCCCAAAGCTTGGTACCCAATTAAAGCACAAAGCAGGCTGCAGTGATATCTTCTACCTCTGCTGTTTGCTTCTGGGGATGCTTGCAGGCAGGTCACTGATAATTGGAAGCACCAAGGCAGAGGCCTGGGACTTTCTGCTGAATGGACTCTCTCTAGTGAAGCCAGCCTCTAGTTTCTTTGCAAGAACCTGTGTCATGCCTAAGTCCCCACAAGTGTGGGCTTCCAGAGGAGCGGCCCAGCTAGCCCCAGCTGAATCAGAGCTTCTCTTTTCTGTGGATACGTCACACAGAAGGCCTAAATAAAGGTTTTTCATAAGAGTCCCATTGTTGCAAATTGGCCATATGGTGACAATTGTTGAAGCTGTGTGTTTTTGAAAATGTTCATACTAAAGAGATAAAAAGAAGTATCATTGTTTCACCGTCCTGCTGAGCAGCACCAACTCTGTTTCTGACTCCCTCCCACTTTTCTATGAAATTTGTTAATCTTGCTTAGACTTCTAAAGGTTAAAACTGCAGAATTTTTATTTCCTTGGAGAAAGAACCATAACACCCATCTTAGGTTTCCCAGTTCCAGTTTCAACTCTCATAGACAAGATGAGACCAAATAAAACCTCAGAAAATACAAAAATCAGATAAATGGAATCTACCCTAACAGGCAGGTGGGATTGGAGCCATGAGGTCAGCTGCTCCATTTGCTGTATCAAAGCGCACGCTGGGCAGGGTCTGCCATATGCACAATATGAGCGTGTAGGCTGAGCCTCAGTCCAGGGCCGAGAAAGGCCAAAACAGAGCTTGGTGAAAGGAGAGGCAGGAAATGGAGAGCCAGTCCTGCAGGGCCCACAGTAAAGCGAGGACCAGGGGTTGGCATTTTCCACACTGCATTGATTAAGGCTTTGACAGCTGATCTTTTACATACATACATATATACAGACATATATTATTAATAATACTTTAATTTTTTTCTGTTTTAAGGAAAAAATATTCCCATGCATTTCTCTGACCTTTCTTTGTATCATTCTAGTTTTTGCTCCCAGCAATCACTTTAATGAGACACAGTCCTCTGGTGCCACATTCTGATCTGTAAAAAATATAACCTTTCACCTTTTACATATACTTTGTTTAAAATGATGCTGATTCATCCCAAAGGAATTCCGGTGCATGGGAGCTATCTTGGCTCTAACCAAAAACACTCATGTGCCGCCCTGCGTCCAACAACAACCAAACAGGACTTACAGTTATGTAAACATTATTTAAAAATTATTCCAACATAAATACTCTTTTAAAGCTAACATACCACAGCTTTTAGCTCATAATGCCCATAGATGCCTTAATGAAATGCCATTCAAAACTACCTCACTGTTTAAATTATACCTTGAGGTGCTAAAATTATGTAAACATCATCCTCTACACTTCTCTAGAACAAGTGCCAAGTGTTATGAATTCTGTTTGCAAGTTGGTGATTGAATACTAGTTAATCAGAGCAAAGTTACCAACGCACTCTTTAACCTGATTGGCTACAGGAAGCTAGTCACTGATTGACTTGTTCCACAAGGCGATGATTCTTACATAACTTATAATTAACCAGTCTTCAACAGTGTTCACCCCATAAGGGACCTGAATTGGTCCCTCATAAGAGGTCTTTGCACATTTTGCAAATGCAGTTTGAATTGGATGTCAAGGAGTCCAGGTGTGCCACGGCAAGTGCCTCCAAAGCTAAAAGAAGAAATGTTCTTTGAAGCCCATGGAATTCCAAGCACAGGTGGAGTCTTCTCAAAGTCAATGAATGAAAAAAATATCAGGACGAGCCACAATATTGTCTTCTCAGCAGACAGGACTCTCGCCAGCAAATGTTCTGCTGTATTCATAATGGATGCCTTAGCCCCCACTGCAATTAGGGAGGGGGGGAAACCAAAGGGACAAGGAGAGTGAATGACTCTGAGAAATGGCTTTGTGGTCTCCTAACTTCATGACAATGATTCTTATACTCGAAACTCCCTCTGTGCTCACTGCTCACTGTGATGCCTTTTTTTAGTCCTGACATCCATCCATATTTTCAGGTTTCTTGGTTGACATGTCCCTGGCAGAGAGAAAGAAAATGATTCCAGCCAAAGCTGTGGGCCACACATTAGTCTCGGCCAAGTTTTCATCCCTTATGCCCAACATGGACAGAAGACAGCCTGGCACCTTTGCAAGCAAGTCCAGATTAGAGGAACGGCCAACCCCAAGGCTGACCTTTTGCCACATAGGAGCAAGGGACAAGGAGAATGGTATGAAGAAGCATAGCCGGAATGGTCAGTGACTTCAATCCTAATCTTTAACACTTTAACAGTTCATGAATGATAACATTGCAGACAGAAGCAAAAGAACATTTTTCTCTCCACCTTGTTGGCCAAACTTACAAGACTTTCATTCAAATATATACCTCTAAGGCTGGATTCTGAGTTTTTGTTTGAGAAAAATACTGTACACTGTTTTAGGGCAGATTTTCAAGGTGCTATTGTTGTTAAAAACAAAACAAAACAAAAAAAATTCTCAGTTTCTGTCTTTCAAGAACATCAGCACTATTTCTTCATGTGCAGGGCATCCTGGAACTTGGTGCTGGTGTATCGGGCATGAAAGCCTTTCTTGTTGATGGTGTCATCTGTGCGGAATCGAATCATCAGGGAATCACCTGCAGAGTAGATTTCTTCTAATGGCTGAGGAAAGGAGAAAGGGAAACGAGAAGGACTTTAGCTGTGATTGGAGTTGAAAATGAGGAGGATGGGACAGGATCTTATGCAAGGACACAGGATGTGTCTCTGGTACCAGAGACTCTGAAGGGCATCCAAACAAGCTCCTTTTCAAAAGAAAACATTGCAAATTCTGCTCCAGGGAGCTTTGCAGGCCCTGCTCTTCCAAAGATGATCCTAGGTGCATAGCTCATATAGAATCTATTATTTATTAAGTATGCAGGTGGGTCAGGTGCTGCACTAGGCAATTCCAGATCTTATGTAAACTTTACAGCAACCTTATAAGGCAGGTACTATCCCCATTTTTCACTTCAGGAAACTGAGACTCAAGTTCTCGCAGGTAGGCGGGACCCAAGCTTAGGTCCTTCTGACAGTAAAGGATGCACCATGAATCACCGAGCTCCAGGGTCACCATTATGATGTGTCTCCCAGGAGACCTGAAACAAAGACCATGGTTCAGGCCTCTGTCTCATCCAAGGACAAAAAAATGGGATGGAGCCACTATATTGGTCAGAAAGGTTTTGCCAGGTGGTCTGTGAATGGGAGCCACGTTCCAAGGCTGTTGCCTGCGAGGTTCTAGTGGAGCCAAAGTGGGCTTCCCCCACAGTTAACTGCTCAGTTAACCCCTCCAAGGGGTTCCTTTCCACAGACCTCATAGTTTGAAAGATTTTATCAAAGGCAGTGCATTGGTTAAGTGCCACTTTGTCATTCTTCCTTTTTTAGAGGGTGAAAGAAGATGAAGGGAATTATTCAAAGAAATATAAATGCCAATTTGAGTTTCCGTTTAGCACAAGGACCACTGGTGACTCAAAAATGATGTGCTATAAGTCCAGCCAATAGCAAAGAAGCTTGAGCGACCGGGCCTCCAGGCAACAGAAAGGAGGGGGCTGGTGCCCAGTATGGGCAGTGTCCAGTGCGGTGCAGCCAGGGGAGTGACTGGGACACTGTACTGGCCAATGCGCAAACTCCCACCAAGCACCAACTATATGCCAAGCCCAGTGTCAGGTGCTGGAGAAACAGCAAACACAATAGGCCCACTAAAGAAATCAATAATGAGAACATTGATAATGACCTTGAGCACAACTATTGTGTGTATAGTAAGTGACTTGTAATTTTCAGAGCATTTGGTTTTGCTTGAGGAGAGAAATGTGAATATAAGAAATATATAAAAGCATAATTAAATATTTTTAAAGCCTGAAGGCCAAATAAAAATGGAGGAGAGTGGCTGCGCATGGTGGCTCACGCCTGTAGTCCCAGCACTTTGGAAGGACGAGGCAGGTGGATCACTTGAGGTCAGGAGTTCAAGACCAGCCTGACCAACATGGTGAAACCCCGTCTCTACTGAAAATACAAAAATTAGGTGGGTGTGGTGGCGCATGTCTGTAATCCCAGCTACTTGGGAGGCTGAGGCAGGAGAATCGCATGAACTCAGGAGGCAGAGGTTGCAGTGAGCCGAGATCCAGCCTGGGCGACAGAGCAAGACTCCGTCTCGGGGGAAAAAAAAGAAAAAAAAAAAAAAGGAGGGGAGAGGGAAAGCCTTTGCAAAAATAGGTGAAAGTCCCAAAAGGAAAAGTGCTCTTCCATGGCTGGCCTCAGTAAGGGGCCTTCAAGGACTGGTCCCTGGCTGCCTCCCAACCTCCTCTCCTGACGGTTCTCCTGCTTCCCACTCCGCTTCTGCAGAACGTGCCTCCTCGCCGTTGCTCCTAAGTGGAGTAGGTGGCCGGGACTGAAAGCCGGGCGTGTCTGACTCCACAACTCCTGCTGTGAATCATCACACTCTGCCCCGGCCCCAGCGTCTCCGGGACTTACCCCAGAGCCACAGAAGCGGCCGAGCCTGGGCGCTGAGCTGTCGTAGCCGTCGTAGGCTTCCATGTAGTCGTAGCCGCAGTCGGCCTCCTCCTCAACCTCAAAGGTCCGGAATGTCAGCTCCACGCCGTAGCCGTCCTCTGCCACGATCACCCAGTCACAGCGGGCCTCGCTCGGGTAGTTGTTGTCCCCAAACTGGGCGTGGGAATAGAGCTCTTTGGTCTGCACTTCAGCCTTCAGCCTGCCCCCGCACTCTGGAGCAGAGAGAAGTGAGATGTCCCCTCAGCACAAGACACCCTCGTGCCTCCCGCCTGCGTCTGCTCGGCTTTCTCTACAGAGCCTGGTGCGTGCCTGGCAGGAGAGGCCAGGTAGTCTCGTCACCCCATTTGATGGAGGAGTACACAGAGGCCCCTGGCTCCCAGGTCAGGGCTCCCTCGGGGGTGCAAAGTGGCCCTCACAAGCCAAGGTCCCCTGTTCCCAGCTTGAGAATACGTGAGCATGCCATTGAAAAGAGTTGGCTGCTTTTTGTTTTTTCCGGTTATGGAGACATGGAGCCAATGGACGGTTCGCCTCACTGGTCGCTGGGATATGGGTGGATCTATTTGCCACTTTATTCCCTGGAAGTGTTGGATGCATCTGAGAAGGGCTCCCACTCGCCCCACCGACTGACTGCAATTTGTCATTTCTGCCGACAGAGGGCGATAAAAGCACATCGGAATCGCGGGTAAGCTCTCAACCCTGGAAACCTCAGACCCTAAATGACTGGTTTTTGCATTTGAGGGCATTGACTATAGGCCAACTTTGAGGTCCCTGTGGGTGTCACAGGTGAGCTGCACCTCAGGCTCTGGGCTGGTATTCTGTAGCCTTTGTTTCTGGGTTTTTTCATTATACAAGGACAGTAACTCTGGTTGGCCCTGGTCCCATATATAGTACCTTGTGTCTTGGACACTTAAGCCCACATAAAATAAAATGGATATTGGCCGGGCGCAGTGGCTCATGCCTGTAATCCCAACATTTTGGGAGGCCGAGACGGGTGGATCACTTGAGGTCAGGAGTTTGCGACCAGCCTGGCCAACATGGTGAAACCCTGTCTCTACTGAAAATACAAAATTAGCTAGGTGTGGTGGTGGGCGCCTGTAATCCTAGCTACTCGGGAGGCTGAGGCAGGAGCATCTCTTGAACCTGGGAGGCGGAGGTTGCAGTGAACTGAGATTGTGCCACGGCACTCCAGCCTGGGCCACAGAGCAAAACTCCGTATCAAAAAAAAAAAAAAAGTAAATAAATAAATAAAATAGATAGATAAGACTGGTCTAGATTAGCAAGCACCAGAAATTCTGGAAGCAAATTCTTGCACAGCCCCTCCCCAGTGTGCTCCATGCCCCCCGAGGGGCCCAGGCAAACGCTGTTGTAGATTCTGGGCCACCTGGCTCCTAACACTCCTAGGCCCCGCTGGAGCTCCACGCCCTGCCTGGCCCCGGTCCTGTCTGACTGACCATTCTGAGTCCTGTGTTGGCTCTGGCTTAGAATGTCTTACAGGTCTAACCTGTCTTTGGGAAATTTCAAATTCCTGAGAGCTGGGTGGTCATGAAATGAGCACAGAGCAGGGTGGGACGCCTCCCCTCCATCCGGCCGGACGCCCCCACCCTCCCCACCTGCCTGGGCCCCGTGAGACAGACCCCTGGCCTACATCGATGACCCCGTGCCTTCTGCTGCAGGTTCAGCCATGGGGAGCACCAGCAGATCAGAGGGAGGGAGGCGAGAGAAGCCAGGGTATTTAGTCCCCTGATTGCCACAGCTTTTCTTCCACTTAGGTCACAGCTGCAGCCAGAGGGTCTCTGCATGCAGTCCTCTCTGTCTCCAGCTTCCAGGAACTGCTCCCTCCTCTCATCCTCTGGGCCTGGAGTTGCAGTTCCTAGCTCTGGTGGCTTCATTGTCCTACAGTGTCCCATACTCTCCCACCCCTTTGTAACTTGTCCCTTTATTAACTTCTCTCAAATAATGACTCTGAATGTGCCCCCACTTCCTGCCGGGACCCTGAAGCACCTGTGTTCCTGCTGGTCTCTATCTGCAGGGACAAGAGGGCTTTTAAACTTCCCTGTAGGGAGCTAGAACTCCTCAGGGAGTTTGACAGGGTTCCACAAACCATGCAGCGTTTTCTGCTGTGCAAGAGGAGGCTGAACTGCCTCAGGATGCTGGTCGCCATTTTGTTTGACCTAATTTATATTTTCCGGTACTGAAAAAAAACTGGAGGTAGAGGCTGTTAAAAGGATCACAGGGTCCCATGATCGTGAGCTCAGACTCAGCATTACAGAAGCAGAGTGGGCTTTGGGTGGTCACCAGCTCTGACAAAGGACACAATTGTACATCAGGATCAAAGGGTCAGATTTGCTTCTGTGGGCACTAGTCCCAGGTGGCAACATTTTAATGGCTAAAGAGCAGAGCCAAATTTCTTCCTGACATTCTTCTACTTAACGAAGTAGATAATATAAGTTATAAGCACGTACATTTCCCACCAAAGGACCTAATAGTGCTATTTACATTTTGAATGGAAGAAAAAATCACGGGGAACAGAAACATTTTTCACTTTCCAGAACTGGTCCTTACAGGGATAAAAGGGCTGTTTTCACCACTCAGTTACCCAACTTCTGGACTTCATAGACCAGCAAAATACCTGGGCCGGAGTGCAGTGGCGTGATCAGAGCTCACTGAAGCTTTGAACTCCTGGGCTCCAGCAATTCTCCTGCTTCGGCCTCCAGGGTAGCTGGGACCACCACGCCTCGCTATGTTTTCTAGTTTTTATTTTGTAGAGATCGGGGGGTGGTCTCACCATCTTGCCCTGGCAGGTCTTGAACTCCTGGGCTCAAGCAATCCTCCCCACTCAGCCTCCCAAAGTTCTGGGATTACAGGTGTGAGCCACCGTGCCCGGCCAAAATATATTTTTAAAAGAGAGGAAGAAAGGAAGGAAAGAAGGAGGGAGGAAAAAATGGGGCACTAACAAAGGGTTGTCCATTTCAAATTGCGTCAATTAAGGACATTGAAAGAAGACGGCCCTTTTCCCTTTGGTTGCTGATGCTTCATTTTATTTTTTTTATTTTTTTAGAGACAAAGTCTCACTCTATCGTCCAGGCTAGAGTGCAATGGCACGATCTTGGCTCACTGCAATCTCTGCCTCCAGGTTCAAGCAATTCTCCTGCCTCAGCCTCCTGAGTAGCTGGAATTACAGGCACCAACCACCATGCCCAGCTAATTTTGTATTTTTAGTAGAGACGGGGTTTCACCATGTTGCCCAGGCTGGTCTCGAACTCCTGACCTCAGATGATCCGCCTGCCTCGGCCTCCCAAAGTGCTGGGATTACAGGCATGAGCCACCACGCCCAGCTTGATGCTTCATTTTAATAGGACATTTTATCACGCACCTTCCTCCCCTCGCCCTCCCCCAGTCAGAATAAAAGGCAGTCCTTGTCGTGCCTTCACCATTTCTCTGTCTCCTGTCCAAGTGCTCATCAGGTGGAAGCCAGTGTCCCACCCCAGGTACCTGTGCTGTGCACTGCCTGGAAGCCTTTCCTCTGCACTGAGGCATCCGAATAAAACCTGAGAAACATACTGCTGCCGGAAGCCACCGTGGGGTCTGGTTTCTTGCTGCCGCAGAAACGGCCCAGAATGGGGGCCAGGCTGTCCGGCCCGTCATACATTTCCAGGTGGTCATAGGCACATTCCTGGTGCTGCTCGATCTCAAACTCATTAAAGGTCTGGGGACAGAAGAGCAGAAAGTAAGGCAAGGGCCTGGCGTTCAGCTGGGGTGGGGGCCTCCTTTCCAGTTCTGGGACAGGAAGGGGCGAGGCAGTGCAGGGAGACGTCCAGCTGGCTGTGCAGGGGGTGTGTGGCCGTGATGATGCTTGAGGACATCTGTAGAGAGGGTCTCAACCTCCGCCTTGCTTTTGGTCCAGCAAGTGGCCCTATGAAGTAGTTACATGAGCTATTGCTACAATGACCACACTGCAGATGAGAGAGCAGGGGTTCAGAGATTAAATGCTTGACATTTTGACAGCTATTAAGCGACAGAGCCAGGCTTTACACAGCCCAAATCTGTCTTCCTTCCATCCCATCACACAGCTTCTCTCTCACTTAGGGCTAAGAGCCAGCAAGGGCTGAGTGCCCACTCTGTCGGCAGCTGTTTTAAATGCTTTACAAGTATCGCCTCATTTAATCTTTACACCCCTGTGATGTGTCTAATCCCCGCTTTACAGGTGAGGAAAATGAGGCTCATCGCTGTCAGATGACTTGCCCAAGGTCACATACTGAGAGTTGGGCCATGATCTGGTGCTCTGGCATCAGAGACCCTGCTGTTGACCTGTGCACTCTGCTGCACGACCCTTTAGTACAAATGACGCTGGTGAGGTTGTATGAGGTGCACGCTGCTCCAGGCAGCACCCTCATGGTGGCTGACTCTCGCCGAGTGTTTATTCCATGCCAAGCATTTATGCGCATTTTCTCTCTTACTTCTGGTGATGCTGTGAAGGAAGAGCTGTTATTATTTCCAACATGCAGATGGGGAAAATGAGTTTTAGAGAAGCTGGCTGGCCTGCCCCAGCTCACACAGCTGGAGACAGATGAAGCTGAACTTGACCCCAGCTAGCCTTCTCCAACCCCCACTGCTATCAGTCATCAGGTTATGCTGCCTCACCTCTCCCTGTTCCCCCTAAGGACTGTCCCCTAACGCTCGCCAGGGGCGCCGCACCATTCCAGGCTTTTCAGCCCTGAATGCAGGCTTCTCAGATGCTGGGTAGGTGGCCGACTGATGGGAGCCCCAGCGTCAAGGGAGATGGGATAAGGTGAGCGGGGACGGTGTTAGATGAAGACTTGGACCAAATGACAGAGCAGGGAGACAGGACATTAGTTGCGGGGGGGGGGGGGGGGTGTCAATTCAAAAGAGCGGGGCTGGCCTGGCAGCGCAGAGATGGAGGTTGGGAGGGGGAAGGGACCAGCACGGCAATGCAGGCTTTCAGAAGAATGACTCCCACACACTAACGTACTTGGGCAAAGCTCTCCCGCCAGTGACATAGGGAGCACTGGGCCAAGGTGGTGGGTAGAGACACGGGACAGGGGAGCAGTGGCACCGGGACGGCCATGCAGTGGAAGGGAGCCTTAGGCTCAGCAGGCAGGGAGCTCCCAGGAGGTCCATGGGGCGCCCTGTCGCCACCCACATGCAGTGAACACCACCAGCTTCCTTGAGAAGTATTCAACTCACATTCTATGGTAGCGAAAAGCGCGCAATCAATATAGCCACCATCCGTTTCCCAAGGGAACGCCTTTTGGAAACTACCACGTGAGTCTGTGAGCCTCGGGCAAACGCTTCCCGTTGTGCGTTTGCGCGCTCCCAACGCCAGAAGGCGCCTCCCCCGAGGTCCTCGGGGCTCTATGTTGCCATTGCGAACATTTCCCAGCAGATGGCGGTCTTGGAGAAGCAGTGCCTTTCCCTAAGGCTCTCTTCAGTTCATCCTCACCCAGATTCAAGGCTGACCCGGGATACCAGCTCTTAGCAGAGCAGCAGTTTCCCCACGGGCAGCCCAGCATGTGAACTGCCCGCTGGGAGCACCCTGTGGTCAGAGGCCCTGTCTTCACCCCTCGACGCCCTGGGGGCCCATTCGCCTCTTCTGCTCCTCACTCATGGCTCTCACCAATAAACAACCTGCAAGTCCCTGCGCCATAGTCCATTGATCATGGACTTTTCCCTCTCTGTTCTCTTCCATTCTCCCTGAGTTATCGTCCACAGTTCATAGGGTCAATCCTACTTACCTCTACAGTCAGAAAAACCCATTTAAAAAATGTCCATCTGCCTGAAGTACAATACATTCTCCAGCTGGCAAAAGGGGTTCTTTATTCTCCAAAGTGTGGGAGTCCCTGGGGGTTGAGAAATGAGACTCCTAGGAGATTCAACTCTCCTTTGAAATAACTGTGCAAACCACACATCATATACGTGAAAAAGACTTCAAATAAAGGCTTGGGGAAAATTTTTAATTCAAGAGGGAATTTGCATAAAGAACTTAGTCTCCTATTACTAATGGGAAAAAAAAGTAAGTTGTAGAAAAAATACGAATGGGATTTTATTAGAGGAATTTGAGTAACAAAAACATATATATTTCCCTGTGCACTGACAGTCATGATTGTGCACAGAAAATTTCTAGAAGGATCCATAAGAATGTGTTTAGAGTGGTCATTTCTAGAGTGGAAATGGGGGCTCTGGGGTCTTTTGATTTCTATTTCCAACCTCCTGTACTGATTCATCTCATTTTTAATCATGAGACTGTATTGTCTTGTAAAAAATTAAAACTGGAAACAAGTGAATCTCAAACAGCACTGCAGATGTGGGTGGTGGATGCCGCCTCCTGCGGGTCCCACTGTGCCCAGGTGTGACCTATAGAGCTTTTGTGCGTTGTCTCTTTTAATCTGCACAACAGCCCGATGAAGTAGGCTTCATTAGTATCCATGTTTTCCAGATAATGAAACTGAGACCTGGAAATGTTGAGTAACTTCCAAGTTACAGAGCTGGGAAGTGGCAGAGCAGAGACTCAAACGCACATCTGCCTGATACTCAAGTCCACATTCTCAATAAACTACAAAAATGACTCACGAGTTTCACTCTGTGGCCTGCAGTCGAAGAGATGTTCCAGGTACACTCCCTCCGGCTGGGGTATTTGTCAGGCCAGTTGGGGCTCGCCAGGGTCCCCTCCACACTGCTGATCTTGTGTGCACAGCCAGCTGGGGGTGGCAGGGGGACACATACAAAGAGAGAAGTCATTCACTGTGGGCAGCACAAGAAGGATTCTAGGGGGGTCTCCTCCCCTCTCTCCTAATTGTCTCAGGGTCTTTATCAAATATGGGGGTGGGGTATCCTGAATCAGGTATCTCCTGGCTCAGGGATGTGCTGGTTTACTTGCACTGGCTTTTCTGCCTTCCTGACTGTGGCTCGGGGGCCAGGCTATCTTTCTATTCCTATCCACATTGCAGTTATCCTTGCAAATATGTTAAAAGCACTGGCAGTGGGGTCAGGTGGGCCTCGGCCCATGTCCTGGTTCTGCCACCTACAATCTGTGGGACTTGGGGCTCTTATGTAAGCTTCGGTGTCCTTATTTGTAAAAGGGTGCCACTCTAGTCAGGGTGATATGTGATCGAATGAGATAATGCATGGGAAAGGCTTAGGGCATGCCAGCCCATGGTAAGTGCTCAGTGCATCTTGGCTAACAGAGGCCTCCTTCATCATCCATCCATAAGCTTCTTTTAGTTTTTCAAAGTGGCTTTATTTGGAGTCTACCAAGTTTGTCCTGGTTACAGTGCTATTTGCCAAGAGTGGTCCCACAACTTGTTCAATGCCTGGCATCTTGGCCAATAGCTGCCATTTCTCTTCTGTGGTGGGCACTGTGGTCAGCATTTTCCATGCATCCTCTCTTTTAGTCCTTCTCACTTCCCAAATAAGAAAATAGGTTTGGAGAGGGTCAGTGCCTTGCTGATAGGGGGCAGAGCTGGGACTCGAACTTGGCCTGCCTGGCTTTGAGGCCAGTCTACCACTGCTTAGAAAGCACGGTGGACTGTATCACAAACACGGAGGCTCCACACTGAAGAAGCTGGAGAGGCAGGTGAGGAGGGCCGGGGGCAGGAAGGGGAGGAAACAGCTTCGAGGATGTTCCAAAGAGATTTGCCTCTGCTCAGTGCTACATCTGCTCTGCAGCCAACGCAGAGAACAGGTGCTCAAAGGGGCAGTGGCTCAGCTCCTGGGACATTTGCTCAGCTCCTGAGATGTTGCTCTGACACCCCCTGCTGTTGGGGTCAACCCACATGAATGCAGCCACTATTCAGGGGTGGGATCTTGGGAGAGTTGACGTCACTCCTGTCCTCTCCCACACTGCAGGAGGCAAGCCTGGTCCTGGCCCGGGCCCATCTCACAGGGGCTTGACTGTTCCTTCCCAGCTCAGTTCTTCCAGCAGCCTCCCACCCAGCCCCTCCGCCACCTGTGACCATGCCCTAGGGCTGGGCTTGGAGGGTGGCCACCTCCTCCTGAAGATGTGTCAGCGCCTCCTTTAACATTCTAGGCAGATCCTGACCAGACTCTGCGGCACCCAGCCAAATCTCCTAAATCCAGACTGTTTATTCCAGAGATCAGGGTGTGTGTCTTCCACATCTTCCTCCACCCTTGACTTCCTTTGCAGGGTTTCGTGGCTGGAGCCAAGGCCTGGAAGCCTGTGTGTTTGTCATAAATGTTCGAAATCCCTTCACTGGGCAGGGTAAGAACAGAAGGAAGGCTTTTTCCAGGATGACTGGACAGTAAAAGCCACCTGGCCCTGAAGAATTCCCCACAGTGTAATGGAGAATGGAGCAAAGCTTTCCCCAAATCCTATTTTCCAATGGGACCTGCATATGGTAATTAATATATGACAAAGACATAAATGGCTGATCTTTATTGACATTTGAGGACATAACATGTGTCAGAGAGTCTGAAATACTTTCTAGGCATTCTTTTAATCCTCACAAAAACTTTAAGAAGGAGGTATGTTTAGACCCTTTTAACTAAAGAAAAAACTGAGGCTCAGAGAGGTTAAATAGCTTGCCCAAGGTCACACAGCTAGGGAACGGCAGAGCCAGGATTTAGACCTAGGTAATTGGATTCCAGAGCCTGCAGGCTTAATCACTTACAAAAATAACAGCCTAGAGCACCTGAGGCCCCCAGGTGCCTCCTGAAGGAGCGAGATGCCCTGGGGAAAACTCTCCCGCAAGGACAGCAGTTGCTGGGCCTCAGCTCAGAAGGTGGAAGAGGTCCTCGCCGCACCTCCTTACTCATGCACATGCACACAGGGGCATGGGGTGCGGCGAAGGGCAGCCCGCCCCCCCAACAACTGGAGGTCCAGCCTCACCCTCTTTGCAGTCATGCCCATTCTCGTGGAGCCAGTAGCCGTTTCTGCACCTGCACAGGTAGCTCCCGAAGGTGTTGACGCACTCATGCTGACACCCGCCGTTGTCCTTGGCACACTCGTCCTTATCTGGGGAGATCAATGAACTCTTCTAAGAGGAACCGCCAACTTGCAAATGTCCCTCAGGGCTCAGAATCCCACTTAAAAGTGGCCTCCTCTGGGAAGCCTCTCTGATTGCTCCCCTTCCCCCTCTGATTGTTCCCTCACTGGAGGAGTGAAGTGGGAAGCATCTTCACCTCAGGTTTCTTGGGTATGTACTTGGCCCTGGTATGTGTTGAATTCTCCAAGTACTTTATGTATGTTCTCTGCCCCTGCTCCCTGCTCAAAACAAGGAGCTCCCTAAAGGACAGGCTTGTATTAATCACAATAGTAACAATAATAACAGTAATTCCCACTTACTGAGTGTTTACTATGCAACAGGCACTGCCCCAAACACTGTATGCATTATCTAAGTTAATTCTCATCCAACCTTAGCAGGGAGCTGTCTATCTGTCAGTCTTTACAAGTAAGGAAACTGGCCAGGCATGGTGGCTCATGCCTGTAATCCCAGCACTTTGGGAGGCCGAGGTGGGTGGATCACCTGAGGTTGGGAGTTCGAGACCAGCCTGGCCAAAATGGAGAAACCCTGCCTCTACTAAAAATACAAAAATTAGCCAGGCGTGGTGGTGCATGCCTGTAATCCCAGCTACGCGGGAGGCTGAGGCAGGAGAATTGCTTGAACCTGGGAGGCAGAGGTTGCAGTGAGCAGAGATCGCGCCAGTGCACTCCAGCCTGGGCAACAAGAGTGAAACTCCATCTCAAAAACAAAACAAAACAAAAACAAGTAAGGAAACTGACGCTGAGAATGGCTAATGTGATCAAGGTCACTCAGTGAGCAAGCATCCTCTGTGGCCTGGGCTCAAGTGCCGCGACTCCACCCCGCCCTCTGCACGTGGAGCAGCTGAGTGTTGGGGACACACAGCAGAGGGCCAGCCCTACCGCACCACTTCCAGCCCTTGTGGCCATGGGCAGTTCCTGCCCTCTGTGCCTCAGTTGCCTCACTTGTAAAATGGAGACAGTAATGGTATCCTCATTTCACAGGTTGTTGGGAGGGGTAAATTAATTAGAGCAGCATCCAGCCCACAGTGTTAGCTGTATAATTATTATGTGAGAACTCAAGTGCTGGCCCTTGTTAAACTTGTGGTCCTTGTATGCAGCCCTATCCTAAGCCAACTTGTTCCTGCATTTACCAAAGATCAGCCTCCCTCCCCTGCTTCCCTGCCATCACCAGAATGACTTTAGGGGTCAGCCCTGTCTTCCTCCCCTCTCTATATGCTCTTGTTCACCATTGTTAATGTCTCCTTGAACAATGTATTTCACCTGCTTATGTTATCAGGACAACTAAGAGCCCTTGTAAGAAAGACCCTTTGCTTTGGGAGGCCAAGGCAGGCGGATCACGAGATCAGGAGATTGAGACCATCCTGGCTAACACGGTGAAACCCTGTCTCTACTAAAAATACAAAAAATAATAATAATAATAATTAGCCGGGCGTGGTGGCGGGCGCCTGTAGTCCCAGCTACTCGGGAGGCTGAGGCAGGAGAATGGCATGAACCCAGGAGGCGGAGCTTGCAGTGAGCGGAGATTGCACCACTGCACTCCAGCCTGGGCGACAGAGCGAGACTCTATCTCAAAAAAAAAAAAAAAAAAAAAAAAAAAAAAAGAATGCAGAAGAGAGGCCAGGCGTGGTGGCTCATGTCTGTAATCCCAGCACTTTGGGAGGCCGAGGCGGGTGGATCACCTGAGGTCCGGAGTTCGAGACACAAATTAGCCAGGCATGGTGGCAAGCACCTGTAATCCCAGCTCCTCAGGAGGCTGAGGCAGGAGAATCGCTTGAAGCCAGGAGGCGGAGATTGCGGTGAGCGGAGATTGCGCCATTGCACTCCAGCCTGGGCAACAAGAGCGACACTCTGTCTCCAAAAAAAAAAAAAAAGAATGCAGAAGAGATGAAGCCGCCCAACACCCAGCACTGACCCACCTCTCTCCCTTCCTTCCTCCAAGTCCTTCTGCAGATGACTCACAGGTCCTCACCCCTGCTCTGATCCTCTTCCCTGTGCTCTAGTTTCCTATTGCAAATGTGGAGCTGCCCTGCCTGTGAGGCTCTGCTACATCCTCCTCTGAGGTGGCTCCTGCCCCCTGCCCTGCTGCCCTGGTCCTCCAGCCGCCTGGCCCTCCCAGCTCTACACTGCCTGGCATGGCTTGGTCAGATGACAAGTTTAGGCTTCCCCTGCTCAAGAACCTGCAAACAGTCCCCCTTCCTGTTTCATCGGGTCCCTACTCTTCAGCCCAGCGTTTAAGGTCCCTCATGACCTGGCCTTCTCCAACTTGGCCCATCTCGTGCCCTTGGCTTCCCAGCATGGGTCAGGGCTCCATGCAGGCCCATCTCATCTCTGTCTCTGTGCTCTGTTGAGAACTTAACCTGTGCTCACACTGCCTCCCCTACTGGGGACCCTGATTACTTTCTCTCTAATCATCCTATCTCCACCTCCATGTCTTCCATCCTTTAAAACCTGGCTTAGACCACCCCAAATCCTGCAAAAAGTCTTCACCCACTGCTCCAGGCAACCATGGGCTTCTCTTCTTCAAACATTAGCCCTTGTTGCACCAGCCCACCCCACAGTGCTCCAGGCTGGGACTTAGCAGGGTGTGTATTCCTGGCTCCCTAGCTGGCATGTAAGCTTGTCCAGGGTTGGGGTCATTTCCCTGGCAGCAGCTCTGAGCCTAGTAGTGTACTGTGCCCACAGCAGACACTCAAAACAAAAAACATGACTTGCTCAGTGAGAGACTGCCAAAAAAAAAATGCATGGAGATGGAACTCTGGGTATCTATAAAATCAACAAATAATTGGGTCATTTCTATGCCAAGCATTAAGACTATAAAGATAACCAAAGTACAGTTCCTGCTTGTAAACAGTTCACCCTCTAATATGACGTGACATGCAGGACCTGCTACACAGTTTGCAAGGCTCAGTGCAAGATTTGCACTTTGTTGAAACACTATTATGAATTTCTTTCTTTTTTTTTTTGAGACGGCATCTTGCTCTGTCACCCAACCTCTGCCTCCCTGGCTCAAGCGATTCTCCTGCCTCAGCCTCCCGAGTAGCTGGGACTACACATGCGCCAGCGCGCCCAGCTTATTTTTTGCATTTTTAGTAGAGACGGGGTTTCACCACGTTGGGCAGGATGGTCTCGATCTCTTGACCTCGTGATCCACCCGCCTTGGCCTCCCAAAGTGCTGGAATTACAGGCATGAGCCACCATGCCCGGCCATGAATTTCAAGATGATGACAACAGAACCTTAAATTAGTGTGGGCCCTTCCGAGAACAGGCTCTGTGCTATTGCACAGGCCACAGGCCCATGGAGCTGGCCCCTGGTGACAAGAGCCCTAATGGAAGGGAAGGAGAGAGTGCTATGGGAACACTGGTAAAAGAACAATCAATGTGCTAAGAGGGTGCTACGGTTTGAATGGGTCCCCCAAAGTTCATGTGTTATAAACTTAATCCCCAATGCAACAGTGTTGAGAGATGAGGCCCTTAAATGTGATTAGGTCATGAGAGCTCATTATTGCAGGAGTGGCGTCCTGACAAAGGATGAGTTTGACCCCCTTGCCGCTCTTTCTCACCCATGTGGTGCCTTTCACCTTGTTATGACACAGCAAGAAGGCATTTGCCAGATGTTCCCCCTTGATTTTGGACTTCCCAGCCTCCAGATTCATAAGCCAAATACATTTCTGTTCACTATAAATTACCTAGTCTGTGGTACTCTGTCATAGCAGCACAAAATGGACTAAGATAGAGGAATAAGACGAAGCCAGACAAAATGGACTAAGATAGAGGAATAAGACGAAGCCAGAGAATGTTACAGAAAGTGGCATTGTGGGTCTTCAGGTTGAAGTAGGAGTTTCCTAAGGAGGGAGGGAAGAAGGATATTCCAGGGAGAGGGAACGCCACAGGCAGAGGGTATGAAGACAGAATGGGATGGGGGTTTAGGAGTAGAAGGTGATGGTGTGGGGGAACAGTGGGGGGATTATTCGTGATCAGAGCACAGGGCACCTGCAGAGGGAATGTGGCTGGCAGAACAGGTGGGCCAAGGCAGTGTCCAGCACCACATGCCACGCTAAGGAGAATGGGCTTTTTCTACAGCTGCTGTACTGGCCCTGAGGGTTCATGGCCTTCAGTTTGAGAAGTAGGGTCCAATGTGCTGCTGTAGTGGGTTTAGTAGTGTCTTCCCAAAATTCCTGTTCATGTGTGATATGGTTTGGCAGTGTCCCTACCCAAATCTCATCTTGAATTGTAGCTCCCATAATTCCCACGTGTTGTGGGAGGAACCCGGTGGGAGAGAATTGAATCATGGAGGCGGTTTCCCCCATACTGTTCTTGTGGTGGTGAATAAGTCTCACGAGATCTGATGATTTTATAAGGGGTTTCCCCCTTCACTTGGCTCTCATTCTGTATTGTCTGCAGCCATGTAAGACATGCCTTTGCCTTCTGCCATGATTGTGAGGCCTCCCCAGCCATGTGAAACTGTAAGTCCATTAAACCTCTTTTTCTTCATTTTTTATTTTTTATTTTTTGCCCCGAGATGGAGTCTTGCTCTGTCACCCAGGCTGGAATGCCATGGCACCATCTTGGCTCACTGCAACCTCCACCTCCTGTGTTCAAGCGATTCTCCTGCTTCAGCCTCACGAGTAGCTGGGATTACAGGCACACACCACCACGCCCGGCTAATTTTTTTTTTTTTTTTTGTATTTTTAGTAGAGACGGCGTTTCACCATGTTGGCCAGGCTGGTCTAGAACTCCTGACCTAGTGATCTGCCCGCCTCGGCCTCCCAAAGTGCTGGGATTACAGGCATGAGCCACCACGCCCGGCCTAAACCTCTTTTTCTTTATCAATTACTCAGTCTCAGGTATGTTGTGAAAACAGACTAATACAATGTGGAACCTTAGAATGTGATCTTACTTGGAAATAGTGTCTCTGCAGAACTATTAGTTAAGAATCTTGAGATGAAATCATCTTGGATTTAGGATCAACCCTAAATCCAATGACTGGAGTCCTTCTAGGAAAAGGAGGGGACACAGAGACCCAGAGAAGAAGGAAGGGCATGTGAAGATGGAGACAGAGATCAGGATGATGCAGCTACAAGGCAAGGAATGCCAAGGACTGCTGGGAGCCACCACAGGCTAGGAAGAGGCAGGGAGGGATTCTACCCTAGAACTTTCCGAGGCAGCATGGCCCTGCGAACACCTGGATTTTGGAATTCTGGCCCCCAGAACTGTAAGAATAAGATTCTGTTGTGTTAAACCAACCAGTTTGTGGTAATTTGTTATGGCAGCCCTAGGAAACTAACACAGCCACCAATAGATATATAAAAGCCCTGGATCTGGCACGCCCCCTCCAAGGCAGCCATACCTGGAGGGATGCAGGAGCAAGCAAAGAGAGAGAGGAGGGGGCCAGGGACCCCAGAGCCTGGAGTCTGCAAAGCCGCCTCACTCGCGCTGCATCAGCCTCACCTCTGAACCCGCATACCTGAGAAGAAGTGGGCCCTGAAGCCGCGCTTGGAGACGGTGTTGTCGGACTTGAACTCCACGCGCATGTTGTTGCTCTGCGAGGTGATGACCTCCGGCGTCTCAGAGCCGCAGAACCTGCCGTGCAGCTTGGCGTCGGGGGACAGGCCGCTGCGCACCTCTACAAAGTCGTACTTACAGACCTGCAAGGGAGCATGATGGGGAGCTTCCCAGAGTCCCTGTCCCCACCCCAGACCCCCAGCACACTGCTGCACCTGCTTCCTGAGCGCCTCACCCTACCGTGTGTGGCGGGGGAGGGTCCCTTGACTCTTGCTACGCCGGTTATTTGAATGAGCTCCAGAGGGCACAGGGGGACCCCTGGCTCTCCCACTGAGGCTCTGTGGGGGTGCCATCGCCTGGCACAAGAGCACAGGGCTCCCAAACCTGCATCCCCGTAATTGTAGCCTTGCTTTAATTTATTTTATATATTAGGCTTCCACATGAAATTTTACTTGAAGAAAGGGCCCCACTGCTAGAAGGAGAAGAAAAATAAGGAGAAGAGGATGAGGGAGAAGCAAGAGGAAGAGGAGGAGGAAAATCCTGCAAACCACCGACAGAATCTGACTCCATTTTCAGGCAGGGAAACAAGCTCAGAGGGGGAAAGACATTTGTCTGAAGTCACATAGCTCAGCAGTGGTGGAGCTAGGACTAGAATTCATGTTCCTTGCTGTAGCAATGATTTTTCTCAAAAAGAACTTCACTGCTAAGGGGTCTTATCAATTGCTTTCAAGGATTATTTTTTTCTGCACAATATTCACTTTGGGGTGACACCCTCATGGGCGCCATGGCCTCCATGCATTGGGGTCATCAGCATTGAGGTCTCCTTCCAGTACCCCAAAGGCCTGATCAGGTGAGAGCTACACCAGTACTATTCTCAAGGTGAGACCCCCAGCTCAGCTGGGGTGGGGAGGGGAGTCTCAGGAATGGCTTGTGTGCCCCAGGGTGTCCTTCCAGCCTAAGGTGCAGACGTAGGCATGCCTGACTAGCACTCCAGCTGTAGGGTGCTGCCTGGACCTCAACTGACTTGATCATCCATGATCACTGCCCGAAAGAGGAAACAGGCTGTCTGTAGCATCCTTGTCCCTAGCTGATTCTCACCCCCTTTATTCGCCTCAGCTGCACACCAGCTCCCCAGACTCACAGCCCAGTCCTGACACCTCCCACCCCCAATATCTGCCTCTTCCACTCTTGTCCTGATTCTCCTTGGATGTATCAGCGACAAGAGGGCCGGAGGTGCTCTATCTGCAGAGGGCGTGCGGCTGAAACTGCTGGAGAAAACATTCCCCCAGATTCTGCTAGCGCAGGTCCTAAGACTGTCCAAAGCTTCAGTCAACACAAGCCATCTCCCTGCCCTCCCAGCCCCTCACTGGTTTCCAGCTCTGAGTCACCCCTCAATACAGTCCCCAATCAATTAGAGCATGGAGACATACGTCATTGCCTTCCAGTTCAAACACTTCAAACTGAAGGGAGATCCGGTACTGAGCGGGGGCCACCACCTGCCAGACACAGTTTTTGTTTGTGGGATACTCCTTCGGCCACCCAGGGCTGGTGATGGTTCCATTCAGCTTGGTAATGAAACCGCCACAGGCCACTGCACGGGGGAAACAGAAACAGGATTCATTTGGCTTTGGCTCCAGGTGACTGTGATTTCCCACCAGGAGCAATAGAGCCTTGCTGTTCTGTAATAATTTTAAAATGTTAGACAATTTGAACTGATTAATTCAGTGTCCTTTGTTCAAAACTAATGGTTTCAACTGAATATTTGAAGGAACAAAATTGGGGATAAATCTTTACTGCTTTTAAAAACAATGAATGCATTTGTGCTTTCCTTTCACCCAGTGGCAGAGCTGGGGGCTCCCTATGGCTTGGGCCAAAGGAGAATTAGAAATGTTTGCAGCAAGCTACTCACCATACCAAGCTTGCATGAACAAGCGGATTCATGCACGTGGACAAGGAAGATGGAACACAAGCCAGGTAGAAATAGGATGGATGAAAAGTGCTATCGGTTGAGTCACTGGAGTGCTCACAGTTTTTCTTTGCTTTTGTTTCCTACTTTAATAATCATGTCAATTTCACACAATCATAGAAGAAAAACCATGGCCTTGATTTCAGTCTCTAGGGCAGAGTCTATGTAATTTGGGCAGTTTTCTGACATTTGTGACAGCTGTCAGGCTGTTTCTCCTTCTAGGAAGTAGGTGGGTCTTCCACCATGTCTGCCCATTGCCCATCGTTCCTACACAGCCAGCTGGTTGCCCCATCTCTGCCCCACTTCCCCAAAGACTTGTCCCATATACCCTCTCATTCTAGCTTGGCAGGTCCCACACCAACCTTCACACATCTTCTTATCGGCGGCCAGCTCGTAGCCAGGGTCACAGGCACACTTGTAGCTGCCCAGCGTGTTCACACAGCGATGCTCGCACCCGCCGTGATCTGGCCAGGAACACTCATCCACCTCTGGTGGGGAAGGAAGGTGACCCCGGTTACATTGTCAGGAAGCCTCCTGGCTGTTCCCAACCCTTGCATATCCCAGTGTCACCAGCAAGTGTCCTCTAATAAACAGGAGCCACTCCTGGTGACCACCTCCCAAAGAGTGCCATGTCCACCTCTGAAAACCAGGCAGCAGCTACAGTGAAGGCAGGACACTGACAACACGAGCAGGAACACCTTGTTAGCTGGGGTAGGCTCTGCCAAGAGAAGGCCAGGCCTGGAGAAGTGAATTCTTTGAGGTGTTTGGTCATCGGTCATTTGAGACTTCAAAAAATCTCAAAACATTCCATACCAAAGACTTCATCCATTTTAAAACCATGGAATTGAGGACTTCCCCTGCCCCCATAAATATGCAACTTCTCAGAGATATTAAATAAAGGGTGAAGACAAAGAAAACATTGCTAGATGAAGATGTGTCAGTATTCTCTAGACATTAGAGACAGAATCTGTTATTTAGGAGTTTTAGAAATACTCTTAAGAGAGGTATGCACAGGGAGATATTCAAGGTTACAGAAAACACGGGCTCTTAGGTTAGCAAATGCTCCCAGGAAAACCTGCAGGAAGAGGCCATAATGAGGCTGAGTTAGCAGGGGCGTTGGATGGGATTCAGCACCAAGGGCCTAGTGATGCGTTTGGGGCGACTAAATAACAGCACATAGCATGCCATCGGTGCTGCTCAGAGGAAGAACCTGGAAGTCATTAGAGACACTCCCCAGACACATTAACCCAAGCGCCACTGAAAAAAAGAAAAACCAAAACACATGTTAGAAATAAAAGGAAAAATATGATTATCTGTTGCCAGCCATAGTACATCTAGCCCTGAAAGAGAGCATGTGGGATGTGGCCTACCAGAGCGAGAAAGGAGTCTAGTGAAGGGACAACTGAACACTGAGACATCTTTTTCAAAAAAGTTGAACCTAGGAAGAAGAAAGGATATGGGGAGAAGCGGGAAGGAGAGTTCAGGTCCACAGCACCACGGAAGGTAGGAACACAGTAAGTATAAAGTTGTTGGCCAGGCACGGTGGCTCACGCCTGTAATCACAGCACTTTGGGAGGCTGAGGCGGGTGGATCACAAGGTCACAAGTTTGAGACCAGCCTGGGCAACATGGTGAAACCCCGTCTCTACTAAAAATACAAAATTAGCCGGGAGTGGTGGTGCATGCCTGTAATCCCAGCTACTCGGGAAGCTGAGGCAGGAGAATCGCTTGCACCTGGGAGGTGGAGGTTGCAGTGAGCTGAGATTGCGCCACTGCACTCCAGCCTGGGCAACGGAGCAAGACTCTGTCTCAACAACAACAAAAAAAGTTGTTCACCAAATCTTGAAATAACTCTTTACACACAAACTAAAAGAAATTAAGAACATCTATGAGTTGGTAAAGACCTGGAAAGTTACCCAGTCATGCCCTCTCAGGCAGGAATCCTTTCAGTAACGTTCTGGAGAGATGGCTCTTCAGACCCTACTTGAAAACTCCCAGAGACAGGACTCTCACTACTTTTCAAAGGTATTTATTGGGTCAAAAGTCTGACTCCTTACAACTTCCAGTCCACTGGTCCTCAGAAAACACAAACCCTCCAATCATCCAGCTTCCCTCTACCCTGCCCTTTTCCAACTCAAATATACCCCTTTCCTTCCAGTCGTCCTTGTCTGTGATGCACAGACTCCTCATCAACCTGGTTGCATTTCACTCGGTAAAGGAGGGTTTGTAAATATCCCATCATTTCACATAGGGGACAGTGAACTTGGGTAACTCTAATGGTGATGTACTCTTGGGCTCAATAAAAACTTATATAAATTAATTGCTTATTAGGGGAGATTGCGTTTAGAGAGACAATCCAGGCAGGGAGCTGAAGTTGCCCATCGCCTCAAATAAATGTAAGTAATAAGTATGCTAAAATAGTAACAAGTGTGCAGTTACTTTTTTTATCACCTTACCAAATTGAAAGTATTTTCTTAGACATTTGCTAAAAAGCATAGAAAGAAGAAAATAGTTGATAAAAAGTAGCGGAAAGAGTCCAGGCTTTAAAGTGAGTCAGACCTGGGGTGGATCCTCCAGCCGATCTTCCTCCAATAAATTGGGTGACTGCTTGTGATTTAGCCTCACTGAGCCTCCCTCCTGCTTTAAAGTGAGAATGATAATATTTACTTTTAGGGTTGTGACGACTGAAAACGATGCATGTGAAGTACCCGGCATACAGACCATCGGCACACAGAAGCCATCATGATAGACAGCAGCAGAGTTGCTTTCAAATTTCCAGTGAGTAGAGAGGCACAATGATGGGGCAGTGAAAAGATAAGGTTCCCTGGGCATACCTGGACCAGGTGGGAGTGGAGCAGTGCAGGCCTGAGGAGGGAAGGGAGACAAGGCAAGAACAGAAAGAAGGAAAATGCTTCAAGGATGGGCCAGTGGAGGAAGATGGACGGGCAGGAGGGCAGCACAGCAGAAGAACTCAAGACACTGGCTGGGGGACCTAGGGAAGAGGCAGAAGGAAACCAAGGAAAGAGCCCATTGGGAGAGACAGATAGACAAAGGACCAAGGCTGGGGTCTGCAGGAGACTCTGATACCAGAAGATGCTGTGGCTGTAGGCAGGACACACAGGCAAGAAAGAGGTGCACAGAGGAGCAAGTCTCTTGGCACCATCTTAGCCAGGTGAAGGGAGAGAGCCCGGTGGATGGACCTAGGGCAAAAGCAAAGAAAATATAATTCCTCCAGAGACTAGAAGGTAAGGTGCTCGGCCTTGGGAGGTAGATGAAAGGCATGCTTTTACACCTGAGCTCTCTCTAGCAAGAGCCGTGAGATGTTTGGCCAGTTACAGCCCTGCTTCAGCTTGGCTAGATGGCACAGAGGTGCATGGGGCCTCCCACTGTGGTAAAGCAGCACCTGCTCCAAGCCCACTGGCTCGTGCTTGCTCTGGGCTGCAGAGGCCAAGGCCAAGGCCAAGCCTCCCAGAAAAATCTGGGAGAGCGTGGCAGTAGAAGAGACTGGAAGCAGCATTCAGCTTAGCATAGCAGGAGCTCTGGAGTCTTCTCATGGTCCAGGTGGAATTAGCGAAAGAAGGAAGTAGTTAGATGATGAGACGGCTCAGGCAGGATCCCAAAAATTGTTCAGAGAAAGTTAAGGAAAGGGAAGGCAGGGCATATTCTTAGGCTTTTGAAGAAATCCCTTGAGGGAAGCCAGTCCCCCTACCAAGCCCTTCATGGTGACCTATCAGCACTGGGATAGGGGGATGGAGGGATCAAGGTGGGAAATCTTTAATTCTTTATGTGGGGGGCATAGGACCAAAATGGCCCTGCCAGCCCTTGAGTGCTGCTGCCTTCTCCCAAAGTAACCAGAATTGTTAAGGTTCTCTGCTTGCTGCCAGCCAGTATGCTCTGAGAAGGCTGCCATCTGGCACCAGAATCAGGTACAGAGGCCAACTGGCACCCTGGCCAGGATCAGGCGCCAGCTGGGCCCTGGGCAGAGCACCTGCCAATTGGCACCAAGGCAAGAGCTTCTTTGGCTTGCTCCAGCTCTTCTGCTGGGCCTTTGAGCTCCTCTTCCAGCTTCTTTCACTGGAGAAGTTCTGACACACGTGCTAGGTACGTTGTGTTCACAGAGCATCTGAATGATGGCCTTGTTGGGAAAAGGCTGGGCTGGGGAAGCTGGCTGGGTACAGTCTCCTGACCTGCGCTGTCTGATACGGCAGCCCCCAGCCACATGTGGCTACTGAGCACCTGAAACGCAGTTGGTCCAAGTGGCGATGTGCCATGAGTATAAAACACATGCTGGATTTCCAAGACTTAGTGTGAAAAACATAAGATCTCTCACTAATATTGTGTATATTGATTACATATTAAAATGATATTATTTTGTACAATAAATAAAAATATCATTGAAATCAATGTCACTGGTTTCTCCTTTTTTGTAAGGCAGCTGCCAGCAAATTCAAGGTCACCTATGTGGCTTCTGGTTGTGCCTCACATCCCATTTCTGTTGGACAGTGTTGCACGAGGCTGTGGTCGCTCACCCACTCTTCTTCCAGAGAGTCTTGCAAGGGAGGCAGAGCAGGCAGCAGGATGCCCACTCCACCAGCAGGGAAACTGAGCCCCATTCATTCATTGATCTATCCATTCTTTCATTGCTCACTAGGTATTTACTGAGCCTACTGTGTGCCAAGCACTGGGACCACAGTGAGGAGCAAAGCAGGTATGGGCCGGTCGTAGGAAGGAAAGCTGATCTGCAAGAGAGCGAATAGCTAGTAGGGAACATGGGACCAGCACCTCAAACTCCACTTGCCACGTCCAGAGCCCTTTTGCCTATACCTCTGTGGTATCGGGAAGGTAGAAAGGTGACCAGTGTCAGAATCAAATCACAAACACTAAGGAAAAATTCCACCCCCTTCACGTTCCTTCCCTGTGGCTTTCAGGTCTCCTTAGTGGAAACAGAGCGGATTGTGGAATCCTACAGATCCAGGTTCTAGTTCCAGCCCAGCCATGTTAGGAATTCAGCTTCCTCAACTGGAAAACGGGGGCAATAATAATTCCTACCAGGGGATTGTAATGAAGAAAAGTGAGATAACCTAGATCCTGGCACGTGGCCAGCATTCAGTAGATGTCCTTTCCCTGATTTAATAGGTCTAGATGAGGTTTCTGTTAATCCTGATTCCTACTTTAAGATTCATGGTCAAGGTCAATGTTGTATATTTCTTCTTTTCTAAATGTTGTTCTCTGCAGTTGTTTTAACCATAAAAAAGTCAAGCTGGGTCTGTGCACTAAGTTACTTTGGGTGGGCCTTAGTCCACACTTTGACAGGCATCTGAAAAGATGTTTGCAAATTGAAATGCCCTCCAAGTAGGACACTGGGTAACCTGGGCCCCGTCGCAGACTGAGTCTCACAGCCTCCACCAAGGTCCACACCCACACAGCAATGTCATCGCGCATTTGCTGCTAATCTCCTTCACCACCATGAGCACTTGAGGACAATCATTGTGTGCTTTCCTCGGCGTCTCCAGCCCCAGCACCAACACATAGACTGATGAATGTTGAATGCACGCTAGATGGGGAGGAGGGAGAAGGTGGCGTCTTCTAACCAGCAAATGGAGCCAGCTATCATGGTTACTTGAGCAGGTCCAGGCACTTCCTCGGTCTCTTACAAACCAGTTTAGCATCAGAGAAATACCTTCCATTGTCCTGACTGGCATCTCCAGTAAGTTTTCCATAAAAAAATCAGGAGGTCCAGTTAAATTTGACTTTCAGATAAACCATCAAACACTTCTCAGCACAGTATGTGATATTTGGGACACATACTAAAAAAAAATCATTCTGTATCTAAAGTTCAAATGTAACTAGGCATCCTGTTTTTTTTTTTTTAATTTCCTAAACCTGACAAGCCTAATCTCCAGCTTTAGCTGGTACTCTCAAAATTGTGCATTGCTGATCACCAGCAGCACCAGCAGTAAGGTGTGGATGGTCAGTGGTTACCAGTTATCCCCCTGGAATGGAGCCCCAGCACCCAGCTTACAGAACCTGGGGTGGAAGTCAGGGGAGGAGAAGGCCAAGGGGACTGGAATAAACAGAATTAGAATGACAACCTCATAATCATTCATGACATGTGGTAGGCAGAATAAGGCCTTCCAAAGCTGTCTACAGCTTGGCCTCTACAATCTGTGAATCTGTTACCTTAATGTAAGATTCTGCAAGTGTGGTTAAATTAAGGATCTTAATTAGGTGAAAGAAGGACTCTGCAGGTGTGGTTAAATGAAGGATCTTGGAGATGAGGAGATTCTCCTGGATTATCTGGGTGGGCTCAATGTCAACACCAGGTCCGTGTAAGGCAAAGAGGTGGAAGGAAGTTAGGGTCAGAAGGAGGAGATGTGCTGACCGGAGCAGAGGTCTGTGATGCAGCAGAGAGAATGTGGCATGAGAATGACACACTGGCCATTACTGGCTTTGACCATGGAAGGGGACCATGAGCCAAGGAATTCAGGCAGCTCCTAGAAGCTGGAAAAGGCAAAGAAATAGATTCTCCCTTAGAACCTCAAGAAGGAATGCAGCCCTGCCATCCCCTTGATTTTATCCCAGTGAGACCCATGTTAGACTTCTGACCTCCACAACTGTAGGATAATAAGTGTGCATTGTTTTAAGCCACCAAGCCTGTGGTAAATTGCTACAGCAGGAATAGGAAACCAGTCCATCACAATAGCCAGAAGAAATTGTCGCATCGGTTTTTCCAGAAAGAATAACCACTTCAAAGATTCCTTCCCTAGCAAAGACAATGAACGGGACTAAACACTACACTCGGTGTATTGACTTGCACTATTCCATTTTCTCCTGATGACAGCCTTGCAATCACCTGGCAGCATTGTCTCTCCAGGTAGAGAGACTGGAGCTTGTGCAACAGAAGCTGTGCAACTGGAGAAATCATGCAACTTGCTTGAGGCCACCCAGCCGGTGTCACTGCTGCCAAGTCAGACAGGGGCCACCCCAGGCTGGGAGACACCAGGCATGTGCAGGCTGGGCCAGGGTGGGATTGGGGCTGTGAATTTCCAGGCATCTCAACTAAGGCTGTCATATCTTCCCTGTGCAATCAGAAGCTGACCTGCTTTCAAAATACAAGTGCTATGGCCTGGCTTTTTTTTTCTTTTTTTTCTTTTTTTTTTTGGCTTGAGAAAGAAGCAACTCAGTTTTGTCTCCAATCCTTCAGCGCCATCATGATTCTCCTCTGCTGCTGTTTGGGTTTTGCTCTTCCCCGATACCTCAAAATAGGAAAAAATAACAGCCCCACCCCTTGTTTGTCACCTGCCAGCTTTTAAGTGCCTCCACAGCCGTCCTTTCTTTGGGGCTTCACAACAATTGCTTAGGTACAATGGGCAGATGTCCTTCTTCCTATTTTACAGAGAGGAAAACTGAAGCTTCAGTAAGGACGAATGGCTGCCTGCTCTGGGTGACAGTGCAGAAGTGGGTTCTTTTGACACCCAGGCTGTTCACGTAGAACCTGGGAGAAGGTCTAAGATGGGGCAGAAGAGGAGAATGGAAGCAAGGGAGGGACTGGGATTTCTGTGCTGGCTCAGCCAGGAGTCCTAGGAGAGGAGGGAAGAGGAGAAAGCAGGCTCTGGGCAAGCACAAGTTGTAGGGGGGCTGGGGAAGTGGGGTCACTGATTAAGGGGCCACAGCAGCAGAGGACTGAATGTCTCTACTCAAGGGCTGCTGCTGTGCTCCTGGGCGCCCAGGCCCAATGCAGTGGGGAGCAGCCATGCTTCCCTCTTAGGGTGTGGTCTTCAGGGCTTTCAGGGGCCTGACAGCAGAGAAGGAGGACCTGCCCGTTCAAAGGAGGGTTGGAAGCTGGCTCTTCTGGGGCCAGGAAAGCTCGGTCTGCCCATGCCATTCTGGGCCTGGTTCCATCAGGACCCTACAGAGCAGCAGGTCCCCAGGGCAACACGGAAATTTGTTCCCAGAGTGCCACCCCTTATTCTCCTCCCAACCCCGATCATGTGGGGGTAAGCATGTAGTCTAGGGGCACTGATGTTCCAGGAGCTGAACACCTGGGTTGCCTCTCTGGCCCACATCAAGGAATAGTAGCAATGTTGTAGAAAGAGTTTGAGCTTAGGAATTAGGCCGACTGAATTAGATCCCCGATCTGCCACTTAACTACCTGCATGATCCTGAGAAGCCCTGCCCAGCCCTGATCCAAATCTAACTCACAGGGTTATTTGGGGAATTAAATGACATTATGTAAGTCAAGTACCTTACACAGTTCTTGGTACACAGTAGGTGATCAATTAATGATAGCTGCTATCCAAATATTTGCTGTTATTCCATGCTCAGTTTCACTACCGTGTAGTTTGCCCTTGTAAACTTATTAGATCTAATTTCCAAGTACAGAACTTTCTATCGTGTGGAAGCCAAGGCTGAGCCTGCTCCTGATCAGTTGGGAACTCTGCTGGGGGCTCACACCCAGCTCTGAAATGCATCGCTGCCTTTTCTCTGCAGGGAGCCTTGTTTGGTGGTAAGCTTCCATATGGTTTTGTGTGTCTTAGGCCAGGGGGAGCAATATTTCTTCTTGTGCCTAAAAGTGGAAACAAACTGCTAATTCATACCCTTGAAAAAATTGGCTGCAAAGCCCGCTTTATTGATAGAGCCATCGGACACAAACTTCATCCACAGTCTGTTGGAGCTCGATTTCACATCCTCCGGCTTCTCATAGCCACAAAAGTGGCCGATCAGGGCACTCTCTTCCGTGGGGCCATCCCGGACTTCCAGGTAGTCATATGCACAGCTGTCGTGCCTTTCAATCTAAAGGAAGAAACAGAGGCAAGGTGGATGGCAGATGGTTCTGCTTTAAGGTTTTTGATTTAAGAAGAGAACCCAAATATCACTCTCAAAATCTAACCAAGAGGCCAAAGGACCCAAGTGTGTCCCAGGTCTCTCCATGCTGCTTCCTAGTTCACTCCTTACTTGCAGAAGTCAAGGGTGAATCAAACTGAGAAGAGTCTAAGAGGATAAATAGAGAAGAACAATTCTACCAAACTTCCCTGGATCCCATCCTGAATTTTCACTTTGATTATTATTCTCAACCTCTCTTACTGCCCTCAGAAAGGTGTCAAACCCCATTTCAAAGCCTGCATAGATGTTGATGTCAGATGTCCGGGCACAATTCACTATGGGCTTGAGAATAGCCTCTTAGGTTCCTGTTTTTAGCCAAAAATGAAAACCCATCTTTACAGAGTGGAGGATGTCTAGCAAAAGTTGCCGTTTCCTTGGGAAGCCGGTCTGAGCAGCACTCACCTCAAAAGCTTGGAAGGTAAGTCCCACGTGAAACCCCTCTGAAACCGTAATCCTCCAGACACATTCCTTGGAAGGTCTGTAGTCATCCGGATAGTTGGGAGATTGAATCTGACCGGCATCTTTGTTCATGTCTCCCCCGCAGGTAGCTTTAGAAAGAGACATCAGGAGAGGAAGACGGGGGCCCTGGTCAGATCTTACTTAGGAAGGAAGGTTGGGGAGGCGGGGGGAACAGCGCTTGCCACCACTAGGTGGCTCCGCTCACCAACATTTTCATCTCCAGCCCACAAACACCGCGCCTCCAGAAAGGCACGATTGCATTTGTCTTTAACTCTGAATTTTTTTCATATAAAGAAAAAACCACATAAAGCAGTGGTTCTCTAACTTCGCTGTGCATCAAAATCGCCTGAGGGAGTTTGCAAACTGTGGAAGCTGGGGCCACACTCCCCAGAGGTTCTGATTCCAGTGGGTGTTGGGGAGCGCTGCGTAGCCGTGAAGTTCCCCAGGTGATTCAAGGTAGAGAGTACAGGACCGCTGGTAGGAAAGGACCCGTGCGCGCACACGTGCACACATGCGCACACATGCACATTACTTATTTTACAAAGACAAAACTTTGGCCTCTCTAAAATTGTAATAATTTAAGGCCGAAGGACCCTTGGTAATGTAAGGCCAAAGGACCCTTGGTAATTTTCTGGTAGTTTTCCCCTTTCTTTTTTTTTTTTTTTTTTTGGTAGAGGGTACGGTGGGGTGGGGAATGAGCCAGAGAAGCTCAAGACATAGAAGAAATAGAAGCACCATCACCTGGTGGCAGCTGCCTAGAGCCCAGACCTATTGGTTCCCTCTACTCAGCCACCAGGGTAGCCTCAGAGGCCCTTCTAAGAAACGCAGTTGGAAATTCCTTGATGTTGCCCAAAGTCTTCTTTTCACAAAGGAAACAAACAGAGGCCTAGAGAGGTCAGATTCTTTGCTTAGGCTCACACAGCAATTCAGAGGCTGCTATCATTTCCACAGGGTTCTAGATCCCCCCAATACCGTCCTGTATGGGGGAAGCCGACTCCTCAGCTGGCCTGGAATGAGGGTTGAGTGGGATGGCGTCAGAAGGATGGCACTACTTCTGAAGTGGGCACAGCTGGCCTCTGCTTCCAGAATGTTGCAGGAGGGGCTGTGGAATCCTCAGCTTGCCCCCTGTGGTGGCTGCCCCCACCCCTGTGGCTCTGGCCTGGAGTGTCTGGGCTGGGAGAGGGACAGTGGGCTGCCTGGGAAGGACAGAGCTTATGAGGGGCCACCGAGCAGCTGCTTTCACCTCGCACAAACCTTCGTACGCTGCAAAGAAGCCCTTGCCCAAGATGTTGCTGCTGCTGCGGAACTCCACCCAGAGCCGGCTGTCCGTGGAGACGAGGGGCTCCGGGATCTTATCGCCACAAAACCTGCCTGGAAAGTGGAAAAAGAAGCAGTTAGGAGCCCTGGGGACAGCAAGAAGGCACTGGCTTCAGGCTAGGAGGAAGCTGAGGTTCTTCACACGTGGTTTGAAGTGAGCAATAACCCTGGCTGGGACAACTTATCCTGTAGCACACACAGGATCAAAAGATGGGATTGGAAGAGTCACACAATAATGTGTGACTTAATTCTTTTTCAGGCTGACTTCAGGAGAATTCCAAATTCCCATCAAAGTATCCAGAGAAGAGCCCAGGCAGCCTCTCCCCTGCCGAGGGGTGTTGCTGAGGCTCTGAAGGTGAGGCAGGGGAAGAATGGTGAGAGAATAGAGCAGATTTCCTTTCCTGGTGTTTCCTGTTGCATGTATACCCTTCCCTTTTGGGGGCATTAGACATCTGCTTTCCTTGACTTGGGAAGGGATGCCAGGGAAAACACAGCAAAGAAATAAAACCATCTTGGCGTTTACATTTCACAAGCCTAGTTGCAATAGCAAAGATTTGGAAGGATGCACCATATTTTCCCCATCCTGGTAGCCGTAGGAGGGTTCCTAGGATGGAGGAGTGACAGGACTAGCGGGAGAGCAGCAGGGAGCCCCTAAAAGGACCCATTCCCCATCTCACCTTGAGAAAGAGATCCCAGGTAGGTTTAAGAATCTAAGAGAAGCAGAAAACTGTGTCCTCAGTCCTTGGGCAGAGTCCAGAGTGGCAGCAAGACCCTGGATTCCCCTGTTGTGCCCACCCGCCAAGGTCAGCATAGAAGTGTCTATGTGATTGTCCAGACATTTGGCCCTGAGACAGGCATGCAGAGCTCTTCAGGCAAAGTGTGGCAGGATGGCAGCAACATGATTCCAGGCCCAAGAGGGGGATGGAAGTGACTTTCCCACAGCTGAGAGGATTAGGGGAGCCATAGAATGTCTCCCAAGCTTCTAGGGGAATGTAGACCTGCACCATTCTGAACTGGCCTAGGGTTGATAAAAGGAGGAAGCCCAGTAGCCTGTATCTGGATAGAGGACTCATTGGTTAGGGATGAGAACATCCCAGCAATGCCAGTCAGGGTGGCAGGATAGATGCCCCCCGCCACCACCATGCCTTGGCATAAACTATGCCCCCAACCAGGACATACAAATTGACCAAAACTGAAAACACAAATTGACCAAAATCAAGTCCCTACTACCTGATGGAAAGGGGGATCATCATAGACAAACTTTTGTTATCGAGAAAAAAAATTAATACATTTGTATTTTCTTAGACACTTGGGTGCATGGTCTGAAATCTGGAGCCTCCACAGAGGCCTGGTCTTCCCAGTACCTGGTCATTCTTGGCCATCTAATCCCTACTGCCACGTCAGGATGGCAGCCCAGGGCGAGGTGGGAGATGGGTTCATCTTTACTGAATGGTTCAGAACACAGGCCAGCCACGGTCTATTTGGACTGGAAGACCATGGTTCTACCAAGCACCTATTGCATGAGTCACTTGGAGAATGTATTTAGCTTTGGGGGGCAATGGGGAATGGGAAGTGGCTGCTAATGAATATGGGTCTTCTTTTGGAGTGATGAAAATATTCTTTTTTTTTTTTTTTTTTTTTGAGACAGAGTCTTGCTCTGTCACCCAGGCTGGAACACAATGGCGTGATCTCAGCTCACTGCAGCCTCTGCCTCCCAGGTTCAAGGGATTCTCCTGCCTCACCCTCCCAAGTAGCTGGGACTACAGGCACGTGCCACCATGCCCAGCTAATTTTTTATATTTTTAGTAGAGATGGGGTTTCACCGTGTTAGCCAGGATGGTCTCAATCTCCTGACCTCATGATCTGCCCGCCTCAGCTTCCCAAAGTGCTGGGTTTACAGGCATGAGCCACCGCGCCTGGCTGTGATGAAAATATTCTAAAATTGATTGTGGTGACACAACTCTGAGCATGCTAAAAACCATTGACTGGTATACTTTAAATGGTGAATTGTATGGTCCAGAAATTATATCTGAATATTTTTTTAAAGTCCAATTCACAGATATGTCACGGGTACTCTTACTGCCAGTGCTATGTTAGGCAGTGGACAAACCACGTGAGGCTATGAGCAGGTGAGGTTAGGGGAGGAGTAAAGGCCACTGTAGGCATCTCCTAAGGGCCAGCTGTGTTGTACATGGTTTGGGGAAACATGGGGGTAAAGGCTGTTAATCTCCTCTGCTTCCTTCCAATTCTGACCACCTGTAGCCTTTTGGAATTGGGGAGATTAATATTAAGTGAGATGAGATGAAACTCCTGCCAAGAATTTGGCAAGAAAAAATCCACCAGAAGCCTTTAAATTTTCAGTAATGGTTTCTCTGGCACGGCCAATTAGTGTCAAGTGATTTTTGGAAAATGACAGGCAAGCCTGGGGAAGTACTGCTTACCAATGAGGACACGGAGCAATTAGACAGTGCCGGTTCACAAAAGGAATTCCTTCTTAGCCTAGCCCAAGTTTCAAATCCAAGTTTCTCCTTTTAAAACCCAGCTGTCACAGCCACTGAGGCTTGTTTCCAAAAGAGAGGGAGACTTTCACTGCCTCGTCTCCTAAGGACCTAAGCAGATGAGATGAACCACGCACCACCCAAGGGCCATTAGACAGCCTGTCTCTGCTGAGTACTCGGCAGGAGGCAGGAATTGCAGCCTGAGGTATATTTTACTGCCTTGGCAAAACTAGACTTCGTAGAACAAATTACAAATTATTCCTAAGCACTCTCCCCAAATCACTTTGTCACTCTTAACTAGAATCCTCTACTTTGTCCCTTAACTGATGTCTCAGTGTTCTCATCTTCACCATAATGGTTCTAATAAAAGCCCCTTTTTTATTGACTATGTCTATGCCAGACACTGTCCTAAGCACTTTACATGGATTATCTCATTTCATCCCAATACTCTCTGAATTAGGTACTATTATTAATCCCACTTCACAGACGAGAAAACTGAGAGTCAGAGAATTTAACTCTCAAAGCTGTAAGTAAGAGCAGGATTTGAACCAGAGCAGTCTGAGACCTTCATCATCAGTATCACTTTCTTCATCATCACCACTACTACCATCAAAAAAAAAAAAAAAAAAAAAAACAAAACCTTCACTGACTGAGGCACAGTTCTGAACATTGTACAATTTTGGATAGATAGACATCAAATCTACTCTCTAGTAATGTAGATGTCATCCCCATTTCCCAGTTTGGAAACAGACAAGTAGGAATGAAGATCAAAGCCTCAAACCATAAAGCAATTCTGTGGAAATGCCAGTCTTGGCTGTTTGACTCACTGCATCATTTCTGCTCATTTGGGAGGCTGCCCCTGGCTAGGGAGCCTGAGTAGCCGGGCCACACGACACTGATCGGCCAGCCTGGCCTTTCTGAACTTCCCTCTCCCTATTTCAGGGAAAGAGGGAAAAAGGGCTTTTGTGTGCATTGTGGTGATACAGAATGCCCAAAGACAGTTCTGCATACAAAAGTGCATTGTTAGAGTAATTCCTCTAACAGAAATAAGGGAGGGAATCCAATTTACAGGACAGAATTTAAGATCACTGGATGAGCTCTCTCTGCAGCCAACTTCCTCCCCTCTTTAGGTGCAATATCATAAGTGACCCCCAAAACTGACAAACCAATTTGATATCTTTAACCAGCCATGAAATGTTCTCAATTGACTTTTCCCTTTAATCACTAGGTGAAAACCTGGGTGTCGAAAAATAGCCTCCTTCCAAGGAGACTAAGCAGGCTGGAGAGAAACTGGACTAGAGAAAAGGTGTCAGATTCCTGCACTGAAATCCGGTTCCTGGATTTAGAGGAGGAGTTTAATAAGGATATCAAGAAGAGGAAATGCAGATGAGGACACTACAAGTGGGCTCCATGGGGAGTCATAAAGGGTTCATTCATAAAAAGTTATGCGTCCATTATGCCTGGATTTTCACACACTGCCCTGGGAAAAAATGCGATGCACAGTTTTCAGAGCAAGATGCGTACTTTCACAATCCACCCTAATCCGCTCTCCCTCCTGCCAAAGGGGCATTGACCTGCCTCCTCCCAGCAGATTTCATGGCACTGACCCCTCCCAGGGACCAGCTCGGCCGACACAATGCACTTGTTCCAAACACAAAAGTTCACTAACAACTGCATTTGGAAACATCAGAGCAGGCCAAATAGTTGGCAAAGGAGAACTGCAAATGAAGAATGACGGTTACAGGCGCTGGCACTCTACACACACACACACACACACACGCACACACACAGTTAAAGTGGGTAAAATATGAGCCAAAAAAAAAAAACCTCAAAACAAAAAACAAAACAAAACAAAAACCATCACCACCACCAACAAATGGCAAAAGTCCCAATTCATTAATGAAATGTAGCCACAAATACCAGGATCTATAATGAGAAAATCTTGTTTCAAATTCAAGAAAAAGGAACTCCTGGAAATCTCTCTGCCTGTGCCCATTCTCAGGAACGTGCCTTGGCCCTCTCTGGGGAACTTCAGTAACAGACAGCTTCCTCCTCTTAAGCCTTTAAATCTATCCCATTCCTGGGAGGTGGGGGTAGAGAGTTGCCAGATTTAGCAAACAAAACTCAAGGAAGCCCAGTACATTTGAATTTCGGATAAACAACAAATAATGTATTTTATCTGGCACCCCTTGGGTTCAGCAGTCACCTCTCCCCTTCACCAGGACATCAGAATTCTGGTCTGATCTCAGCCACTAACTGTGTGGACTTTGAGTTAGTCCACACTTGGGGAGCTTGGTTTTCTCATAAAAGTGTGGGATTAAGTGACTGTAATGTCTCTGCCAGGTTGCAGGGTCTGTGATCCGATGTTCTCACGAAACTCCTCCCACATAGCTCTTTTTATTATTTCATTATAGAATGATACCTGAATGTGTTCTTACAAAAGATTCAAACAATGGAGAAGTATACAAAACAAAATTTGAAGCTGCCCACCACCTCCGCGCTTCCTTCCTCAGAGGTAATCACCTTCAGCAGTTAGATGGGCATATTTGTGGTCCTTTCTACATTTGTGGTACTAGATTTGGGCACATGCCCTTTTATATAAAGGTAAATAGGATCATTCTCTGACCCAATTTGTGGGGATTCCAATTCACGGTCTCCCAGGAATCTGTATTCATAGAAATCTTCCCAGGAGGTTCTGATGTCCAGCCAGGTTTGGGAACCTCTGCTACTGGGAATCCAGCCCTCTGTCTTTTGCCACAAGCAAACAGTGCTACCTGTAAAGCCAGACCCTCCTTCTGGCTGCTAGAGAGCGCCATGCCTGCTCATAGTAGGCAGGAAACAGAAATCCAGGCAGGCATCCTCCGCCCTGCCACTGTGGGGCGGACTCCACTGGTCCTGCAGTAGACGTGCTCCTGTCCGTACTTGGCCTGGGGATCACTTTCTTCGCTTGTCTACCTGGACAGCTGACTACCTGACTGACTTCTTCTAATGCCGGCAGCCTGGGACCCCTCAGTCATACGAAAGATTAATGTCTGCCAGGCTACCTTGAGTCCAGCCAACCCCTCTGTCCAGCCTCTTCTGACCTACCTCAGCCTTGGCTCCCCAGAATCTGGCATGAAGTCAGGGCTCGGTCTAGCAGTGACACCCCACAGTTTAGCCCTCTCCCTTCTTTCCTATCTCCATCTTGGCCAACCACCCGATACCAGCTCACTCTCAGGCTCGTCAGTTGCAGCATAACAAGTTGGGCTTTCTGCTCACATGAATATGTGCCAAGGACAAAGTCCTCACTGAGCGCTTAGACTTGTCCAAGCCAGAGCCCACCCTACAGACCCCTCTACGAGTGAGGACAATACACTCTCAGCTGAGACCCTCCCATCTGGCTCCTGGTCACTTCTGCCTGTCTCACCAGCTCCACCACGGCTGCCATTCCTGGGCTGAATGAGTCCTAGTGTCTACTCCCGAGACACTGCAGCCACTGGTCCTCTAGGCAAGGCTAACCTCCCCTGTCATCCACGAGAGATGTAGGGAAAAGAAAGAGAGATCAGACTGTTACTGTGTCTATGTAGAAAGGGAAGACATAAGAGACTCCATTTTGGAAAAGACCTGTACTTTAAACAATTGCTTTGCTGAGATGTTGTTAATTTGTAGCTTTGCCCCAGACACTTTGCCCCAGCTACTTTGACCCAACCTGGAGCTCACAAAAACATGTGTTGTATGAAATCGAGGTTTAAGGGATCTAGGGCTGCGCAGGACATGCCTTGTTAACAAAATGTTTACAAGCAGTATACTTGGTAAAAGTCATCGCCATTCTCTAGTCTCAATAAACCAAGGGCACAGTGCACCTCTGCCCTTGAAAGCGGGGTATTGTCTCCCCATGTGATAGTCTGAAATATGGCCTCGTGGGATGAGAAAGACCTGACCGTCCCCCAGCCCGACACCCGTAAAGGGTCTGTGCTGAGGTGGATTAGTAAAAGAGGAAAGCCTCTTGCAGTTGAGATAGAGGAAGACCACTGTCCCCTGCCTGCCCCTGGGAACTGAATGTCTCGGTATAAAACCCGATTGTACATTTGTTCAATTCTGAGATAGGAGAAAAACTGCCCTGTGGTGGGAGGCAAGATATGTTTGCAGCAATGCTGCCTTGTTATTCTTTACTCCACTGAGATATTTGGGTGGAGAGAAACATAAATCTGGCCTACGTGCACATCCAGGCATAGTACCTTCCCTTGAACTTAATTATGACATAGATTCTTTTGCTCACATGTTTGTTGCTGACCTTCTCCTTATTATCACCCTGCTCTCCTACTACATTCCTTTTTGCTGAAATAATGAAAATAATAATCAATAAAAACTGAGTGAACTCAGAGACCGGTGCCGATGCAGGTCCTTGGTGTGCTGAGTGCCGGTCCCCTGGGCCCACTGTTGTTTCTCTATACTTTGTCTCTGTGTCTTATTTCTTTTCTCAGTCTCTCATCCCACCTGACTAGAAATACCCACAGGTGTGGAGGGGCAGGCCACCCCTTCATCTCTGGGGTGAACTAAGCTTTCTTGTTACACCACCTGCCCACTGTGTCTCACTCAAAGCTCTAAGCTAACTTTCCATGGGTGAGTTCATGCCCTGTTCATCTCACCAAAACAATACACGCTCATCATAGAAAAACTGGAAAATATAGCTAAACCAAGAACAACAGAATACATTTAAAAAATACTCTATCACCCTGAAATAACCAGTGTGTTATTTATGTATATTTATAATTTTACTTGAGATTTATATTGCAGATCACAAAGTGGTGTCTTCTAGTTAATTCAGCCTGTACACATGTTTTAAGTCATTTTGGTTTGAATAATTTTGGACACGATATTTGGTGTTCAGTTCACCACACTCCCCCCACCACTCCTTATTTTATTACACAAATCCCATCTCCTTCATTTACATGTTATCCTTGAAGCCATCTACATTTGCAATGCCTGCATTATATATATATATATAAAATGCATAAATGTATTTTTTAATCAAAATGGAATCCTACTGCTTATTCTATTTTTGTCACATACTTTTTTGTGTGTAACAGTGTACCATGAACACCTTTCCATATCAGTAGTCAACTACAACTTCATTTTTAATGGCTGGGAAGTTTTCCATTAAAAAGATGGATCATAATTTATTCAGCCAAACCCTACTGTTGAACATTTAAATTGCTTGCAATTTTTCCTGCTTCAGTGAACATCCCTGTAGCTAGAGCTTTGCACACTTCCTTAATTAGTTCCCTAGGATGAATTCCAAAAAGTGGAATTGCTGGGTCAAAGGGTATTCGCAGTTTTAAAAGCTTTTAACATGTGTGGCCAAATGGAGTGCTCAGAGTTTTACAATGACAGAGGCCCTTGAGAGTTTCCTGTGACCGCTGTCAAGGTGGACCTTCCAGACATTAACAGCATCCCGGGGAACATCCCATCACTCCTCTCTTAACGGTGTCTAAAGTCAACTTACCCAAAAGGGGGGCTTTTCTCCAGTAACCATCCCGGACCTCCACGTAATCATACCAGCACAGTCGGCTTTTAAACAAATCCATGGATGTGAAGTTTAATACGATCTGTAAAGAATTACCATAAAGTGAGTTTTGGCAGCAAAGCCTGAGGAGTTTGGGAAGATATATCTTGCATACTGGTGTTCTCACGTTACCCTTTAGCATGCAGAACTTTCAGACCACGGTAGGAGTGTTGTCTCAAAAGCATGCTCACAGGAAACCTAAGGACATTAAATAATAAACCTTAAGCAGGATGGGGAGTAAACAGAAGGAGATGGGTCCTTCGGTTCTGTCTGGGGAATCACTTGAGCTTTTGAAGTCACTAGGTGGTTTACAGAAAGCGAGATGCATTAAAAAGACTGGCCAGGGCGCATGGAGACGGAGGATTTGGAAGGAGGTAAGGGGTCAGCGAAGTTCAGAGATACAAGAAGATCTTATAACATCATCAATCATTCCAAAGGGTCTGGGGTTAGCCCGAGTGCATCTGAACATCTCTGCGATCAACCTCCCCTCAGCCATGACCTCACTCTCCTGAGGTGTGGTGTGTCTAATGACCTTCCTACAGTTAGTCCATTCTTTCATTCACTCCACCATTGTTTGTTGACCACCTTCTGAGTGTCAGCCTGTGCTGGCCAATTGAGATAGAAAGATCAGTAAGACAGGGTCCTTTGCCCTTGGGGAGCCCAGAGAAGGGGGGAAAGGCAGATGGGCCAAGCCAATGAGAACACTATGGTATAAACACTGAAAAGAGAGGGATTGTCATGAGGAGCATCTTGGCAGCCCTGTCTGGACATCCCTGAGGTCAGGTAGTGGATGCTCCCATGGCCAAATAGGTGACTACTTAGTAGGGGGAAGGGGAGGGCTGGGTGGTCCCAGGGGCTGGGCCTCAGCACACAGGTGCTGTACCTGTGAACTGGCTCTGGTCCCCCTGCAGCCCACCAGCTCGGGGCTCCCCTGGCAGATGGCCCAGAGCAGAGTTCAGATTTCCCCTGGCCTTTCACCCCCACGCAAGTTCCACTAAACCAGGTGCCTGTGGCTCCTCCCACTGTCCTGAGGTGCAGTGGCTTGTCTGGCCCAGGCTCACCTTTCCTCATGCCCCACACACCTGCTCCATCACGTCTCCACTCTTCCTCATCTCCAGCCCTGACCCAGCCCCTGCACCCCTGACTCTATTCGTTTTCCAACCCCGGAGGACTTTGCTCTCAGCAGTTCCTCTCTCTCCAGCATCTCCACTCACTGCCCCTCCACTAGCCACTTCTTTATATTCAAACAGCCCCAGGGGCCCTCTAGCTCTAAGTAAACCCTTAGGCTGGAAGGCTTCCTCAAAGGTTCCCATTCCCTCCCCACCAAATCTAAAGGACTGTTATTTGGCCTTGTGCCCCATGACCCCTCTGCCCAGAGCTTATCCTTTCTGGTTTTCACCACACTGGCCTATCTTCTCCCCACTGCTCTTGCTCCTCTGCCCTTCCCGCTCCCTACTAGGTGAGAGCACCTCCAAACAAAGCATTTCCTTTCCAGCCTCCTCCACTGTAGGAGATGCCATTGCCCCGATGGTCAAGGAGCCAAGCTTTGGTATTATCTTTCCTTCATCCTTACTGTTGATCCCCCATATCTGTTCAGCATCCATGCTGCAGCTCTTTTTAAGATATCCGCATCCCTCCCCTCTAACCCCATCTCGCTCCTCCTGCCTCACCCCCTCCTGGATTGCTCCCACACGATTCCTGGACTCCTCCCTGCTGTGGCCCCATTTTTTCTACACACTGGGGCTTCTAGATCAATATTCCACTCATATCTCATGTTTACCAGACCCCTCCCAATCTTCCACCCATATATCATGTTGACCAAACCCCTCAGGAAACCTCAGTGGCTCTCTGTGCCCCCATCTCATGAATTAAATTCTGCTTACTTTCCACACCCCCAGAGCCTGTCCTGTGCAACCTGTTTCCCAGTGTTCCCTGACAGTCCCATGTCAGAGAAACCCTTCCCAGGCCTGCTCAAGTGTCCCCCTCCTCGAGCCTGTGTCTGATTGCCCTGATGAACACGATTGATCTTTGCCTCTTTGGAACGCCCCACCCTCTGTCTTATAATGATTCTAGAGCCGGTGTCTTTAGATCTACCTAGATCTGGATTTGCTTCTCAGCTCCATCTACTAGCTCTGGAGTCTTGGGGAAATACTTGCCCTCTAGTTTCCTCATCTGTAACACAATACACACATCACTGTGCTATTGAGGGGACTGTGCGAGAAACCATATATAGAGTGTATATTGCTATGCCTGGCACACCATAGGCACTCGATAAATAGCAACTTAAAATACCAGGTAGTCCACATTGAGTGTACACTTAGCATACCACAACTAACACTAACCACACCTCGCAAGCTGCCCATCTTGATTAGTGTTGAGTGCCCATCCCTTCCCTTGGGCCCATCCCACCCAATGTTTCGTCTCAGGACAAATCACATCTTCCACAAAGCCCTGCGATCTCCTAGGAAACGAAGTCAGTGCCAGGAAAAAACAGGTCAGCTCACCTTCTGTCATTGAGTGTGTGTGCGCGCACGCGTGGGTGCATGCATGTGTGAGCATGTGCATGCATGTGTGTGCGCACACGTGTGTGCGTGTGTGTGCATGTGTGTGCGCACGCTGTCACTCCTCTTTCAAACTAGACTGTGTTTTTCGACCCTACTTGCACATTAAAATCAACTTTGAAGCTTTGAAAAAGCTCATACCAAGCAAACACCCTTCCTTCCATTAAATCAGATTCCCTGGGAGTGGGGGGAGGGGGACCCAAAATAAACAGTCTTAAGACAGGGGTGTGCCTTAGATTTCTGTCCTATCCCACACCGTGCTCATATTCAGGTGGTAGAGCTTAGTAACACCTGTAAGCTGGTTGCACAATAATTCTTTAGCCTTTGCTTTTTTAAAATTACAGAAAGGAAATGTTAGTACAACTTCCTTGGTAACACATTCATGATCTGAATGAATGGGATAATTATTCAGGCTAATTATTTTAAGTACATTAGTGAACCATAAAGACCATAGGGGAAAGAGGTGGTGAACAAGAGGTGATACTCGAATCAATCAAGTTTGCTAATTACTTGCAGCTCTGGGGAAAGCTGGGTGAAGCAGAAATGGAAATAATTGGTGCAGAAATTTCAATGATGTATATTCTCTCTGTCCCCAGTTAGCACTAATAATTAAGGCTTGATGAAGTTTACACAGTTCAAACATATCACACACCCTCTGCTGTGCAGAGCAATTCAATAATTTAGAAATTACCAGACCTCTTCCTCTTCCCCCTTTCTGCCTCCCTCCTGTTAGCCTCCAGCAGGCACATGGATTTCACATCTACCCAAGGCAGACAGGTCTGGGATCTCAGATACAAGATGACAGCCATACTTAATGTCTTAAATGCTTAGAGCCAAAGGAAGGATGTATACATGTGTGCCCACACATGTGCATTCATGTATGTATATAAATGCACGTTAAAATGTCTATCTACTAGCCTGGCCCCTTTGTGTAATAATATAAGATGACAGTCAAGCATTCAGGCTGTCAGAGTCCAATTGCCTGGGTTCAAATCCCAACTCTGCAACAAACTTAGAAGCCTTGGGCAAGTCCAATTCCTTACCTGTAAATAAGTATGGCAACAGCACCTATTTCACAAAGTTGATGAGAGGACTAAATTAGATGATCCACATGATATGCTAAGGATAGTATCCAGTCTACAGAAAATGCTCACAATGGTTCCTAGTCATTTGTCTCTAGTTAGCACACTATGCTTAACTTGACATTTAGATGGACATTTTAAAAAGTTATAAATTAGAAATACCTGAAGGTTGGCTACAGGTGCCTGAAAAATTCCATCACACCCCACTGCCACCCCTAGCTGCAGGTTTTTCACTCAGCCCCTCATCCATCCACATATCCATTCAACAAATACTTGTCAGGTGACCATTCTGTGCCACAGACTGTGTGGAGTGCTGGGGCCCTGGGGCTGAATGATCTCCAACCTTAATGAGCTTAAGATTTAGAAGGGGGTCAAATAAACCAGTAGTGACTATACCGTGAGACATGCTATAACAGGTATAATTATAGAGAGCTCTGGGGACACTGGGGGTATCCCCTAACCTAGACCTAGGGAACAGGGTTTCTCTAAGATAGTTGCATCTAGTCTGAGGCAACTTGAAGAACACTCAGATTTGTAGAGACATGTAGCAAAAAGATAAGCTTTGGAGAGCAAAACCTCAGTTCTCAGTTTCTAGTTCTATATCTTACCTTGACTTTTGGCACTTTCCTTAATGTTCAAGCCTCAAATTCCTTATCCAGATAATGGATATAACAGTACGTGCCCTGCAGTAGGGTTGAAAACATACCACCCTTGGACCAGAGTGAAAGAGATCCTTGCCCTGGGCTCAGCTCTAGGGGGTCACGGAATCTTCAAGACTAAAGGGATGTGTCCACCCAGAGCTTGCCCAGGTCCTACGCCACACTCCAGGAATCCAGGAATTCCCTGTCCACACAGCTCTGAGCCCATTGCCAGGACATGCAAGGGCCTCTGCCCTGGATCCATCTTCTTGAGTATAGACTGCATGCCTGGCCAGTCCATCCCGCTGGAGGGGCAGCCAAGGAGTGGCTGTTTGCAAAAGAGGAGTGTAAGATGCTTAGGGAAGTGGGCTGGGGTGTCAACAGGGATGTTCTTTAAGCCCCAAATGCTGAGACGGAGGCTGGGGGGAAGAATAGCCAGCTGTGGGCTGGCTCCCCGTGTCACCATCTTCCAGAGCAGCAATCCGAGGTGTCACAGAATTCTAAATTCTAGGATATTATAATAGTGTATTTGTTAAGGTTGGAAGGAACTGTGAGCTTGATTTATAACTCAGCAGATATTTAGTACATGCCAGCCTTCATTTGTGTGGGTGAGACTGGTTGAGAAGTCCAGAAATAATGAACGTACAGCAAACAGCACCATGCCTGGCATACAGTGGGTGCTTATAACCGAACAGCTGTTATTTTTACTATTAACAATAAGAACTCCTCCCACCTCACCCAACTCAAGGAGTGCCGTCCCATTTGCCAAGGGGGCTTCCCACCTACCTTTTCCCCTGGGGTGACCGAGATCCTCCAGACGCAGTGGGAGTAAGATGGGTACCCATTTGGGAAACCAGGTGCAGAAAAGTTTCCCGTTGTGTCCTGCAGGGTCTCCCCACACGCTGCACAAGCAAAATCACAACTGTGATGTGGCATATGCACCTCTCCCCGCCCAAGCAGCTCCCGCACGGGGCAGCGGAGCAAACATACCCCTTTGCCAGCCAAAGCCCTCGGAACAGGTTGGTGAGAAGTGTAGCAAGCAGATTGATGTTTTCTGGCTAACAAAAGCACAAGTAGGACCTAGGAGTCAAAAAGGAACGCCCAGGAATTTCTTCTGAGGCTCTCAGGACTGAGCATGGCCTAGAGGTCATGAATCTTAGCTCTCTGGCCAGCTGTGTGGCTTGGGCAAGTTTCCTAGACTTGCTGGACCTTAGTTTTCTTATCTGTAAGATGGGCAGGACCTACCTGAGAGGGTTAGTGAAATCGTGTGCATTACATGAAATGGATCAGCTCAGTGCTTGGCACGTAGTGAGTGCTTCATATATAATGCCATTATTATTGCTAATAATAATATCGGTGGCAGAGAGAACATGAAAATGCAAGTAGAGGCCAGGCGTGGTGGCTCACGCCTGTAATCTCAGCACTTTGGGAGGCCAAGGCGGGTGGGTCATTTGAGGTCAGGAGTTCGAGACCAGCCTGGCCAACATGGGGAAACCCCATCTCTACTAAAAATACAAAAATTAGCTGGGTGGTAGTGGCGTGCACCTGTAATCCCAGCTACTTGGGAGGCTGAGGCAGAAGAATCGCTTGAGCCTGGGAGGCTGGGAGGTGGAGAGTGCAGTGAGCCAAGATTGCACTACTGCACTCCAGTCTCCAGTCTGGGTGACAGAGTGAGACTCTGTCTCAAAAAAAAAAAAAAAAAAAAAAAAAAAAAAAAAAAAAGTGGAAGTAGGTAAGACAAAAAGAAAAAAATGCTTTGAAACTTATTTCAGCTGTTAGTTTAAATCTTTCCTCTTCCTTTTCTGCTACTCACTTCTGAAAGAACTATAAAGCAGTCAAGAAAACAAAAAAATGCAGAGGCACAGGGAGCTGGAATCTTCTATAGCAGGCTATTCTGCCCTTGAATGTTTGAGGGTTGGTTATGAGTCTAGAACCTAGTCTTTATGTATGTGAAAAGTATTTCCCCTAATTTGTCCTCACAAATGAAGGGTACCTGTATGAATCCTTGGAAACTACAGGTTTTGTATTTCTCTAATGCCTGGGGATTCAGACTCCAAAGACAAAGACACTGGTTTGCTGAGAGCCCCTCCTCTTATGTGGCCAACCCTAACATGTGGAGATCCAGCATCCTTAGGCATCTTTTCCTTACATGCAGTTCAACCTCTGCATGGCGACTGACTGAGCTTTCAGTTACTGCTCGGAACTACTGGAAGCTCCACATTTTTTGGAGCTGCAGGAAGGGATATGTGGAGAACTGCCCATTATCGGCCTCAGGAAATCCTGGATGTCGGGGCTTCAATATCACATTACTGAACAACTGCCAGGCATCATGAGGATTATGCCTGGCAGTCAACACCCCCAAGGGTTCCATGGAAATTATTTTAGAATAATCATCAACATTCTGCAAGAACAGATACATTACTATGTGGCTCCACAGTATTTTGCTTTGAATCCTTTTGGGAAGTGAGCAGCATAAATGTTATAACTGAATAAATATGATGGCATTTCCCAGGGTATGCTATAAGGTTTCCCGTTCAATTCAGCAAGGTTATATGATATGTGTGTCCTGTATTTCAGCCCTAACACGCCCCCAGATGACTAATAGCTGGACGGACATATTTTCTAAAGTTTCTTGAGGAAGCAAGCCCCACGCAGCCCTTTGCATCCCTCGGGTCCTGCTTAGTAAGGTAATGTGACAGCCCAGATTTTCTAAGACGGTCCTCACTTCAAATACTTCATCCCATGATCAAACTCTGTGTCTGGTTTGGAAGTCTGGGAAAGGCTATTGGTAATGGAACTTCCTTCTATCCTCCTAAAACCACTGAAATGGATTCTGATCCATCAGTACTAAAAACTCAGCTGCCCTAACCAGTGCTTTACATTGAGGCTCAAGAGCTGAAAGGGGTCTAGAAGAGCTCAGACGGTGTGTGTATGATGATGATGCTGAAGCCAAGGGGATGGAAGACAAACGGGACAAATCCAAGGGGAAGGAACACTTCCAAACGGGCCAGGGAACAGGCATTTGCTCCAATCCCAGTATTGTCCCATCTTCAATGGCAGACTCCTGGCCACTGACCAGCACCTAGGATGGCCAGGAAAGCCCCAAGACCAAAGCAACAAGCTCATTAATAGCACTGAGACTCCCTCCACCTTGTAGCATTTGGGAAACTGACTTCCATCCTCCCAAAAGCATTCTCCCTCACTCTTTGTCTTCCTGCAAAATCCAGCTTGGTTCTTGTTTTCCCAAACCCACATCCCCTAGTCCCAGAGAAAGGAGAGGTGCTCTTACTGTTATGGGGCACACACTGCATTACACCCCTATTTACTGTTGTTCTGTTATGCCTTCTTCCCCTTCTGGACACAAAGGCTTTGCCAGAGAAGTCTGAAGCCTCTCATGAAATTGCCAATGGACTCTAAGACCTATTATTCTCTTCACTGCCTGCCACCATGTCACCATTTCACCTTTCTATACTGCCTAGCACCTCCTACCAGAAGGACACCAGAAATTAAAGCTGCCAAGGAATAGTCCCTTTAGGTCCCCCAAGTTGTTTTCCCAGCATAGGGACTGTGCTTTGGAGATGCTAGGGAGGTGCTGGCAGTCCCCACGGCTCATAGTTACCTGGGCATTTGTACAGCTTCCGGGCTTGAGCTATGTCTCCCTGACTGAGCCGCACGCGCTGGCCAATGGTTGGCCTGACGCCATTGTCATCTTGACGGGGAAGGATGGTGTCTAAGAAAACTCCTCTACAGGAAGGAAAAAAGACAGAAAAAGAAAAGTCAAGGCCATCAGGCTGTCTGTGCTGGGATTTCTAGGCTTCATTCCCTTGCCCATAACCCCATCAACATTCCTGCCCCCTGGCCAGCCTCTCCCAGGCTGGCATGACTGAAGAGGTTTCCTTCGCTCATGCTAGCATTTTCACATTCCATCTCATCAGCTGCCTACTCGCTTTCCAGTGGGAAGATGACTCTGCCAAGTGTAAAAATATGCCCTAGTGCGGTAGCCCAGGGGCTTCCTTAGGGATGTGTCCTGAGCATTTTCATGAAGCCCTGACAGGTCCAGACCCCGGAGAGACCACGGTGTGAATGGCGCCCCCTGCAGCTGTGCATTGGGAAGTACTGTGTGTAGTTAAGTCCTGGAGCCACCCCAGGGAGAGCTTGGGAACTGGTCCAATGTGAGACTCTCAGGGGCTGGTCAGCAAGTGCAGGTTGATGAATTGGTGGTCCCAGTTTGGAGGCCCTGCTGGTAAGAGGGAAATCAGATGGAAAATGAGATAAATGCAGAGAACAAGAAGTAGTGAAAAAAGCCCTGGACTAGAGATTTCTACACTAGGCCTGTGTGTGCTTGGACAAGACCCTTCCCCTCTCTGAGCCTCTCTAAGTCTCAGTTTACCCCACTAAACAATAAGAAATTTGTTGAGATGGTCATGGCAGCCCCTTCTATCTCTAACATCTTATTCTACTCCTATTTGACTGAAATCTAAAATGACAGCTTCATTTCTAAACTAGACAAGTGGAAATCAGGTTGCCAGCTGAGCGCTGGCCCTGTTGTGGGCATGGTTTACATCCCGCCTGCTGCCTTGTCTGCTGCCAGCTCTGAGCCTCCTCTTCTGCTTCCAGACCCTCTATCTGGGGCCTCTCCTGGATGTTAGGCCTCTCCTTGAATCAGCATCTCCTCCAGTCACCACCTTGTTTTTTTCCTTCCCTTCTTAACCAAGTTTCTATAAAGTATTGTCTCCATTCCCCAACTGCTCACCTCTGATTCACTTCTCAATCCACCTGTGATCTGACCCCATCAGCAACGGTCACCACTCATCTGCCAGTAGACAGCTTCCAATCTCCGTCTGCCCTCTCTCCAGCACTGACCTCCGATGCCCTCCTCCCTCCTCACTGTCTTCTCCCTGGGTCCAGGCCATGGCTCTCTCTGAGCAGTGAGACAAGAACCACTTCTGCTTCCCCTTCAGTGATGCCCCTTGGGTTTCTGCCCTCTCCCTCTGTCCTCTCTCTCCATATTCCATCTGCTCCTACGGCTTTTAACCATCATCTGCAGCCTCACAGCTAATCCTCTGTTTCCAGCCCAGGATCCTCTGCTGAGCCCCAGATGCCTCGTAACACCTCCCCTGGGCTGTCCTATGGGCCTCTTATATCCAACGTGCTCAAAACCAAATTTATCACAATTCCATCCTTCTCCTGCTCACTCCATGATCCTTGTCTCCTGAGCCTGAATCTGAGGGCATTCTCAGCTCCTCCCTCTCCCTCATACTCTCCTACCAAACCAGGAGCCAGGTCCTGTCCACTCTACCTTTTTTGCACCCCTTGAACCCATACCCTCCTCCTTGTTCCCAGACCATTGCCATAGCTCAAGTGATCAACACCCCATTCTTGAACTCTTTCCAGTAGCTTCTTAACTGGCCTCCCTCCCTGTAGACTCAGCCACTTCTACTCTACTGCTCCCCTTGGCCACAATGCTGCAATGGAATCATCCCAGAATGCAAGGGGAGGCACGTGCCTTTTTTGCTTAGAACGCTTCACCAACTTCCAGTCACCACTTGGATCTCTAGGCTGTTTGCTCACTGACTTCTGCCTTCCTCTCCAGCCTGACTCTTTAATCCCATAACCAAAAGAATACTTAACAAGAATAAAGCATATGTCATTATTTTAAGCAACACTGAGCTCCTTGTAGGCCTCAAATATGCCCTTGCACATGCTATCCGCTCCCTAGGCTGCCCATGCCCTCTGTTTTTTTGTCTGTTTGCAAACTCCTATTCATTCTCCAAAACCCCATCAGATGTCTTTCTCTATTAAAAGTCTTCCCCAAGCCTTTTCTACTCCTCCCATCTGGAGTTTATCATTCCCTGCTCTGGGTCTTAATCATTTGTGTAGTCTCTTCTTATCATACTGTATTGTTTTTCTTAAGGAGTGATGGTATTTGTCTTCTTTGCTAAAAGTAAGTTCCTCAAGCAGGGAGACTGGGTGTTTTATCTCTGTCCTTAGAAACTACAGCACAGCAGACCTCAAAAAATGCTTCTTGAATTAAATATGCAATCAGGATAAAGCACTGTCTTTTAAAAACTTTGCAAAATAGTTATTTACATCCAAAATGGAAGTGAAAATGTACATATGTCACCTAGCTATTAGCTGTGCATGCTCTCTCTCTCTGTCTCTCTCTGTCTCTCTCTCTCTCTCTCTCTCTCTCTGTCTCTCTCAAGCACTGTTTCTATTTCCCTAAATTCTGCACTACATTAGAAAATACCTATTACCCCTGGTTCTTCCTGGTTACATCACTTTGTTATCTTTTTGTTTTTGTGCAGACTTTTTTTTTCTAAATCAGATTTCAAGCTCACTTTCCAACCTTAGCCTGTGGGAGTATAGATCATCTGCTGATTTCCTGTTCAGCATCTCTGTACCCAACATGTAACCCTTGACCTGTCTTTCTCTAGCTCCCATAGCCTCATTTTTGAGTCTGGACTCCTGCAGAGAAACTTTAGTGGAATCCTTGGCCTCCCTCACTGACTTTACCACATTTTAAACCACAAGTGATGACTCTGCAGAAAATCCTAAATTCAATCATTAGCTACTCCAAAAACAGGCACTTCTGCCCTAACGAAAGGTGTGTCCTTTTGTAATTATTTTCTTGGTTCCCTTGCAGAAAGGAATTCTGCAGCACAAGCATAAGGATCACACAGTCTATAAGCACCCCACGCTACCTGGCCACATCACGTAGATGACTTTGCCAGCGGGCCTGGGGCATAGAGGCCATGTTCTTGCACTTACTCATCATTCATAGGACTTTCCGATGTGCCAGGCCCTGCACTGGGCACTTTCCTTGCACCAACTCATTTCATCTTCATAACACCCTAGGAGTCAGGTGCCATTATCACAAGAGCTCTCACTCTACAGGGGAGAAGACTGAGCCTGCAGAGCTTAAGTGACTTTCCCAGGGCACAGAGGTAGTCATGGAGAGGCAGGCCAGGAGCTCACCTCTGGGAATCCTCCTCCTTCCAGCCAGTGTTTCCTGCTGCCCAAGGAACAGTAGGCCTTATGATACATTAAATTATAGAGCTAAGAACATTGCAGACTTCAAAAACCAAAACATCAGGAACAACATTGGCTCACACTCAGACCGCTCTTTGGTGCTGGACGTCCTCCCTTGCGTATCCTAAGCTGCCAGCAAGAGCTTCCAGCTGTTTACTACAAGAGCCGTCCCCTGTGTAAACCACAGCGGTGACGTTCCTTCCCTCTTTCATGTAGGACAACTCTTAGCATTGACATTCTGCTAAACTAAGACAGAGTTCAGCAGATGCCTCAGGGAATAAAACTGTCAGTTCTGAGTTCTGAAACAAAGAGGCCCCTGTACAAGAGAACTGTCTCCTCATCTCCTGGATCTTTGCCCAGCAAAACCTCCAAAGAGACCGCTCCCCACAGCCTGGGTCCAACCAAGGGGGAGGGGAGAAGAACTGCAATAAACTAGAGAGAATGAAGTTGGAAGGAGACAGCTCAATCGTAAAGAGACACAAGGATTGAGTTTCCCATCAGCAGGGTATAGCATTTGCCCACCTCCCCAGATCAGCATATGTTCCATGGGCTCTATTCTGCCCTTTTACAGAATCCAACATGAGGTACAGGCCAGCTTTAGGGTCTTTGTGACCAGAAGTAATGACATGGAGTTGGGAGCGGGGAAACTATTGACAAAATGCTCATAGAAAAGCTCCCAGTAAAAACCCAGTGAACAAAATTGTTTTCCGAAAATCCAGGTAAAAAGTTGGCAGAAAGGACAATGCAGTCATCCACCTGCAACAAAACAGATTTGCTGAAACCATTCTGAACTCTGGGGCAGAGGTGACAAGGCAGCAGTGGCAGATTGTTAAAATAAAAAGTCACTCCTCCTAATAGCCAAATCCTACTGCAATGTGAAGCTTCCATACCTCCCAGTAAGAGGTGGAGTCTATTTCTCCACTTGCTTGAGTTTGGGGCTGGCCTTGTGGCTTGCTTTGACCAACAGAATGTGGCAGAAGTGATGTCATGCAAGTTCCAGAGCTGGGGCCTTAAGAGGCTTGCAGCTTCCCCGCTTGCTCTCTTGGAACTGTGAGTCCCCATGCAGTGTAAAGCCTGGTCTAGCCTACTGGAGGATGAGACGCCACATGAAGGAGAACCAAGGGGCTCCCAGAGAGAACAGAGGGGCATGAACAGGCAGCACCAAGTGCCAGGCGTGTGACTGGTCATTCTGGACTCCCCAGCCCAATCAATCTGTCAGATGACTGTTGCTGTGAGTGATCCCAGGAAAGACCAGAGAAGAACAAGCCTGACTAACTAACCCACAGTATCATCAAAAATAATAAGCTGCTGTTTTAAGTCACTAAGCTTGGGGGTCAATTGCTCTGCAGCAGTAGCTAATGTAACACTAGCAGGAGGGGCTGCCTGCCCTCGGCGAGCTGCTCTGCTCCTAGCTGCCCATCCTCCTGTGTGCTGCCCCTGCTGATCTCCCTCCTAGAGATTCTGGGGAATTTTGATGAGGAATTTTTATTTCATGGGTTTGGCCCATGGATTTCCACTGGTCTGGGCTGATGGTTCACATTGACAATAGCATTAGAAATGGTTATCCCCTGAGGGACAAAAGGCATGGTATTATGAGCTAGCAATCCTAGAAAAAAAAATACATATATATATTTCAAAAAGAAAGACAAGAAGAAACGCTGGTGCTGGAAGATCCTCTGCCTGCATCCTGTCCTGGCCTCTGGCTCCAGAGCTTGTGCAGTGCCTGGCACGGAGCAGGCGGTGAGAAGGCAGTGCAGTCCCTACAGCACACAAATGCCCTACATGGTACAGACTTACAGATTCACCTTACTAAAGTAGCCATCGCATTGGTGAGCACATGGAAAGAACTGTAATGAGCATAATGGAAATTTCTACCCTCACCTATTCCCCAACATTGCAGGTCCTCCTGGCCCCTTTGAACTCATTCATTAATTTATTCATTTAGCAAATGTCTATTGAATACCTACTAGGTGCCAGGCACTATGTTGGGTGCTGGGGACTAGAAGAGAATGAGATAGTCTCTGTCCTCAAGGATCTCAGTCTACTGCCAGAGAAGGGAATACAACAGATACATATGAATGTATATGAATATATATATGAATATATATGTATATATAAATATATAAATTAATATATGAATTTATAAAATAATAATTATTAATAGCTAAATTAAATGAATATTGATTTCATTTGAATATATAAATTATATGAATATATAAATTGAATATATAAATTAATATGAATATATAAATTAATAATTATTAATAGATAAATTAAAAAGCAATATGAAGAGTTATGGCAGCTACAGAAACAAGACCCAAGGAAAAAGCTTCTCCCTTGGGCCAACTTGACATAGATTCCCTGACAAAATTGATACTTGGTCTCTAGTAGCAGCCTGTAACTCCTGGATGATGGGGTGGGCCTTTGGCTATTCCCTGCACCATTTCCCAAACAGGTGAATCAGCCCACCCCAAGACCCAAGCATTGCCTCCCCCTTGGATATTTGCACACTGCACTGGCGTCCTGAGATTCCCTGCACACAGCCTCAGGGTGGATCCCTCAATGTCTCAGTTTCCTAATCTGGAAGAGGAGGCCCTTCCAGCTTCAGATTTCCTGTATGGCAGTGAATGAGATCATAATCTGTCAACCCCTCACCCATCTGCATCGGATTGAGAAATTGCAACTTGAAAGGTTAGAGCTGGAAGGGGCTCAGAGAACATCTAGTCCAACCCTCTCACAAGGAAACCAAGGCCTGTGGAGGTGGAGATTTAACCATCACACAGCTGCCCCTAATTACTGTCTGCCTCCCTCAAAGGCAAGGGGTCACAGGAGAACTATGACTAGAACCCGGCTTCTGCCTCTCAGTTCAGTGGTCTCTTCATCACACCATGTTTCTTTTACTATCTTTGGAAAAGAGCCAGGAGAAGGTCAAAGAGGCCAGGAAGGCTCAATTTCACGCTACTCCCAAGTGCTGTCGAAGATGCCAGCTTTAACACAACTCCACCCATGATAGCTCATGTCTAGGTGCAGGATAGAGATCATGACTTAAGCAGCTGTGTGGCCAGAGGAGCAGTACCCCCTGAGAACTTGGGATGCTGAGATTTAGAGGATTTCTCCCATAGTCCTATCAACAAACTCATCAACAGGATGCTTTTGGCAGCCTTACCCAAGAACCAAGGAGCCCCTGGCAAACAGTGTCCCTTTCACTCCCAAGAGCCATATGTTTTCTGAGCAAATGAATTCCTTTCATCTTTATGGACATGGAGACTCATGGAATGGATTATTTCCCTCTTTGCTGTGACTGCTAGGAAGCACAGGGCAGGATTTGCTGCCAACTCTAACCAAGTGTACATGACCTCACAGCATATAACTCTGAGCACTAAACTTATTCTGGGCCTCAACTTAGCTTTCTAGCCATATTTTTCCTTCTCCTTTCCCCCAGTTTTCTCACCTATTATTTATCATTTTTATCTCATGTGTATATTGGAAGTCACCACAGATCCTTTTGGGGGAAGACTAAATAAATAAACAAGCAAACAGCTGGTTTTAACAGGAGACTGAAGAGAAAGTACCAAGAGAGAAAATATTTGTTCTCTGTGACTCCTTTAACTCAACGCTAGAAAGAACTACAAAACTGGGACAAGTAGGGAAAAACTTCTGCACACAAAGCACTTACAGGGTCTAGAAGCAGGGAAAATACTGAAAATCTTTAATGTCTGCTAGGCGCAGCACATCAGAACAGCTCATCAGAACAGACCCTGCCCATGCCAGCCATAAATAAACGGCCCAGCCCTACTTGAATACAGCGGCTTCCATCATCTGTGACCTGCAGGTGGGAACCTGGATCCTTGCTCTCACTCCAGTCCTCAGCTACCTGTCCATCTGAGAGCTGGCTGGAGCCTCATTGTCTTCACCTCTAAAATGAATCGATGATTTACAGCCCTCCCAGCCTTGACACAGCCTAGTTTCCAATAAACCAAACCTCTGCTAGGAGAATTGGTGAGCACCACCATGCTTCTACAAAAGACTCCCCCCACCCACTGGAAATTTGACACAGAGCCTCTAAGTTATTATCCCAGCCAACCTCTCGATAATTTCCCTTTTCCAGTTTGCTGCTTGTGACATTAGGGCATGATGGAATGCTAGCTTCACAATGGGATTCAATCTTATTAACGGGAACCTGATTAGATTATATTTCACTGCAGCGCAGAGGCCACTGTATTTCAAGGACAGACAGGCCAGCCGTGCTAGAAGCATGCAGAGACCCACTCTCCGCAGACCTCCAGGAATCCAACCCAAGCCTGCCGCAGGCACAGTAAAACACAGACGAGGCATAAGCATAGATTCCGACCTTGAGAAGGTGTTCCGGGCGTAGTGCATGATGCTGTCAAAGTCGTATGTCTCTCCCAGAGAGCTCACTTCCCCAGCTTCCATTTTTAAGAAATTATACTCCTGACCTGTGACACAACACTGTGTTAAGCCCTTTGAAAACCAAGTCAGGCACCTGAAAGGAGGCAGAGGAAGGAGAAGGAGGGCCCATAACAACTTCCCAGGGCTCTCTTGGCCCAATCAGTCAAATAACAGGGCTTGTAGTGGTTCTTGTTGTTTTTAATAATTAGAAATTTGAAACCTCCAGCAAGCCCTGTGTTCTCCCAACCCCACCACCCAAGACCTATCCCCAAATGCCACTCAAACCTCTTAAAGTAAGTTTGCAGACAGATTAGTTATCAACTTGCTTGCCCCCGCAAAAAATAAAAAATAAAAATAAAAAACTCTGGGCCAGGTGCCATGGCTCACACCTGTAATTCCAGCACTTTGGGAGGCCAAGGCGGGTGGATCGCCTGAGGTCAGGAGTTCGAGACCAGCCTGGCCAACATGGCGAAACACCGTCTCTACTAAAAATACAAAAATTAGCCGGGCATGGTGGCGGGTGCCTGTAGTCCCTGCTACTTGGGAGGCTGAGGCAGGAGAATGGTGTGAACCCGGGAGACGGAGCTTGCAGTGAGCCAAGATCGCACCACTGCACTCCAGCCTGGGTGACAGAGCAAGACTCTGTCTCAAAAAAAAAAAAAAAGTACAAAAATTAGCTGGGCGTGGTGGTGGGTGCCTGTAATCCCAGCTACTTAGGAGGCTGAGGCAGGAGAATCCCTTGAACCCAGGAGGCGGAGGTTGCAGTGAGCCAAGATCACGCCACTGCACTCCAGCCTGGGCAGCAAGAGTGAGACTCTGTCTCAAAAAACAAACAAAAAAAACAAAACAAACAAACAAAAACCTGATCTTGCAATTTGAAGAAACAAAAGAAAATGAATCAGAGAGTTAAGTTCAATCCTAAATAGCTCACAATTCAGATTCTCTAAAGCATTTGTAAGGCAATCATATTCTTCAACTAGCTACTTTTCATGCTCAATATTAACTTCCATATAAAATTATTTGACATAAGAGAGTATTTTTTTTTAATCTAGACACTTTATCTGCCTTGGGGCAGAATGTTTCTAGGCAGAAACACTGTTTTTACATGTGTTCATGTCCTAATTGTATTTCAGTTTCAGAAAATATGTTGCCTAAGTCAGCAAAAATAACTCATAAAAGCAGCCAGGAGAACTCTTTTTTTTTTTTTTTTGGCTTATCAGCTCTGATGCTGTAACAGTGTTCTGGTCGACTGTGTTCCTTTCAGGAAATGGAGTTAGATTTCAATGTCCTTTAAAACATGGAAAATCATTTTGCTTCTGCTCCAACCTACAAGCTATGGCAGATGACCTCCCAGGAAGCCACAGATGGACAGTGGTCAGACTGGTGAGACGGGCCTGTACAACAGAGTCATTGCTCCATATTCAGCAGTTAGCATTGCTCAGCTCCCAGCAAGTCCCCTCCTTCCCTCCCTCCTGTCCCTGAGGTTGCCACCTTCTCGACCGGTGCCTTCCAGACTCCACACAGGCCTCCTTACCTGGCTGGATGTTTTCCCTGATGATGGTGACATGTTGGTCTCTGTCTGGCCGGGTGTGTTCATGCCAAAACCCAACCACATGGCCCAGCTCGTGAGCCACAATGCCAAACTTGTCACAGTTCTTCCCAATGGATATGGCCTGTGGGCCTCCTCCTCGGCGCCCAACATAGGAGCAACAGCTGGACAATTGCAGGAATACCCAGGTCAGCAGGTCAGAAGACATTCAGAGCAAGAGGCAAGTCCCCCCTCCCACTCTGTATGTGTGTGCGTGTGTGCATGTAAAAGAACAGAATTTCAGGCCGGGTGCAGTGGCTTACGCCTGTAATCCCAGAACTTTGGGAGGCCGAGGTGGGCGGATCACCTGAGGTCAGGAGTTTGAGACCTGCCTGGCCAACATGGTGAAACCCTGTCTCTACTGAAAATATAAAAATTAGCCAGATGTGATGGTGTGTGCCTGTAATCCCAGCTACTTGGGAGGTTGAGGCAGGAGAACTGCTTGAACCCCGGAGGCAGAGGTTGCAGTGAGCCAAGATCACGCCACTGCACTCCAGCCTAGATAACAAGAGTGAAACACCGTCTCAAAAAAAAAAAAAAAAAAGAAAAGAAACAGAATTTCAGAAGTGAAAGTGCTCTCATTGTCCAACTTCCCACCCAATGACCCAATGCAGAAATTCCCTCCAAAAATGGTTCTTGAGCTTTTTGTGGTTATGAATCTTCTTGAAAAGCCAACAAAAGATACGGTCTCTCTCTGACATAAAGTCCATACCATACTCTACCCCTCCACCTGCAAGGTGCTGGAGTCCCTGCTGGGCCATTTTTAATGAAAAGGAGAAGAGTCACGGGAAGGAGGCAGATGAGTGTCTATAATGCATGCAACTTGGTGTCATTATCAGAGGAGCCTTAGAGATGACTCCCTTCTGGGCACAATCATTTTTTTCAAATAATACTTATATACATTTTTGTAATACTAAAATTTATTTCATCAGTCTTCTATTAATGTACATCTCGGCTGTAACTCCAGTTTTTGCTATTTTAACAAGGCCTCGGGGGAGAGGATGACAAGCAAAACAAATAAAAACAACAGCAAATGAAACAAAGAAATGGTAGTGTAAATTTCTACCAATGGGATTCATGGGTAAAAGGATATGTGCATTTGAAATTTTGATAGATACTGTCAAATTGCACTCCCAAAATGTTGTCTGTTTATATACTCACTAGTAAGATATTAAAAGCCCCTTTCTCTTTACCTGAAAGAAAGGAAGTCAGTCTATTGAAGAGATATCCACACTCTCATGTTTGTTGCAGCACTGTTCATGATAGCTAAGATTTGGAAGCAACCTAAGTGTCCATCAGCAGTTGAATGGATAAAGAAAATGTGTACACACAGAAAATATGTACAAGTACACAATGAAGTACTATTCAGCCTAAAAAAGAATGAGATCCTGTCATTTGCAACAACAGGAATGGAACTGGAGATCATTATGTTAAGTGAAATACGCCAGGCACAGAAAGACAAACATCATATGTTCTCACTTATTTGTGGTAGCTAAAAATTAAAACAATTGAACTCATGCAGATAGAGACTAGAAGGATGGTTACTGGAGGCTGGAAGGGTAGTGGGGGACTGGTGGGGAAGGTGGAGATGGTTAATGGGTAAAGAAAAAAAAATGAAAGCATGAATAAGATATACTATTTGACCAAAAAAACAGAGTGACTATAGTCAATAATAAGTCAATTGTACATTTAAAAACAACTAAAAGAGTGTAACTGGATTGTTTGTAAGACAAAGGATAAATGCTTGAGGGGAGGGATACCCCATTCTCCATGATGTGATTATTTCACGTTGCATGCCTGTATCAAAACATCTCGGGTACCCAACAAATATATACACCTACTGTTTACTCACAGAAGCTTAAACAAATGTTTAAGTCCTATTTCCCTCATCCTGGCCAACACTGGTTTTATCAAACTATTTTGCCAATTGGATAGGTAAAAAATGGGATTTCACTGCATTGAGGCTGGATAGTTTTTCACATATTTTAAGCGACATTTTTTTTTCTGTGAATTATGTGATCACCTCTTTTCCCTGTTTTCTTTTGGGTTGTCCATTTTTTTATGATTGATATTTAAGAACCCTTTGTAAATTAGGGAAACTAGTCAAGAGTGTTGCAAGTATTTTGCTCACTTTGTTAGTTCTCATTTGACTTTGTTTTTATGTATTGTTTTGTTTTTTTTGCATTATAAAAGTTTTTAATGTTAGTATTACAAAATGTATTCATTTTCTTATGTGCTGCTTAGAAAGGTCATCCATATTTCAAGATTATAAATAAAATCTACTCTTGTTTCCTTCCTATACTCTTCGATTTTTTCTTTCTTTCTTCCATTTTTTTCTTTAATACTTACATCTTTGATCTAGCTAGAATAGTTATCGGTATAAGAAGTGAGGTAGGAGTCCAGCTTTTTTTTTTTTCACAGAGAGTTATCTAAATTATCCCAATATTCAAATATCCCAATTGACTAATTGATCTTTCTCCCACTCATTTAAAATGTTACCCAAATTTGTGTATAGGTATATTCATTTTGGACCCTTTTTTGTATATATCTATTTTTCCCTTAAGTTCCAAACTGTTTTGTTATTATCTTCCTTTTGCATTTTAATATTCTGCATGTTTGGTTAGACCATTAGATAGCTACCTCTGTCATTACTGTTTTCTCTCTCTCTCTCTCTCTCTCTCTCTCTCTCTCATTATTTCTACATGGTTGTTCCTCCAGATAAACTCTAGTATCATTTGTTCAAGTTCTAAAAATATGTATGCATACATACACATGTACGTATATATCTATAAATGTTGGTGTTTAAATCAGAAAGGCATGAATGTACAGCTTATTTTAGGGAGTTCTGACATCTTTACTATGTTGAGTATCCCTACATCAGGAAGCAATATGCTTTCTATTTTTACTTTTTTTTTTTAGGTTCCTTGGAGTTTTAGCATTTTCTTCCTATAGGTCTGGCACATTTATGTTTAGTCTTAGATATAGTATCTATTATGTTTCTATTAAAGTTGTGATTTTTTCCCATCATAAAAGTGTATCAAACTATTTCATGTATAAAGAAAAGCAGTCACCTATTCTTGTTAATTAATTAATTTTGTGGTCACTTAATAGAGTCTCCTTGTGTTTCTAACAGCTTTTCAATTGATATTCTGGGGTTTCTAGGCACACAGTCACTTTACCTCCCATCAGTGCAAACATTGCCTTGTTCCTGCCAATATTCACAGTTTTTCTTTCTTTCTCTTGTCTAATTTATATTAATTAGCAATTCCAAAACAATGCTAAATAATTGTGGTAACCCTAAACATCTTAAACTTGTTCATGATTTTAACTAAAATTAAATGCTTCTAGAAGTATCATCGATAAACATGATATTGGCTTTTGGTTGGAAGTTATTTATATAAATGTATATTTATACTTACATATATATAATGCAAGAATCTATCCTTGACATCTATTTCTGTGCTACCTTGGTTACTTTTTTAAAACAAAAACTGCATGTTGTATTGTACAGGTGCCTTTTAGCATCTATTGAGATATGAATATAGCTTCTCTTCTTTGACCAATCAATCTTGAGAATAGATTTCCTAATGTTGAACTAATCTTGTATTCCCTAGATAAATGTATTTGGCAGTCTCCTCTTCTTTTCTTCTGCTGCCGAATTCTATGTGCTAACATTTTATTTAGGATTTTGCATGGCTATTCACATGTGAGATGAGTCTATAATTTTTTCTTTCTTATCTTTTTTATCATGTTTTCCTTTCTTTCTCTATTTATTTGGTGCCATCCTTTTCATTTCAAGGTAGCAATGCCATAACAGTTCCTCAAAAGTAATTTGAAAGCGTTCATCTTTCTCTATGCTCTAAAAAGTTTAAGTATACCAGAATAATCTGTTTTTGAAGTTTTGAAAGAATTCACCTGTGAAACTCTGGGTCTGGTGCTTTGTGGGAGATGGCTTTTTCCCTCCGTTCTTCAATTTCATTCAAAGTTCTTGGTCTGTACCAGTACTTTATTTTTACCTTGAAGACTTTCACATTATCCACATTTTCACACTTCTTGCCCTAGAGTTTTGCAAACTACTCCTTTGTGATTCTGCTGAATCTGTGGCTATTTCTCCCATTTTCATTTCTAATCTTATGTATTTCTATGTAATCATATTTTGTCTCAATTAAACTAACAAGTGGTTTATCTGTTGTTTTCTGTTTGTTTGTTTATTCAAATAATTTACTCTTGAATTTGTTAGCTCTGTAATGTTTCACCTTGTCTGTTTCCTTGTGCTCTCCTTAGGTTTATTTTGTTGTGGTGATGGTGGTGGGTTGTAAGTATTTATTTTTACTAGCTTCTTTGAATTGAATATTTCATTGTCACTATTGTCAACGGGTGATGTGGATACTTAAGTCTGTGGGCTTTTGTCCAGACATAGCTTTAGCTATATCTCTTTTATTTTGAACCATAGGGCTTTCATTACCTAGACATTCTGCAATTTTAATCTTGCTGTTTTTATGACCTAAGAGCCATAAAAATGGAAGCATGGGGGGACTTTTAACTTACCAGCTAATGTTTATTCTATTTTTGTTATTATGTTATGTCCAGTTTCACTGCTTTGCAATCAGAAAATATCTTAATGCTATTTCTGCCTTTAAGAATTTGTTAAGATGTTCTTAATGCTTAATAGATGGGCCATTTAAAAAAATGTGTTATGAGGTTATAGAATCTGATAGACCTATAGAATCAACTCTATTAACTGTATTTTTCAAATCCTCTGTGAATCTCTACTTATTTTTTGGTCAACGTGACACTGACTTACTTGGGCTGACAGAAATGAATTAAGTCTCGTGCTACTGAGCATTTCTGTCAATTTCCCCTTGAATTCCCTGGGGCTTGTTTTATGACTCTTGATGCTATGCTATTTGGTGCATGAAGACTTATGACAGTTATATTCTCACTGTCCCTTATACCCTTTCTCATTATAAAGTGTCTCAGCTTTTAACATTTTCTGACTTTAAAAACAAAAACAACAAAACAATGAAAACCTAGTCAATGACTAAAATTGTGATCCCAGCTTTCTTTTTGTTAGCATTTACCTGTATGGCTTCTTTCCTTTTACTTTTAAACCTCTCTAGGTTGTTTTATTCAGTAATCATCTTATGTATAGACCATGTAGTTGGGTTTGGTTTTTTTTGTTGTTGTTGTTTTGTTTTGTTTTCTTTCTGAGATGCAGTTTTGCTCTTGTTGCCCAGGCTGGAGTGCAATGGCGGGATCTCGGCTCACTGCAATCTCTGCCTCCCAGCTCCAAGCGATTCTCCTGTCTCAGCCTCCCAGGTAGCTGGGATTACAGGCATGTGCCACCACACCTGGCTAATTTTGTATTTTTAGTAGAGATGGGGTTTCACCATTGTTGGTCAGGCTGGTCTGGAACTCCCGACCTAAGGTGATCTGCCCACCTCAGCCTCCCAAACTGCTGGGATTACAGGCGTGACTCACCGCTCCTGGCCGGGTTTGGGTTTTTGATCCAACATGAGAAGCTTTTCAGTAGGAAAGTATATCATACATATTTATTGACATAACAGATAACTTTAGTCATAAGCCAGTCATTTTATTACATATTATGTTTTCTGAAGGAAGTTTGTAAACCTGTAGAATCCCTCAAATTAAATGCAAAATTTTACATACATATTCATCTATTCTTGAAGAAGGAAAGCCCACCGCTTCATCAGATTCTAAATGGGGACACAAACCCCAAGAGGTTAAGAACCACTGCCTTAAGTCTTCACATGACACACCACCAGTTCCTTCTGTTGCTCTTCTAGTGCCAGTACCCCTGGTCTTCATGGAGTCTCCTGGAATCTTCCTCTTGGCCCATCAGCTTTGCCACTGGATTGTAATTTCACCAAGGGCAGAAAGTTTCTAGCAAACCCTGGACTCCTCTAAATAACAGCTCATTGGAAATACTTAGGTTTACAGAGAAAATTCAACACTCATGAGCCATCCGACTGATTCTGCAGAGGTGGCCTCGCTTTCGTTTACTTACCCACAGGTTCTGTAACTGAATACAATAAAGCTTTCCTCATCCGTCCTTTCTATGAAGGTCACACAGGTGTGCTTCTCCCAGTGTCTCATGGCCTGCTTAAAAATGGCCCTCTGGCTCCCTGAAACAACAGGGCAAGCACTCGACTTCAATGATGGGTCCATATTTTCTTTAGATGCTTTTTTTTTTCTTTCAAGACGGAGTTTTGCCTTTGTTGCCCAGGCTGGAGTGCAATAGTGCGATCTCGGCTCACTGCAACTTCTGCCTCCTGGGTTCAAGCGATTCTCCTGCCTCAGCCTCCCCAGTAGCTGAAATTATAGGCATGTGCCACCACGCCCGGCTAATTTTGTATTTTTAGTAGAGATGGGGTTTCTCCATGTTGGTCAGGCTAGTCTTGACTCCTGACCTCAGGTGATCCGCCAGCCTCAGCCTCCCAAAGTGCTGGGATTACATGCATGAGCCACGGCACCCAGCCTCCTTAGATGCTTTAAAGCATGCTGAGTTAAGACAAAGGATGTTCCAACAATTAAAAAAAAAGATTGTTAATAATACTGTATTGTTTACTTGAAATTTGATAAAAGAACAGATTTTGTGTCCTCACCAGCCCCCAATGTAAGCATGGGTGGTGATGGATGTGCTAATTAATTTGATTATGGTGATCGAGACATAATATATCAAATCTTCATGTTGTATACCTTGAATATATACAATTTTTATTTGTCAATTAAATATTTTCAAAAAAAAAAAAAGCTTGTTCAGAATAGAAATACTCCAGGAATTTTCAGGAATCAGGATTTCCCTTGCTAAAAACACAACGTAACTTTTCTGAGCTGCCAAAACCTAGAGAGTAGGAGTTTGTGGATTGGAAGGGAGGGTAAAAATAGATTTTCAAAATATCCTGGGCTTCCCAAATTTTCCTTTGTATTGAAAGTATTTTCCAAACTTTTACAAAACCTTATCCAGGTTTTTCGATTTGGAAACTGCAGGCTTTTGAAGTAGGGGGGAGTCAACTCCAGCTCACCAGCACTGCACTTCGCCCCCTCATTTTCTTTTAGACCTGTAGGGGGGTGCTCCCATGCACTTTAAAATTTCTATTTGCATGTACATCTGTGTACTTTTGCACGGGGTTTCAGTGTCTTGTGGGGAATCCTTGAGCCTAATTTTTCTTCCAGGCCTTTGAAAATAGGTGAACTTCATACTTTCTCTGAACCTGTCTTGGTATTTCCTTGAGTGGAAATTTGCTGAATAATAAAACTCCAGGCTGACAGTTACGTATAGTCAGTCAGTTCTTTTCAAAATCTAGAAGGAAGACTGTTTAAATTTTCCTAGAAGCAATGAGAAGGATCTAGGAAAAAATAGTTGTCTGGGAAGTATGAAGGATGGTGGGAGTTGGAGGTCTGAGTTCTACAGGGCCCTCATTGCAAAACAAAAACAAAAATTACAAGCAAAACAAAACAGCTGACATCACTTGGATGTTTGTCCCCTTCAGATCTCGTTTTGAAACATAATCCCAGTGTTGGAGGTGGGCCTGGTGGGAGGTGTTTGGGTCATGGGGATGGGTCCCTCAAGAAGGGCTTAGTGCCATCCCCTTGGTGAATGAGCTCTCGCTCTGAGTTCATGAGAGATTTGGTTGTTTAAAAGTGTGTGGTACCTACCCCACCTCTCTCTTGCTCCCTCCCACCATGTGATGTTCTGGCTTCCTGTTGCCTTCCGCCATGATTGCAAGCTTCCTGAGGCCTCACCAGGAGCAGATATGCTGCCACCATGCTTCTCAGACAGCCTACAGAGCCGTGAGCCAAAACAAACTTCTTTTCCTTAGAAACTACCCAGCCTCAGGTATTCCTTTAGAGCAACACAAATGGACTAGCACAACAGCACTGGGGGAGGCTCCCATCATTGTCTGCAGGATGTGGGGATGGTATCATATTGTTGTCCCCAAAAACATTCATATAGAATAAAGAATAACAGCTGGGCATGGTGATTCATGTCTGTAATCCCAGCACTTTGGAAGGCCAAGGCAGGTGGATCCCTTAAGCTCAGGAGTTTGAGACCAGCCTGGGCAACATGGTGAAACCCTGTCTCTACAAACACTTAAGAAGAAAAAATTAGCTGGGCTTGGTGGCACACGCCTGTAGTCTCAGCTACTCAGGAGGCTGAAGTGGGAGGATCGCTTGAGCCTGGAAGGTTGAGGCTGCAGTGAGACGTGATCATGCCACTGCACTGCAGCCTGGGCAACAGAGTAAGACCCTGTCTCAAAAAAATAAAAGAAAGAAAGAAGAAACAAACAACAACAACAAAAAATAGAATAACTTAACTGTCCATTTTTTTTCTGACATCTTGACATTTTTTGTTCAAATTGTTTATAGCTCAATCGCTCACCAAAAATAGCAACCCTACTAATTATCTAATAACATGAAATACTTGTGTCAACAAAATTCCTATATATAAAATTAGTTAACTTTGATGAAAGTAATATAAATCTTTGGTCAGAAAAGCACACCAGATCTGAAAGAACACAGTTAGGATACCAAGGAACAAAAGTCTGTAGTGGTTTATAATTTCTATTTTTTTTCTTTAGGCACTCACCTTTCTCTGCTGTGAGAACAGACCTCCTTGAAGGCAGGATGAAATCTTAGTCATCTTTTTTACCACCAATCCCTAATTAAGCACCTGGCACTAGGAAGCCGTGGGTTAATGCTGCGGGAGCGAAAGGGAACTGCAGGAATTCCGCTGCCCTGCTGCTGAGGTCTTCACCGTTCCCTAACTTACTCATCAGCGATTCTCAGTGGCTTTGGCAAATCCTCAGGGAATCTGCCTTCATCAGCCACCTCTCAGAGTAGAGGTCACAGAGCCACAGGGAGGGGAAGGACTTATAAGTTGCACTGAGAGCCCAGGAAAGTCTCTCGGTATGGCTTGTCACTCAGGCTTTCCATTGACATTGGCCGCAGGTACGCAGTGGGCATATTTGCTACCTGCCTAGGATGTGCCGCGCCCTGCTCTAGGTGTTGGAGATACGGAAGCAGAAATGAGACAGAAAAAAGACTGCTGCTCCCACAGAGCTTAGACAGAGACAAAAATAAATGAAACAGAAATAGAAGTAAAGAGTTCAGGTCACGGTAAGTGCTGCCAATGTTATAAAGCAGGGTCTGGGGACAGGGAGGCGCTGGTGGGGGGAGGGCAGAAGGCCTTCCTGTGATGTGTCCCTTGACATAAGACTCAAATGATAAGAAGAAGACAGCCATGCAAAGACCTGGGGAAAGGGCCTCCAAGGGAGACAGAAGGCAAGTTCAAGTGTGAGTGCTCAGGGGCCTATGAGGGGGGCACGTCTTGGGATGGGCACATGGCTGGTGAGGCCAGAGCTTAGGGATGAAGGATGGGAGAAGGGTAGAGAGGGTCAAAGGCCAGGCAGGAGAGGGACAGTGGGGTACTTGAGGGAGGGCATTACAGGCCCATGGTCAGGAATTTCATTCTAGTGGCAATGGGAAGCTGGGGATGATTCACATATTTTAAAGATAATATTAATATCAGATACATACTAATTACTGTGTGCCAGGCACCACTCTAAGCGCTTTATCTATAGTAACCCATTTGATTCTCAAAACAACCAGATGGGGTAGAAGATATTATCATCCCCATTTACAGAAGAGGGAACTGAGGCACAGAGAGGCTAATTTCCCCAGGGCATTTTGCTGGCAAGTGCTGGAGCTGAGATTTGGACCCAGGGAGTCGAGCCATGTCCACTGGTCCCTTTGGTCACTGAGTGGAACACTGCTTGTAGGTGGTGGCAGGGGACCTCTGAGTCCAGGACGCTCATCCAGGCAGAGGACAGGGAAGCCAACCATGTGCAGTTGCTCAGGGACTTTCTTCTATGCGGAGGGCTTGTCCTCAAACAGTCATCATGCAAACCCCACTTATCCGTCAAGGTCCTTCCAGGTCACTCCCCACATGAAGCATCGGGGAGCAAGGTAACCAACTTTGAGGACATAGCTCCAACAGAGACTGCAATTTCCCCAGGACTGGTGGGCCAGGACTTGCCGGCAAGAGGGGGGCATCATCTGTAGGCCTGCTGTGGTCCCTAACATCTGCTCCATCCCACCCGGGTCCTTCCTAGAAGGACTCTCTCAACCCAGGGAGACAAAGCACCCTGACCCAAAGCAGACCTTGTCTGTGGCTACTGACCAGTGAAGTTCCCTCCAATGACGTAGGGGATGACTCCTCCAGGCCATATCCTCTCTGTCCTTGAGGTTGTGGCTCTTCGGACCCGGGGAGAGAAGGTCTTGGCTGCGGCATGCAAGGTCCCAGGGCTGTGCAGGAGTGTGGTATTCTCCCGGCCATCTGCAACACAGTCAGGTTAATATTGATTTTGCCCTTTGGTTCCTCCTGTGAATTATGGCTGAGGTTGTATTATCCACAATTCCAAAAAGGGGGTGTTAAAACATGTTCCAAAGGGGCTATTTCATCAGTTCAGGGTTTGGAAGCCCTGGGTGGCAGTTTTCCAGATGGGGTAAGAGTACATGTAGTAAATGTACCGGGCTATGATGGGAGTGGGTTTGGCTTGTCTGAGGCCTTGAGAGAGGTCACATGGGGCCACAGAATCAAATGGGCAGGGATACCTCACAGCTCTTTGGGTGGGGCTGAGGTTGGGGTGCACTTTCTGCTCAGAGTCACAAGCATTTGGGGAACAAACTGGGTCAATCTCTTGCCTTGATCCAATATGGTCAGTGTTGCATATTTTGAAATAATTTGGCCAGTACAACAAGGAGAGTGAACCTGTCTGTGAAACTGGAAAAATTATTTATAAGAAAAACCGTGGGAAAAGCAGACCCTCATAAAACCCCCAACTCTTGGCATCTGTACCCTTAAGACAGGAGTGTGGCAAACACAAGGAGGTTCGATGGAAGGTTCTGAGTCCACGCGTTGGGCCTCCCACAATGGCAGAGGTAGGTAGGTGGAATAGAACGCTGAAATCCATGGACACCAGTCACTGAATCCGCATGCATTTCATTCACCAGTCAGATAATTTAAAATTTTGTTTTCAGTTGGCTTGCTTAGAATCCCTCATTATTCTAACTTGGAGCATTTTCACTCTAGTTTTTATACTTTTTCCCCTAAAAATCAGGTTTTGTTTTTGCAGACTCTTTTCTTTGTTTTTGTTTGTTTGTTTGTTTATTGAGACAGAGTCTCACTCTATCACCCAGGTTGCAGTGGCGCAATCTCGGCTCACTGCAACTTCCACCTCCCGGGTTCAAGCGATTCTCCTGCTTCAGCCTCCCGAGTAGTTGGTATAACAGGCGGAAGCCATCATGCCTGGCTAATTTTTGTATTTTACTAGAGATGGGGTTTCATCATGTTGACCAGGCTGGTCTCGAACTCCTGACCTCAAGTGATCCACCCGCCTAGGCCTCCCAAAGTGCTGGGATTACAGGTGTAAGCCACCGTGCCTGGCCAATTCTTTTCACTTTTCTTTATTACATTAATGTTATTTACTTTATTACTTCCTTCTATTTTCACTTGTTTTATCCTGACATTTCCTTCCTAGCTTCTTTTCTCTCTTATTTAAAAAAATTGAGATAGAATTCACACACCCTATTTAGCCTTTTAAAGTATACCATTCAGTGGCTTTTAGTATTTTCACAAAGTTGTGAAACCATCACCATTATCTAATTCTACAGTATTTTCATCATTCCAAAGAGAAACTTTGTACTCATTAACAGTCACTCCCCATCTCTCCCTTTCCCGAGACCTTGGCAACCAGTAATCAACTTTGTTTCTATGAATTTGCCTATTCTGGACATTTCCTAGAGATGGAATCACACCACATGTGGCCTTTTGTGTCTGGCTTCTTTCACTTGGCATGTTTTCAAGGATCACTCATGTTGTAGTATGAATCAGTTCTTCATTTTATGGCTGAGTAGTATTCCATTGTATGCACATACCACATTTTGTTTATCTGTTCTTCAGTGGGTGGACATTTAGGTTATTTCCACTTTTTGGCTGTTAGGAATAACGCTTCTATGAACATTCATATACACATTTTTGTGGACATAGTTTTTTCATTTCTCTTGGGTACATGCCTGGGGTGGAATTGCTGGGTCATATGGTAACTCTATGTTGAACCTTTTGAGAAACTACCAGACTGTTTTTCAAAACAGTGGCACCATTTTACATTCTCACCAGAAATACACCAGGGTTCCAATGTCTCCACATCCTCGTCAACACTTGTGATTGTCAATCTTTTTTATTATAGTCATCCTAATGGTGTGAAGCGGAATCTCATTTTGGTTTTGATTTTCATTTCCCCAATGACTAATGATGTTGAACATCTCTTCCACGTACTTGGTGGTCATTTGTGTATCTTCTTCAGAGAAATATCTATTCAAATTATTTATTCATTTCCTTTTTTTTTTCTTTTTTTTTTTTTTGAGACGGAGTCTTGCTCTGTTGCCCAGGCTGGAGTACAGTGGCACGATCTCGGCTCACTGCAACCTCTGCCTCCCGGGTTCATGCCATTCTCCTGCCTCAGCCTCCTGAGTAGCTGGGACTACAGGTGCCCACCACCACACCCAGCTAATTTTTTGTATTTTTAGTAGAGATGGGGTTTCACCATGTTAGCCAGGATGGTCTCGATCTCCTGACCTCGTGATCTGCCCGCCTCGGCCTCCCAAAGTGCTGGGATTACAGGCATGAGGCTCTTTTATTGTTGTGTTATAATTAGTCTTTATATATTCTAAATACCAGGCTCTTGTCAGATATATAATTTCCAAATCTTTCTTCCATTCTGTAGGTTGTCTTTTCACTTTTATAATAGTGTCCTTTGAAGCACAAATGTTTTTAATGAAGTCCAATTTATCTATGATCTTCTTTTGTTGCTTGTGCTTTTGGTGTCATATCTAAGAAACCATAGCCTAATTCAAGATCACAAAGATTTATACGTATGTTTTATTCTGACAGTTTTATAGTTTTAGCTCTTATATCTAGGTCTTTGATCCATTTTTAGTTAATTTTTGTATATGGTGTGAGGTAGGGCTCCAACTTCACTCTTTAGTATGTAAACATCTAACTGTCCTAGGACCATTTGTAGAAAAGACTAGTTTTTCTCCATGGAATTGTCTTGGTGCTCTTGTCCAAAATCAACTGGCCATCCTTTCCTAGCTTCTCGAGTTGAATACTTGGTGCATTAATTTTACATCTTTCTTATAAATATTAACATTTTCAAGGCTAAATTTCTCTCTGACGTCTTGTTTTCCTGTGTCTCACATTTTGAAATGTACATTTTCAATGTTAGATATTGATACATTCTTTAAGTTCCATTTAGACTTTCTTCTTTGACCTCTGAATTATTTCAAAGTATGGGTTTTAATTTCTAAACATTTGTTTCTCTGTGTGTGTTATTGATTTCTAACACTGCACTGTGTTCTAATAACCTATTCTTCATGGTAGGGGTTAGCAATTTTTCCATAAAAGGCCATATAGTAAATATTTTAAGCTTTATGTGTCATATATTCTTTGTTACAACTACTCAACTCTGCCATTGTACTGTGAAAGCAGCCACAGATAATATGTCAATAAATGGACATGGCTGTGTGCCAATAAAACTTTATTTGCAAAAACAGCAGGTTGGATTTGGCCTACTGATATCATTGATGGCTAGCCCTTGCTCTAAAGTATCAATTCTTTGATATTTAGGCCTTCCTTGGTAAGCTAATACAAGACTGATTTTTATAAATGTTCCATGTTTTCTTATAATAATGTGTGATGTCTAATTGATGGGTTTCATATGTTGTTCAAATATTCCACTTACAAAAATTTTTGGCTTCTTAATGTATCAGTTACTAAGAAAAGTGCTTTAAGGAAAACCTCCAGAACTAAGACTATGAATTGTCATTTTCTCTATCCTTAATTTTTGCTCTAGATTGTTCAAGGCCATGTTGGTTAAGTAAGACAAGTTTAGAATTGTTAAACATTCCAGATAAATTTTTCTTTTATCATTAATAATCCTTTTTATAATAATAACATGCATTCATAATAATGATTGTTTTGTCTGATATAAATATTGCTATACCTTTTTTTTTTTCTGAGTCAGGGTCTGGCTCTGTCACCCAGGCTGGAGTGCAGTGGCATGATCTCAGCTCACTGCAACCTCTGCCTCCTGGGTTCAAGCCATCCTCCCCCCTCACCCTCCCAAGTAGCTGGGACCACAGGCATATGCCACCACCCCCGGCTAATTTTTATACTTTTTGTAGAGAGTTGGTTTCATCATGTTGCCCAGACTGGTCTCAAACTCCTGAGCTAAAGCGATCTGCCCACCTTGACCTCCCAGAAAGCTGGGATTACAGGCATGCACCACCGCACCTGGCCTGCTATACATTTTTTAATTTTGGTTAGTGTTTGCCTCATATAGCTTTTTTCTATCCATTTTCAATATTTTTCTATAATTATTTTTGTTAAAGTGAGTCATTGAATGGGTGTTATTCTCTGAGTTAATTGCATTTCCCACAACAAACAATACATCAAGCTTTGCAATTATCATAATATTGAGGTTCAATATTATATTTTCTGGTATATAAAGTAGCTTTTTATAAATTGAAATTTTTATTTAGATAATTGTAGATTCACATGAAGTTGTAATAAATAATACAGAGATTTCATGTACCTTCCTTTCAGATATTTCATTTCCTCTAATGGTAACATTTTGCAAAACTACAGTACAATAACACAACTAGGATATGGGCATTGATACAAGCCACTGATTTCACTCAGATATCTCCAGCATTACTTGTACTCATTTGTGTGTGTATGTGTGTAAGACAATTTTATCACACTTACAGTTTTGTGTATCTACCACCACATTCATGATACTGAACAGTTTCAACACCATAAGTATCCCCCATGTTGTTATTTTATAACAATATCTACCCCTCTTTCCCCTTTCCTCCATCCATTCCAAAATTCTGGCAACCACCAGTCTGTTTCCATTTCTAAAATTCTGTCATTTGATGAATATCATATAAATAGAATCATACAGCATATAATAGGGATAATAATTATGCTCTTCTCACTCAGCATAATTCCCTGGAGATTCATCTAAGTTGTTGCCTGTATGAATAGTTTATTTTTATTGCTGAGTAGTAGTCCATGGTATGGATGAACCACAGTTTGTTTACCCATTCACCTGTTGAAGGATATCTGGATTGTTTCCTGCTATTACAAATAAAGCCATTATGAACATTCATGTACGGATTTTTGTGTAAAGGTAAGTTTTCATTTCTCTGGGACACATATCAAAGAGGGAATTACTGGCTCATATAGTAATTGGGTCTATTTCTGGGTTCTCTATTCCATTGGTCTACATGTTTATCACTCTGCCAATGCCATACCATCTTGATTACTGTAGCTACAGAGTAAGCCTTATATGGGGTAGAGTGATTACACCCCTTCAGTCTTCTTTTTCATAATTGTTTTAGTTGTCTTTCCATATAAATTTTAGAATAAGCTTGTCTATGCCTGCAAAAAATGAAAATAAAAAACCATGTTGAGATAGAAATTGCATTAAACCTATAGAACAATCTGGAGAGAACTTGGCACCTCTACTCTATGCATCTTCCAAACCAGGGATGCAGCATATCTCTCCACTGATTTAGGTCTGTCTTGATTTTTTTCAGCAGCATTGTTTAATTTTCATCACACAAATCCTGTACGAATTTTGTTAACTGTATATCCAAGTATTTCATCTTCTTTGGAGTGATTGCGTATATGGCATTGTATTTTTAATTTTGGTTTCTGTATGTTCATTGTTAGAATATAGAAATGTGAGCCATTATAGAATTTTATATTTCCAATATAGAAATGTGCTGGCCTTGTATTTCTGAAATTTTGTTGAACTCATTGATTGGTTCTAGGAGGTTTTTGGGCTTTTCTTTTTCCTTAATAGATTTCTTAGGATCTTCTATGTAGACAAACATGTCATTTACAAACAGGGACAGTTTTATTTTTTCCTTTCCAACTTGTTTGCCTTTTCTTTGTTTTTCGTGCTTTACTGCAGTGTCTGGAACTTCCAGAACTATGCTGAATGACAGTACGAAAGCAGACATCCTTGCCTTGTTCTTGGTCTTGGGAAAAGGTGTTTGGTCTTTCGACCATTGAGTATAATGTAAGCTGTAGGTTTTTTTCTAGACACTCTGTATCAAGTTAAGATAATTCCTCTCTATTCCTAATTTGTTGAGTTTTTATCGTGAATAGGTGTTAGATTTTGTTAAATGTGTTTTCTTCATCAATTGCTGTGATAATAGGATTCTTCTTTACTAGCTTGTTGATTTAGCGGGTTCTATAGACTGATTTTCAAATGTTGAATCAGCCTTGCATACCTGGAATAAATCCCACTGGGTTATGCTGTATAATTCTTTTTTGTACATTGTTGGATTTCATTTGCTAATTTTTTTAAGGATTTCTGCATGTAAGTTTAATTCGGTTTTAGGGTTGTCTCTTTTTTTTGAGACGGAGTCTCACTCTGTTGCCCAGGCTGGAGTGCAGTGGTGCGATCTCGGCTCACTGCAAGCTCCACCTCCCAAGTTCAAGAGATTCTCCTGCCTCAGCCTCCCAAGTAGCTGGGGCTACAGACATGTGCACCCATGCCTAGCTGATTTTTGTGTTTTTAGTAGAGATAGGGTTTCACTATGTTGGCCAGGCTGGTTTTGAACTCCTGGCCTCAAGTGATCCACCCTATTTGGCCTCCCAAAGTGCTGGGATTACAGGTGTCTAAAACTTTTCAATAAACTTTCACTCCTGCTCTAAAACTTGCCTGGGTCTCTCTCTCTCTCTGCCTTATGCCCCTTGGCTGAATTCTTTCCTCCGAGGAGGCAAGAATCAAATTGCTGCAGACCTGTATGGATTTGCTGCTGCTAACATCACCAACATCTGAGGCTTCCTTCTGTGAGTTATGTTCCTTATTCGCTTCTGATCATGGCCATTCACCTTTCTTTCCTTTGAACTCAACTCTGTATTTTTCACTTGGGGTGGTGAAAAGGTAATATTTTTTTCAGTGTTCCTCTACTTGTATAACGGGTTCCTACTCATCTAGTTGGTCATATTTCCAGACCCAGAAAGTTGGTATGTAATACACTGTTAAACCTGAAAATAATTATCTTACCACCAGAATTTCTAGAACAGAAGTCATACACTTGCAGTGCTGGGATAAACCCAACCCGCAGATGTGTTTCTGTTTGGCCTGGACACTTTTGGCCCACACTATGTTTTTTTAAAAATCTCCCTGTACGAGCCAACTTTTAAAAATCAAGGGATTTCACATAAGAATCCAGATTTTCTAGTTTTTCTTTAAAAACTGAAAGATTTGGCAACAGCAGGCCCATCTTCCATCATAGTACAACCAGCTGGAGTTTAGAAGCACCTGCTCTCCATAGTCAGAGCACATGTTCTGTTTGCTAGAATCTCTCTCCCCCTTCACATTGTCCTATTCAGCTTACTTCACCTTTTAGATGACCTACCTGCCCTCTACGGAAGATATTCTAATTTGCTATTCCAGCCCTAAACTACAAATTGCATCAAGATGTCAAATGTGAATTTTTCTGGTAGACTGGAAGCTCCATGAGGGCAAGAAATGTTGCCAGCTTGTTCTCCACTTTATTCTCCACACCCTGCATGGTGCCTGACTGGTGGTGAGCATTCAATATTTTTATATTTTGAATGTATGAATTAAAGAAGGGATGAGCTATTCTAAAAATAAACAGCCCAACAGTCCAAACAACTCTGTGTTGGAAACCTCTCCAAAATGTTGGCAACACTGAAGCCCTTAATGTTTACATCCTGAGAATTATCCAGTCTTAAGTAATCACAGGCAGCAATGTAGCAAGTGGAAGTTTGTTACTCATTTCCCATATGGTTTTCAACAAGTCTCTTAATTTTCCTCTGTCGCCAACTCTCCTTTGGAGAATGGGCAAAAATACTTCTCTATTCAAAGAAATAACACTAAGATACTCCGTGTTTCTCTGACAAGCTGTGCTGCATATACATGTGACCTGGTATTATAAGGGTCTGTTTTATGCAGCCAAGTCAGCATGGGAAAATCTTAAGTGCACCTGGAAAGAAGCTAGGGTGTAATTTCCAGAAATGGGTTATTGAATGACAGCTTCCCCTTTGGTCCAGTGAGAAATTTAATTTGCTAAGGACTCAACACAGGAAGCATTTGCCGATTAAAAATATGTCTAAACAGATGTTCTGCTTAGCCTGGAAGAAGGATCTTAATGCAACTGTCATTATTGGATTTTCTTGGATTACTACTATCTGGAATCGGAGTCCAAATAGAAGGATGTAATTATTTATTATGGCCAAGAGTCCTGCATTTGAAGAGGAGCTCAGGGCGTCTGACAGGATTTAACACGCTGGGGGTAGGGTTGAGGGGGGATAAAGCCCATTTAAATTCTCTGGCTCTGGGAGCGAGCCCTGTCCTCTCTGAAAGAGCAAAGCGGTTGTTGCTTTTCAATCTTCTATTTCCAGCTGAAGGCACAGCCATGTCATAAACAGAACCAGGCCTGAGGCAGCCTTCTCCAGTGAGGAAGTGCAATTTTTAGATTAGGCAATTGGTCATTCCCACACGGGAAGTAAACACGCTGACAGCCCAGCCATCTGCATAACCCTCACCCCAAAGGTGATGGGTGAATTTGCACCTCACCTGCAGCAATCTCGAAAGGCTGAAGGCCGCTAAGTAAAGGGGAGACTAGACCATTCTGCACAGTGGTTCTCAAACCTGGCTGCACATTAGATTCAACTGGGGAGCTTTTAAAAAATTCTGGTGTCTGCCTCCCTGCTCTGAGACTGAGAATCAATTGGCCTTAGAGTGGAGTCAAGGCACCTGCAGTTTCTAAAGCTCCCCAGGTGATTACAAAGCTCAGTGAAGTTTGGGAACCACTGATACAGCCCAAAGGTTAAGATCAAGGGGTTTGGGGTCAGGGGGACTTAAGCTCAAGATAAATGCTGCCATTTGCTACCTACATGGCTTTGGACAAATCACTTCCCCTTCGGAGCCTCACTTCCTGCTGCAGGGCGGTGGTGACCCAGGTAATGAATGTCAAATGCCTGCGGTGAGTAAGGGCTCAGTGTGAGCTGCCACAATGGCTACGAAAGTCTGCATTTGAGACAGGCTAAAAAGGAAGGCCTGAAGTTCGTGGGGCTCAGTTGTTACACCCAAGTAAACTGACGTAAGTGATGTTAGGAATTCCAGCGTCGAGTGCTGTTTTGCACCCAAGTTTGTGGGATGCCTGTCCTCTGGTTCAACCAGATTCCATTATTATTTGCTTTCACACAAAGCCCCTAGGAAATGTTACTGAAAGTGAAAGGTCCATTCTCTTTCATGAATATGGTTCTGGAAATCAGGCTCTATCAAAACAGTCACAGCTTCATTCATGGAGCAGTTGCACACTCCATTTCATTAATCCCATTATCAGCCCTGAAATGCATGCTGAGCTCTCATCTCCAGAGGAGGGAGAGCCTTCTGACCAAAGGGTCTGCCGGAGGGGATGTTGAGTGAGCATTTCAGCCCTTTCCCCCTCCCCAAAGCTGGAGGCACAAATCCCCACCGTCAGGGCTGAGGGGAGCCACATAATGCCAGGAAATAAACCTGCTGCCGAAACTGGGCGCTTCCCTCAGATCCTTTCTCCTGCCTGGGCGGTCTCTTTTCCTGGGGGTGGTGGAAGGGGGGCAAGTTGTGATTAAAGGGAACCTGAGATTGACACAACGTGTCTTATCTTTCATTCAAATAAAAGCAAGAGGCATCCAGCGCTGGCGCCGACAGCATCCTGAGGGTTGGGATGGGAAGGATGGAGGGACTGGTTAGAACGGCCTGCCCTCACCTCACTTCGAGATTTCCTTCCTCTTCAGGACTGCCCTGGATGCTTAAAGACATGCTTGTCTGCTGCTGTAATGCAGAGTGAAGGGACTGGCCTAGCCTGCACATTCCTTATCCGCTTCGAACAAACCAGGGCCATTTGGGGGAACTGCAGACTAGGGCACTGCTATCATCACCCTCCCTGAAAAGCCCAAGATTTTTTGTTGCAGTGTGGGTGCTGTGCACAACCCCACCAGAGGCAGAATTTTAATGGGCCACAGCCGCCGTCTTCCTTCCTGTCCTCTGTAATTGTGTTTCTATGCAGCTGTTGCACAGCTGTGGAATCCCAGTCCAGAGGTAGATGATGCACTTTCAATGCTGGATAATATAATTCCTGGAGGTGGAGGTGGAAGAGCTACATTCCTTGAGCCTCTTTTAAGTTCCAGACACCTGGCTATGTGCTTTACATAAATATTATTTCTAATTCCCTCTAAACCTCATACAAGCAGTTAAATAACTTATCCAAAGTCATAGCTACTAAGTGGGTGAGCTGGGATTCAAACCCAAGTGTGTCTGACTGTCCAAGTTTATAGTTGGGTCATTTTACACCCAACGAACTAGTAAATATCAAAAACTCTGACAATATCTATTGCTGGGGAGCAGAGGCAAGGGGGGAAGGTGGTAGATAGTCTCCAAATATGGCCGCCAAGTCCCCTTATCCCTGTGAGGTCATGCCACTTCTCTCGTGAAGGAGTAGAATCTATTTCTCTCTCCTTGAATCTGGTCTGGTCGTTTGGCTTATTTTGTTAACAGAACGTAGCAGAAGTAGCATTCTTGAAGTTTTGAGTCCAGGCCTTAAATGGACTGGCAACTTCTGTTCCTTCCCTCTGGGAAGCCAATCACCATGCTATGAAAAGTTTCTGATTAGACAACTGAATGGTGACAGTCTGCATGGAGAGCAGGGCCACAAGGAGGCACACTGGGGCACTGGAGGTGTAGCTAAAGTTTTTTTGGACCTTCCAGCCCAGTCCACCTGCTAGATAAATTCAGTCAAGTGAGTGACCCCAGATGGCATCAGCCAAAGAACCACCCTACTGAACCCAGTCAACCCCCAGAATCATGAAAATAACAAACTATTGTTTGAAGTCACTAAGTTTGGGTGTGGTCTTTATGCAACAATAAATCACATAAATAAGGAAGAAAAATGAGTGTGGCATCTTTGTCACTGCAGTGTGATGACAAACTCTGCTGGATTCATTCACACATGCTCCATTTTTACCACTAAGTGCTGATCATTTGTGGCAAAGTGAAGGACCATTGAGTACCAGATGTCTGGGGAGCCCAAAAACTTATAAGTCAAAATATCCTTAAATAAGCAAAGCAGAAAAACGCGGATCTGAAAGCAAGCCCTGCACATAGCCCAAACAACAAGCTGTATAGCTAAGAAACAAATGCAGATTAGTTACATGGGTGACTAAAGGATCTGCCTCTCTCTAAAAGAAGTCAGATTGAAGAGGAAGATCAGCAACCCAATAGGAAAATGGGCACAGGACAGGAAGAGGCGATTCCCACTGACAAACATAGGAAAAAATGTTCAACGGCACCAGCAGTCAGAGGAGTACAAATTAAATATCAATAAGCCACAGCTTACTTGTTAAAAACACTGATAATGAGTTCTCCCTACTGCTAGTAAGAATATGGGAAAGGAGTACACTTATAAGTTGCTATGGAAATGTGAATTGTTACACCTTTTGAAACACAACCTAGCAACATCTATTACAAGCACACTAAATATGTACGGATATATGTTCAGTAACGTTTACTGCAGTCATTATTCATCACGGCAAAAGCTTGAAGTGAACTGAATGCTAATTGATAAGGAAAACACTGAATAAATTATGATCCATCCATATCAGTAATATCTACTCAAAAGAATACATTTAAGTTATAACTAGTGCCTTGGAGGGGTTGTGCCCATGAGGTATTGATGACGAAAGCATGATGCAGAAAAAATGTGTATCAAATATGATTCTATGTTTTAAAACAATGACAAAGCCTGTATCTGTATTTATGTTTAGATGTATGCTTATATACATATATCTCTGTATATATATCAATGTATGTGCATGGAGAAAAATATGAAGGCTGTATACAAAGTCACTAGCATGCATAACCTGGGAAAGCGTAGAGGGTTGATATGTGGAAAAAAGAACCTGAAAGGAGGTGGCCACATTAAAGAGAAAAGAAAAAGAAGATAACACTTTTAAAAGTATGATGATATTATCACATTTATGCATTTGTGTAAAATTACATATATGCAAGTATATATGTAAAAATGTAAAATAGCATGAAAGCTGAAACACAAAATAAATAATGATTTCTATTTCATTCCTACATAGGCGTCCGTGAGACATAAGATTCTGGCATTTAAAAATTATTCCTTGGCCAGGTGCGGTGGCTCACGCCTGTAATCCCAGCACTTTGGGAGGCCGAGGCGGGCAGATCACGAGGTCAGCAGACCGAGACCATCCTGGCTAACACGGTGAAACCCCGTCTCTACTAAAAATACAAAACATTAGCCGGGCACGGTGGCGGGCGCCTGTAGTCCCAGCTACTCGGGAGGCTGAGGCAGGAGAATGGCGTGAACCCAGGAGGCGGAGCTTGCAGTGAGCTGAGATCGCACCACTGCACTCCAGCCTGGGCGACAGAGCGAGACTCCACCTCAAAAAAAAAAATTTTTCTTTTGCTTTGCTGTGAAGTTTGTGTAGAAGAAATACCACTGCTGACTGTGAATCATGATTCCTGCAGGATGCAGGCCAGACGGGAAGTCCAGCAGCCCCTCTCCTCCAGCACTGCTTCTGAACAGGAGAAGCTTCTCCACAATAGATGTGTCCAGTGATCTCCGAGCTAGAAACTCTTAAACAACCAGCAGACCACACTTAGGTCTGAGCATCTGCATATAGACAGGCAGTGGCAGTGCTTCTGGGCAGGCTCCTGGCTACCTGCCCACAGCCAACCAGCACCTCACCTGCTTCCCACTTAGTAGACCATGGAGTCTCTAGTCTACACCTCCCCCACAATCCCCACTCCAGTTTTATTTTTCTTCTTTGCCTCCCTCACCCATTCATTCTCTCAGACACTCAGTTCTCAAAGCCACATTATTTGCCCCTCCCAGGTCTTCAGGGGCTTCAACTCACGATCCATGCACAAGGCAGAAAAGTCCAGCCAAGAGAGCAGAGTTTATCTGAGAGCTATGCTGTTCCTGACCACCAAATGCCGCCCTTCCATCCCTTTCGCCAGCAGCACGCCAGCCCCGCTCACGTCCACAGACTTCAGTGCTTCTAGTCCATCTCAGCCAGTGAGATAGGAAAAGATTCCATAAGAGCTATCCAAGGCCATGGACTAGGGAAGGGAGAATGGGAGTGACTGCTTCATGAGTACAGAGTCTGCTTTGAGGGTGATGAAAAAGTTCTGGAACTCAATAGGGGTAATGGTTACATAGCATTGTGAATGTACTTAATGCCACTAAAGGGTATGCTTTAAAATGGTAAGTCTTATGTCACGTGTATTTTTCCACAACTGAAAGAAAACAAGGTACCCAAAGACCTGGTGAGGGCTCACATTACCCTTTCCAGCTTCCTTGGTGCCAGTGTCCATGGCTGTGGTGTCTGGGCTGCTCTCAGATGCCTGCTCTTCAAGCCCACCTAGAGGAATGGAGAAGAAAGAGGCATGAGGACACATCAGCCTTCTCTGCATCAGCACCAAGGGATGAGGGAGCAAACCTGGTCACCTGGGGAGGATCAGAATCACCACGGATTCGTAAGCTTCGTTCCACAAATCAACTGAGCCCTTACCACATGGCCCCACACTATTCTAGATGTGAGGGCAAAAACGAACCTGCTTTGTTTAATAACCACACACATCAGTCGCAAATTAATATAAAGTATAACTCTCCTGGATCATTTCAAGAGCACCCAGAATCAAATTTACAAAGTTACCAGGCAACCCCAAAATCAGCTTCCTCACGCGCCCCCCACCTCCATAAGAAAGGCCAAATGCAAATAGGATCCTCTCTGGGCCTGGAGTCCGCTTGGTGCAGAACACAGGGAGATGTGCCCAGTGCTGCCGAATACTCAATGCGTCCTGTGACTGCTGCCTTTGTTACCCTGTGCACTCTCTTAGTATTCGGGTTTCCTCTGTGGGGTAAGCCTCCGTGTAGGAACCTACTGTGTTGACCTTATAAATTAGACTCCATAGACACTCTGTTTACGAAGGACAGTGATGCTTGTACGTGTTTGCTAGTAGCCATCATTTATAAACTGTGTTAACATTTGTCTCTACCAGGAATGTGGCCAATCACCAAATATCTGTTTGACCTACTATGGGCCAGGTGCAATTCCAGGCACCATGGATCCAGCAGTGAACGAGGCAGGTGAGTTCCTGCTCTCAAGAGGTGTCCATTCTAATTGGAAAGCTGGACCATAAACCGCAGGTAAGTAAATTCATGAATGAGATCATTGCAGGTTTGGAAAATGCTCTGAAGAAGATCAAAACCAATGTGTGATAGAACGTGATGGGAGGAGCTGCTTATCTGGTGGTTGGAGAGGGGCCTCAGGTAGGTGGGATGGCAGTGAGATCTGAAAGGCAGGAATGATCTGGCCATGTGGAGATCTGGCCAGAGGATCCTCCGCAGGGGAAGGATCCAGAAGGAGCCTAGACGGGGACTGGGCTTGTCATGAGAGGGACAGCCGCAGTGGGCAAGTGGGAACAGGGCCAGAGAGGGAGGCAGGCCCACACGGCCTTGCCAACCAGGCTGTGTTTTGTGACTTTATTCTCTTTGTTACAGGAACCCTGCAGAGGGTTTAAAGCATGAGAGGAATGTGTTTTTATCTGTGTTTTACCAAGATTGCCCTGGGACACAGGCAGACAAAAGCAGAAGCGGGGTGAACAGTTAGGAGCCTTGCAAGTGTCCGAGTGAGACAGGGTGGTGGTGTGGACCAGACACTGCAGTGGAGGTGCTGGGACCTGTCGTGTTAGGGAACAGTCATAGGCAGAGCTCGCAGGTAGGGCTAGTGGATTCGATCTGAGGAAAGACAGGGGCCACCAATGCCACCTGCCCTTGGAATTTGAATAACTGGGTGGGTAGTGACACCAGGGAGCAGATTTGAGGACAAAGACTATGTCCAGGAGAGACTATTACACACACGAAACCACATCAAAGCAACCAAAGGACAATCTATTTTTAAACAAAAATATTATTTCTTGCATTTATTTAGAAACTTACAGCTTACAAGTCAGTTTCCCAGTCTCCCCTTTAACCCTTATCAGAACACTTTATGTGTAATCCCATTTTCCAGAGGAGAGAACTGAGGCACAAAATGTTTAACCCAGGGTTGCCCAGCCCATCAGGGAAGCTAAGGGCTCGGGACACAGTCTCCTGGTCAGACACCCGGTGGTCTTCCCTGGCCCCACAGATAAAGGCTTCCCACGCTGCTCAACCAAGGCTCACATGGCACCACGAACCCAACCCCTAGGCCTGTATGACCCTGGAGACAGCCACGTGGTCCCGCTCCCAACTCCTCACATGCAGGCCATCACTTTCCCTCTCTGTGACCATGACCTGGGCAGTGGCTGCAGCTGCCAGGTCTCCTGTAGAGAAGGTCCCACTACAGCCAGGCGGAGATGGGAGGCTCCGCGCCTGCATCCTGCTCGTTCCGCTGCCTCCTGGCCAACCCGGAATCCACTCACACACTCCCTGCAGCTGCCGGGTGTTCGCTGCCAGCTCCTGGCCCTCTGGGTATTCATCCAGTTGCAGCAATATCATTTCCTCTCGGGCTAAAGGTCAGGGGAATTCCTGATGGTATGAAATCTCTCAGCAGCAGACAAATGTACCACCTGTGGTGTGGAGGCGAGCTGGAGCCGACGCTCTGGGTCTAGCTCAGCCTCACTCAGCTGTGCAACTGTGGTGGGGAACTCGGGTGTTAGTATTTTTTCATCTGTCAAATGGACTATTGCAAGGACCAAATGAGGTAATGGGTTTGTTTGGGCATTCGTTCATTCAACAAGTATCTATCCAACACCTGCTACAGGCCAGACGCTGTGTCTGCTGCTTGGGATATGATGCAGAAGAAACTGTACCTTGACTTCATGGAAATTATATTCTGATGAAGGGTAGGGGAAAAAATGACAAACAAATAGCGAACCAGATATTTAGGTCTGGAGGATGTAGGTGGATATCTGGAGAGAAGCATTTCAAACTATGGGAACAGCAAGTGCAAAGGCCCTGGGGTGGGAGTGTGCTTGGCCGGGGGGAGGTGGGTACGACTGGAATGGAATGAGTGAGGAAGAGACAAGGAGATGATGAGGTCAGCAGGCAGTGGAGGGTCTGGAGAATCTGCTCATATGGGGCCTTGCAGGCCATTCAGGATTTTGGCTTTTATTCTGAGTGAACTAGATGGGATCCAGAGGACAGGAAAGGGCTTTGTAACTGCACTGGTTTTGTATATGACAGGGATAATATGTAGTGAATAGGAGTGGGGAGACCAAGTGCCCCCCAGTGATGGAGGGGGGAAAGAATTAGTGTTTACTAAGTCCCAATTATAGTGCAAACCATGTGCTAAGAACAGTGCCAAGTGCTTTTCCTCACCTTCAGTTTTATATGTGCAGTCTCATGAAGACCCAATAACAAACGGACCATGAACAGATTAGGAAACAAAGCTCCAAGAGGTGAAATGACTTGCTTGTCTTGAGGAAGCAGAGAGAGTTAGTAAAGGTGATGGCTGGAGGTGGGTCCTGTCTGACCCCCAAGCCTGTACTCCTTCTCTTCAGCCTCAGTCACAGAAAGAACGAAGAGAACAAGGGAGGTGCCTGGTAGAGGCTGCTTATTCCCAGGGGATACAAGGCATTGCCCATCCAGGAGGTCTGTAAGAAGACATATGAAGTCATGGGTCTAGCTCAGCTTGAGATAAGGCTGGAGCCATGGCAGTTAAGAATATAGAGCCCTCCCCTGTCCTTATCAACAAGAGATGGAAGGTTCTGTCTTTTATCTCAGAAAGGAAGCAAATCTCATGCTTCCAGCACTGTCTACCGGGGACCTACCTGGAGTTAATGTGGCTTGGCCACATTTCATCTCCTGATGAAAACCCTTCCATGGCTCCCCCCTGCCCTTGGGATAGATTCCACCTCCTAACACCACTGATGAGACCCTTAGTGATATGGCCCTGCCAGCCTGCTCCACAAGGTACCTCAAGCCTCCTCTCCTACTCCCTCCACTGCCACTCTGTGCTCAGCTGCAATAAGTGACTTAGAGTGCCTTGGCTTTCTATTTTCCTCTTATTGCACACTTTCCTCAACCACACCCACCTCTTCATCTGGCCAAACCCTACTGGTCCTTCAAGTCTCCATGTAGACACCACTTCCTCTGAGTATCCGCCCCCCTGCTCCTCTTGGGGTAAAAGTCATTCTCTCTGTTCCCACAGCCCCTGGCCTTATTCACCACCCTCTCCACAAGGTACTGGGATCCATTTACTCAGCTGAATCCCCCATGATTTAGCTTTTCACATCTTGAAGGAAGGGATTTTGTTATGTCTAACAATGAATACCCAGCACCAGACCTGGCACATGGCAGGTACTGAGTAAAATACAGAACGGATGGATGAAGGGATGGATGGATGGGTAGGTGGGTGAATGAATGCATGGATGGATGGATGGATGGATGGATGGATGGATGGATGGATGGACATACGAGTCACGTAGGCAGTGTTTAAAAAGAGAAATCAATCATTTCTAACTCAACTGTTGGAAAAAAATTGTCCTTATCAGCTTTTATGGAGAGAAGGAGGCAACTATTCTTCAAACAATGGCTCTCAACTTTGGCTGCGATTTGAATCACCTGGGAAGCCTTTAAAAAAATACTGGCGTCTGGGTCCCACCCCCGCCGGAGGTTCTTATTTAATTGGTCTGGGGCATGGCCTGGGAATGGGGAGTTTAAAGAGTTCCCCAGGTGATTCTATGGTACAGCCAAGGTTTAGATTTGCCACTCAGAGCACCCTGTAAGAGGAAGCCTCACCTTGTACTATTTTCTTACTCCCAACCTCTCTCCTCCTGAGCTCACCAGGAACGGAAGACATGGACTTGGAGACAGACACTTTGAACACTAGCAAAAGCCATGTCTCACATCGAAATCGATGAAAAGCGTTTCTCCGTTTCAATAAAAACTGGCAAATGAGTACGACAGGTGTGGCTCTGGCTATAACTGCAGCTGCAGGCACCATAGAACAAGGAAGAGAGAAACAGCCTGATGCAGACAAAGACTGAGGGCTGGGAGGGGAGAGTTTTCAGGGTATGGGGATGTATTTTTCCTTGGGTGTGATTGCAAGACAAAAAAAAAGTTTGAAAAAAATACATATATATCCCCATATTTGATCTTTGCTTAATTACCTCTTCGGTGAGAGGATATGCAAAGACCTTGTAGATTTCATTAGTCACAGAGGTTTATTCAGACGTCTCCTTTGCATAAGAAACCCAGGCTTACAGCTGGTCTCTGGGAAAGAATGCCCTCCAGGCCTTGAAAAGAGAGCTCCCGGCCTGTTCAAGCTCTCACTGAAACACAGCAGAGGTCAGCGGCCCGTGATGCATGGGCCCGGCTGAAATGTTTCTATCCAGCATTTGCAATTCAATCCCACAGTTTCCTTTATGGAACAATTCACTAAATTCAGAGCTGTTCTTTTTTCTAATTCACCATATAATTCACCTCCCAAGTTCAATTAAGAAGCAATCTGTTAGCAACTTTGGGAGCAAGCTGCTTTTCTTTGGGAAAGCCCAATTTTCTTCCGCTCTCAACAAAAAGTGCCTTAATTAGATGCATCATATGAGACATTGATGTACACACAACGCCCCTCCACCATAATTAATGAAATATTAACTGTATACACCCAAAGACATCTAGGCAGAAAGAGATGGGCTTTTCCAAAGCCCTAGGGGTAAAGCCTTGTGCCATAGATTAATATTGCCCATCTGAACAACAGTGACTATGAATTCATATTCATTAATATCATTCATAAACAAAACTCTATATTAATTATTCCTTTCATCTCTTATTCTTAAAGACTAACATTACTTGGTCCTTGGTTCTCTTGAACATGAGAATACCTACCATTTTTTAACTGCCAGCATTTAACTTTAAATGCCAATTGTTTGCAGGTACTTCACATATGTTCTCTATTTAATCCCCAAGCCAATTTTCTAAGGTGGGTATTATTCCCATTTTATATGCAGGGTAACTGAGGCTTAGAGCAGTTAAGACATCACTAGGGACACACCGCCATTGGGTGGAGAATTTGAGATTCTCTCCATATCGGTCTGATATCAAAGCCCTTCATAGACATTACATACTAAAGAAACCTTGCAGGACGGCAGCCTTAGCTCTCATGTTTACTCATTTTTTAATACTGTATTTACAGCTTTGACCCACGAGAGCTAAATCTATCATAAAACTGCAGTGCTTTACTTTAAGAAAAAGAAAAAAATATATATCCAGCACAAGATCCTAAAAATCACCTTATTCCTACTCCATTCATTCAGTACGCCTTGGTGGAGCACCTGCTTTGGGCAGCACTGTGCTGGATTCCTGCAGGCAGTGCCTGCCCTCTTGGTGCCTGCATTCTGATGGAGGGGATGGAAATTAACAATAAATAATGAGATCATTTCGTGGGATTAAGCACTTTGAGGAAATTAAAACAGAGTTGTATGTCAGAGCAGTGGGGGATGGGAGTCCTAGGAGGGTCTCTCAGAGTCGGTGACATTTGAGCTAAGTGATGAGAGATGGATATCCATCTGGGGACAGTATTCTAGCAAAAAACAAACAAACAAAAACTGCAAGGAAAAAAGTCCTGAGGAGGGGAAGTAAGAGTCCAACGTGGCTGGAGCTGGGGCTGGCGAGCAAGATAGGAACTGTCACCTGCGAGGGACACAGGTCCAGCTCACGGCCAGCTAGAGCAAGGCCCTTGACTCTTACCTTTCTGACCATGTCTTAGGCCTTCTTAATTTGCTGGGCCTTTAGGTCACATGTAATCTGCACAGCAATCCCGTAAATAAGTACTGTTATTCCTCTTTTAAGGAGGAGAAAACTGAGGCTCATGAATAAGTTGTTCAAGGTCACCCAGCTAGTCAATGATTGAATGTGCATTTCAAAGAGGGCCCGTCTGACTCCAGAATCCATGCTCACAAAGCCTGCCCTCTACCCTAGACGGGTACAGGTGTGGCCTGAGCAAGCATCCCGGGGAAGGGCAATGAATGAATGAATGAAACATCTGCACAACTTTGTTGGAAAATTACCTGCAAGACACATCAATCAGGTGAAGTATTCATTATTCATTAGAAAAAAATTAAAAGGCAAAGCCCTTTTAAAAGGTTGATTCAGGAATGAACAAGGCAATCGCTACAGCACTAAAGCAATCAATGTGTAATCTTAAGTGATTCAATGCCAAGTAACTTTTATATCCGTGCCAAATTTCATATGCTACAGAAGAGAACGGGAAAATGAGTTAAAAGACCATTGCCAGATTTTGTTTGTGAAATGATTTAATATTGGCAAGTGTATAATAAAATGGGAATGCTTATACACTCCTGGTGAAGGAGGACTATAAATTGGTAACACTTCATGAGGTAATTTCACAGGACTAATCAAAATCTTTTAAAACAGGCAATAAGGCTGGGTGCAGTGGCCCACACCTGTAATCCCAGCACTTCGGGAGGCAGAGGCGGGCGGATCACGTGAGGTCAGGAGTTCAAGACCAACCTGCTCAACATGGCGAAACCCCGTCTCTACTAAGAATACAAAAATTAGCCAGGCGTGGTGGCGCGCACCTGTAATTACAGCTACTTAGGAGGCTGAGGCAGGAGAAACATTTGAGCCCAGGAGGTGGAGGTGGCAGTGAGCTGAGATCACACCACTGCACTCCAGCCTGGATGATGAAATGAGACTCTGTCTCAAAAAAATAAAATAAAAATAAATAAAACAGGCAATAATATGACTTCTAGATACCTGTATTAAGGAATTAATTGGCAATGAAGTCAAAGGATGTTCATCTCAACATTTTGTATAATAAAAAAGGCTATAGCAACTACATCCCCAACAGGGGTGGTGAAATAAATTATGACATAATAGAACACTACGTAACCTTTTAAACTGTTTTAGAAGGAAGTTTACTAGGTGAGAAAGTGCTCGGATTATAAGTCAAAAAACAGGTTAGGAAATATAATTCAATATAAATTCAGTATAAATTCAATAGAATCCAGTATGATTCCATCTTTTCTTTAAAAAAATAGGCAAAAAACATGCCGAAAAAATGCTGGATGGAAATCACCACACTGTCCATTGTGATTATCTCTGGTGGTGACTCTGGGGTGAATTTTATTTTCTTATATACTTTTGTAATTTCCAAATTTTGTTCAACATATTACTTTATAATCAGGAAACAGAGGCTTATTTTTTAAAAGAACTAGATTACATCATACACTATGCCTGCATTTTGTAGTGTGCGCCTGCACACACACACACACACACACACACATATACACACAGTTGTCAGGGAAACCTTTTTCTGATGAGAAAGAAACATAGTTGTGTTTATGCAGATGGAAAAGTTGTAATCCAATCTTTTTTTTTCTGCTTTTCTGCTCTGATCACAGAAAGAAAAAATTCCGAGTCCTCACCTTGGCAAGATGGAGGAAAGAAAAGCTTTTGAGGGGGAATGAGATGGGACCTGCCAGTGCTTTCTCTCAGACAGTGCTGGGAGGGCTCTTCTGAGATCCCATCTCCCATTCTCTAGTCAAGATCACTGGCTCCTGCCTGGGTCCTGGCACTGGCTGATGAAGTCTCAGAATTTGCTCCTGCCCCCAGGCAGAGGCCCTCATGCAAATTTGAGCTGTTTCCAGTGCCTTCAGCCAGAAGTCCATTTTGCTTGGTGTTGGACCCTCCTCTCCTCCTGCATGCCTGCGTCTGCATTCTCCCTGTTCTCTGGTTGTTGGATGAGTGACTGCCAGACCTTCCCCTTAGGCATGCTCTTAGAGTACCTCTGTTGTTCACCTGGCATCAAACCTCCAGTTCTCCCCTGGCCCCTGGACTCCAGGTATCCTTGTCTACCTGGTCCATATCTATTAAATCTCTTATGGCCTTGGCTTCTTGGCTGTACCCATTATTTATTGTTGTATATCAAACCATCCCTCCTCATAGGGTTGTTATGAAGATTGAGAGAGCGAATACATGCAAGGCAGAAAACAATGCCTGGCCTGTAATCAGCACTCATTGAGTTAGTGATCATAGCTATTATTATTATCCTTATTGACTCTAACTGTTCTGAAGTCTGAAGGAGCAGAATAGATTGAAACAATAAGCCATATTTTATACCTGAAGCACCACAAGCTGAGGAAGAAGTTCAAGTTCTCCTCAAAGCAGATTTAACAAAACCAAGTTCAGTCTGAGAACCCATGGACAGTCATTGACAGTGAAAGGAAGGCATCCCACTGTTCCCCAGGCATGGTATTTCTTTAAACCTTTCCCCATATGGTGCTTGCCCATAACAATGTGAGATATCAAATAGCAGTAAAAAAATTAACTAAAGATAAATTAGCCAGGCATGGTGGCGGGTGCCTATAGTCCCAGCTACTTGGGAGGCTGGCGTGAACCTGGGAGGCAGAGCTTGCAGTGAGCCATGATCGCACCACTGCATTCCAGCCTGGGTGACAGAGTGAGACTCCGCCTCAAAAAAAATAAAATTAAATAAATAAATAATTTATTAAAGATATAATCTAAGAAAGGACTCAAGTGACTAGGTTATATGGAGTCATCCTGTTATCCCTGGGACAGTGGAGCTGATTGGCCAAGATACACTGGGTAATTGTCAGAGGCGTTTGAATCAGAGCAACTCCATCTCAAATAGGGGATGGGTAAAATAAGGCTGAGGCCTACTGGGCTGCATTCCCAGAAGGTTAAGGTGTTCTTAGTCACAGGATGAGATAGGAGGTCAGCACAAGATACAGGTCATAAAGACCTTGCTGATAAAACAGGTTGTGGGAAAGAAGCCGGCCCAAACCTACCAAAACCAAGATGGCCACAAGAGTGACCTCTGGTCGTCCTCACTGCTACACTCCCACCAGCACCGTGATAATTTACAAATGCCATGGCAACATCATGAAGTTACCCTATATGATCTAAAACGGGGAGGCATGAATAATCCACCCCTTGTTTAGCATATTATCAAGAAATAATCATAAGAATGGGCAACCAGCAGCCCTTTTGGGCTTCTCTGCCTATGGAGTAGCCATTCTTTCATTCCTTTACTTTCCTAATAAACTTGGTTTCACTTTATGGATTCACCTCAAATTCTTTCTTGTGCAAGATCCAAGAACCCTCTCTTGGGGTCTGGATCGGCACCCCTTTCCAGTAACATAATGGCTTCCAAATTGCAGGCTAGAGCTTCACTGAGGAAACTGACCGTGTTTATTGGTTATTTTGTATGTGCCAAGGACTGTGCTTGCTACCTTATGAGCATTTCCTCATTTAGTTCTTAGCACAGTCCTGTGAGGTAGAGTCTATCACTAGCTTTAGTTACAAATGAGAGAAGTGAGGATTAGGTAGTAAGAAGGTAGTAAGAGGCAAAACCCAGATTCAATCCCAGACCCATCTGACTCTACCGATAGCCTTTATAATACAAGGCTAGGTATTCCAGCCTCAATCCTCGATAGCAAATATCCCAGTAGGAAAGGTCAGGAAAATCCTAGCTCCTTGCTCCCTGGGCAAGACAAAAGGTCACCTTCACAAGGAGATCTTTCAGAGTGCATATCTCAGGGACGATTCTGAAGGCTCACAGACACATGTGTGTATTCTGAGGTGTGAAGTTCCCAGGAGACAGGGGCAGGGCCTCTGAGGAAGAGGAGAAGAGAGGAGCTGGCAAGGAGAAGAAGACAGATGACACATGAGGCCTGAGTCCACAGAGAAGCTGTCCCTGGTAACCCGCTCTCTGCCTCCCCAGGGTAACTCCATTCCACCAGGGAGCTGCCCTAAGGGCACTGACAGTCAGACCTCTCAGCCGCCAAACCAGGAATCAGACCAGAAGTCCTTGAAGACTGAGCAGGTCCTTCCTCAGGAATAGAAAATTGTCCCCTCCAGACATAAAGGAGGGCCCCTTCAATTCGGGCTGAGCTCAGAACCACTGGATGCCCTCGGAGCCATCCAAGGTGCAGACCTCTGGCCAGGGCTTACCACCTGCCTCAAATCAAATCAGATCCACAATGTGCCAGGGTATGTGGGAGACACAGCTGTGACCCAGGCACTGCCCACCTGCAGGAGACACAAGGCACAAAGAACAGTGCAAGCAACCTGGTGAAGGAACTCGTACTCCCAGCCTGGTCCCCAGGGGAGCTTGCTGGAGGCAGCATTAAGGACAAGAAGGTTTTCAACAAACGGGGATGGGAGGGAGTCAGTTAGGATAGAACATAGGAGGGAAACAACACGTCCAATTTGGTAGCACAGCTTTTCTGACCCCAGTGGTTTTGGAAAGATACCTAATTTCTCTGAGCCTCAATTTTCTCATCCATACAAATGGGAATAATAGGTGCTAACTTTTCAGGTTGTGAGCAGCACCTAATGCTATGTCTGGCACATTGTAGGGACCCAGACATAGCCTTACTGATGATTATTTTTGGGTCCCCTTGGAAGGCCTCAACCTCCTGTATCTTGGTGACCACACTGCAGCCTAGGCTGTGGCCAGGACCACAGCTGAACCAGCCTCCCTGCCTCCTCAGGGAAAGCTCTTCCCAGGCCCCAGCCTGCTGCACCCCAGCCTCCCTCTATATAGGACTGCCCGGAACTCACCTGGCTGAATGACAGCTTGTCTCTGTCCTACCCCATGGTCCAGACTTCAGCAGGGTGTTCAGAGCACATTCTGGTTTCATTTAGTCGGAGGAAAGGGAGAGAGGGAAGGGAAGGCAGATAGGAAGGAAGTAGCTGCTCCTTCCTTCACAGAAACAACTGTCAGCCGAACAGCCACTGGGGCCTGGCTCTTTTTGGTTCAGTGAAATTGTAGAGGGAAACTCCTTTTCCTCAAGGGCTCTCAGGGGATTCTTAAGGGGCCTCTCGTTCATGCAGACTTCCAGAAGTTTCTAAGCGGGGTGCTTTCTGAAGCAGGAAGGAGTCGGGTATAGTGGCTATGGAGCCACAGAAATGCTTGGGGGGTAGGATGGGGAGATCAGACCACAGCCTCCATGGCTGAGGGTGAAGAGGAAGGGACAGCAGGGATCTGGGTGCACAGCGGGACACCAGTTAAATTCTTCCCAGAGATGCTGAAGGCCAAAAATTGGACTGGAGGCTAAAAGCCTAAGAGGAAGATTCTAGAATAAACTTCTCAGCCTCCATTTGTTTCCTTCATGCCCACTAAACATCATCGGCAATGATCTCATTTATTCGCTTATGTTTTTATTGTCTGTCTCCCCAACACCTTCTAAAATGCAAGCTCCATCTCCTTTGCTGATGTCTCCCCAGCTCTGGGACGGTGCCTGGCCTATAAGAGGTGGTGGCTGCAGGAGGTGGGGTGGGAGGATTGGTGGGGAGGGGAATAGGGAAAAGGGAGGCTGTAGGATGTAAGGCCAGCAGGACATGGATGCTGCTCGCCAGGCAGGAAACCATGATGTTCTGAGGTGTGGAGACGGGGAGGAGAGCTGCTTAGGTGATGAGACAACCACTACCCTGCTGGATGGGAGGAGATGAAGGGAAAGCCTTCCTCTACTCTCAGAGACCTGACAAAGGCACCCACTTGGCCATTCTTCACATTAAAATTTGTCCGCCAGGTACAGTGGCTCACGCCTATAATCCCAGCACTTTGGGAAGCCGAGGCAGGCAGATCACCTGAGGTCACGAGTTCGAGACCAGCCTACCCAACATGGAGAAACGCTGTCTCTGCTAAAAATACAAAAATTCGCCAGGCTTGGTGGTGGGCGCCTGTAATCCCAGCTACTCGGGAGGCTGAGGCAGGAGAATCGCTTGAACCTGGGAGGAGGAGGTTGCAGTGAGCCGAGATTGCGCCATTGCACTCCAGCCTGGGGGACAAGAGCGAGACTTCGTCTCAAAAAAAAAAAAAAAAAAAAAAAAAAAAAAAAAATCAGCCAGTCGTGGTGGCTCACACCTGTAGTCCCAGCTACTAGGGAGTCTGAGGTGGGAGAATTGCTTGAACCCAGGAGGCAGAGGTTGCAGTAAGCCGAAATCGTGCCACTGCACTCCAGCCTGGGCAACAGAGCAAGACTCTGTCAAAAAAGAAAGAAAAAAGAAATCTGTCAATAGAAAGGAAAATTTGGCCAGGAGCAGTGGCTCACACCTATAATTCCAGCACTTTGGGAGGTCAAGGTGGGAGGATTACTTGAGGCCAAGAGTTCAACACCAGCCTGGGCAACATTACAAGACCCTTGTCTCTACAAAAAAATTTAAAAACAAAGAAAAAACAAGGAAAAAAGAGAGCCCAATCAGAGTGATCAACATGAGACTTGGAATAACTTTAATAGGAAATGTGTATAACTGCAAGAGGAGAATTATGCATTTTTATCGCAATTTATGAAAATAATAAATAAGTAACAGAGAGAGATTCCATGTTCCTCAATGGAAGGGGTAAATGCTATGAATGTGTCATTTTCCCCAAACGAAGTTATGGGTTTAATGCAATCATGACCTAAATTCTAAGAGGATTTTGCTGGAATCCTCTCATGTTTTTGTAGAAAATGTTCCTCAAATTCATCAAGAAGAATAAATGAGTGAAACTCTTCAAGAAGTTTCAAAAAATCAAGAGCAAGGGCAATGAAGAAGGATGTACCCACCAAATATTAAAACATATAAGGCCGGATGCAGTTGCTCACACCTGTAATCCCAGAACTTAGGGAGGTTGAGGCAGGCAGATCACGCTCACACCTGTAATCCCAGAACTTTGGGAGGTTGAGGCAGGCAGATCACTTGAGATCAGGAGTTTGAGACCAGTCTGGCCAACATGGTGAAACCCCGTCTCCACTGAAAATACAAAAATCAGCCGGCACCCCTGTAATCCCAGCTACTCGGGAGGCTGAGGCAAAGAAGAATCACGTGAATCTGTGAGGCGGAGGTTGCAGTCAACCAAAATTGTGCCACTGCACTCCAGCCTGAGTGACAGAGCAAGATCCTGTTTCAAAAAAAAAAAAAAAAAAAAAAAAAAAAAAAAAAAAATATATATATATATATATATATATATAGCAGCTAAAATGAAAAGACACATGGATTGCTGGATATAAATGCTAACTCTATATATAAAAACACACTCTCTGATAGAGGAGACATCACAGACACAGGGAAAATATGAAATAGATGGTACTGAGATTATTATTTAGAACTGGGGGGTATCAGTCCTACCCCAAAATAAAACCCAAATGGATTGAAAGAAAGTATAAGAAAGAAATTTCAAGTACAAATAAACCATATGGAAAAACTCTACCAAAAAATAAATTATTTCCCAAAGCTTCAGTAAGAATAATTTTTTTTAAGTTTAGAAGTTTAAGAAAATTTGGTTTGACATATTTAACTTCAAAAGCCTTAAAAGTTTGTATAAAATTTCAAAACCTTTGTATGTGTTGAGTAATTCCCCAAAATGAAAACAAACCACTCATATAAGGGAAAATACCTGCATTGAAGATAATAAATGATTACTATCCATATTATATAATTTGCCCATGCAAATCAATGAGAAAAACTTTGTATCCAATAGACGTATGGAGAGGGGAAATTGGCAAACACTTCACAGAAGAAATTCTAATTTAGTAGATGCTATATATAGACTGAATGTTTTTGTGCCCCCTCAAAATTCATATGTTGAAATTGTAACCCTCCAATGTGATGGTATCTGGAGGTGGGACCTTTGAGAGGTCATGAGGGATCAGTCCTCATGAATGGGCTCATGCCTGATATGGTTTGGCTTTGTGTCCCTTCCCAAATCTCATGTCAAATTGTAATGTCCGGTGTTGGAGGAGGGGCCTGGTGGGGTGTGATTGGATCATGGGGGCAGACTTCCCCCTTGCTGTTCTCATGATAGTGAGTGAGTTCTCACAAGATCTGATTGTTTAAAAGTGTGTAGCATTTCCCCCTTCTTTCGCTCTCTCCTGCCACCATGTGAAGATGTGCCTGTTTTCTCTTCGCCTTCCTTGTAAGTTTCCTGAGGACTCCCCAGCCACACTTCCTGTACAGCCTGTGGAACTATGAGTCAATTAAACCTCTTTTCTTCATAAATCGCCCAGTCTCAGGTAGTTCCTTATAGCAATGTGAGAACAGACTAATACAATGCCCTTATAAAAGAGACCCCAGAGAACTCTCTCATCCCTTCTGCCATGTGAAAACACCACAAGAAGATACCATCTATGAACCAGGAAGCAGGCGCTACCCAGAAACTGAACCTGCCAGCACCTTGATCTTGGACTTCCCAGCCTCCAGAACTGTGAGAAATCAATTTCTGTCATTTATCAGCCACCTAGTCTATGACATTCTGTTACCGCAGCCCAAACCAACTAAGAGAGTAGATAATCATATAGAAGACGTTTAGCCTTGAGAAATGAAGATAAAAGCAAAAACAAGATACCACTTTCCAGCTATTAAATTAGCAAAATAAAAAATTTAATGGTATGGCTCAATCATGAAGAGTCTGGTGGAAGTGGACTTTTCATTGTGTGAGCAGTTTATTCAGCAAGTTTATTATGCATCTAAAATGTGCCCATCACAGGACTAGGCACTGGGAATGCACCAATACATAAGAATTCACATACCTCAGGCAGAGTCCATGGTCCAGTGTGGGAGAAAGAGGAAGCAATGTGGGCATCCGGAGGCTGCCCAGAGAAGGGTTGACTGATCTGGATGGAAAGGCAGGAGGGGAGTGGCAAAGATCTTCCACACATGGAGGTGCGGATGAGGGCAGCCTACAGAGGGGAGGCACAAGGCCTCAGCCCAAGCTCTGCCTGAATCTGATCCCAGCACGCCTTTCCAACTTCTCTCCCCAACTCCCAGGACTCACCCTCCTGCCAACCACCCTGGACTCTACACTTCCTGTGCTGCTCAGTTCTCACTGCCAAATTCTCACCTCCATGCCTTTGTTTAGCCTCTGCCTTCCACCTGCAATGACTCCCCTGCACTGCAACCCTGATGAAAATCCTTCAAGGCCCACCTCAATCTCTTCCATGAAGCCATCTCTGTCCTCTGTGCTTCTTTTACATCTCTTCCAAGGCCTTGTGCTCATGCATTAATTCCCTCATTTGACAAGCTTCCATAGGGCACCTCTCTGTGCCAGGCACCATCCCAGGTGCCAGAGAGACAAAAGCGAATCAGATACAGTCACCACCCCCAAGGAGCTCCTGACACTCACCATATCAGTCCCATAGTATAATTCTGTGTGACCCCATCTATCACCCCTATAAGACGCTCTACTCCTTAAGAACTGGAGCAACATCCTCTGCATCTCCACCCACACGGTGTTCACAGCAGACGCTTACAAAATATGTCCAGGTGAAGTGGACTGAATTGGATTGGCCAGTACTTGCATATATTATCTCAGTTAATTCTCACTGCATCTGTGTGGGCCATTATTATTGTGAGGTATTATTATCTGTAAGTTATTATTATTGTTATCCCCATTTTACAGATGAGGAGACTGAGGCTCAATGAGGTAAAGTCCTTGGCCTGTGGTCACTGTGGTGTTTAGCACAGCTGAGAGGGTCTGCCTCCCTGCCCAGCCCTTTGCCTCATTGTTCCTTCCCCTAGTGTTCTAACAGGAGCAGAGATGGAGGATGAAAACCTCCAGACAGTGCAGAATATTCAGTGAGGTACTTTTGTCCTGCAGAAATAAGACACTGTCAATTCTCATTACTTGAAGTAGTTATGTTCTCTAAAGTTGTTGTGAGTAAATATCAGTGGCTGATAAATGACAGAAATTGATTTCTTATAGTTCTGGAGGCTGGGAAGTCCAAGTTCACTAAACTAGTGAACACCTAACCATTGCTCCCAGGAGATCAATATACACTCTAGTATAAAGTACAGTACTGTCTACTATATACTGCACAACATGTAGTGCTCTATACTATACTGGTCACAACATTTTCATCAACCGATAGATACATAACCTTGTTTTATGTGTGTTTCTGTTTAAAGACACCTAATTTAATATCTATCATTAGGTCATTAACATTGGATTCCCAGCCAACAGCACTATATTTATAACTCATGCCTGAATGAAATTTATCTAACAGAGGGACTTTCTCCATAAGGCACATCACAGCCGTCTTGCAATTAGGAACACCGCTAGTCAGCACTTCAGCACTATACTTGGGGGCCATGTTAAATAGCAAAATCACCAACAAAAAGCACAAAAATGCTTAAAATATGGCACTAAATATAGCACAAGAAGGACACTTGTTTACAGTATGTGAGTTGAAACAAGAAGGCAGATCATCCGGCCTCAGCTGGGAACATGCAAATTGGGAGACTCAAATTTTTCGTTGCTTTGCACATGTCTGTGAATAACCAAAAAAGTGCCATGAATATTGATTTTTAGGGTTACAAATAAATGTTTGCAAGTAGGCAAATTCACGAATATAAAATCTGTGAGGATCAACTGTACCTCACTAAAGAAAACAGAAGGGAGAGGTGTTCGATTTGATGGGCCCAAGGACCCCCATGTGGTTCCCGAAGCCAGCACTGATGGGCTTCTTACGGTCATGTCTTCCGAGGCATTGAGCCTGCAGCTTCCCACTGCGTCACAGCAGGAAAGCAAACGAACGCAGCAAACGAAGCCAGCTCTCAAGACCCAACGTTCATTTCAGAGTAATAAAGGAGAGCCCCTGAGAAAGGGGCCGGTCCTGGCCCATCAGCAGCAGGTAGTCAGGTATCGGGAAGGACCTGAAGCTGGGGCTCATGACCTGTGTTCTCCCAGCATGATGGACCAGACTTCGGGACCTCAGGCAAACCAGGGACTCCTCTGGGTCTCCATGTCCTCTGCTGTGAAAGGGCAGAAGGATCCTGTTCGGTTCCACAACTGACACAAATTAGAGTTGTGAGGGGGCTTCAAGCACCACCCAAATGCAAAATGCCTTTGCCAGGCTCCCAGGCAGGGGGAGGGGGACACTGGGGGTGATCCTCAGTGGCTGTGACAAGGGCATGCTGGGCCACCAGTGCACCCAGCTCCAGCTCCCTTGGGACCTTCGTCTACACATACAGGATGCCATCTAGCAGGGCAGACGCAGCTCACGGCCCCACATGGGAAGTGAACCTGTCACCTGGCCTCATTAGTTTTTCAGTTTGACCAAATGAGTAAAAACTAATAAATGGAAAACAGTCATCTACTAATAAGTGGACCAGCCAGGGCAGCAGAGCTGAGTCCTGTCAGGGCTGAACTGGGGCAGTGAAGTGGAGATCAGGACCCAGAGCCAACCAGGAATTCAAAGAAAGAAACGAAGAGAGGAACAAAACACCCAAGCCCTCTCTCACGGCACTGGAGGAGCATAGAGCTTTGAGGCAGGAGCCGAGAGCCTGCTGAATGGAGACCTTTTCTGTAGAAGCTGCCAGAACAGGCCAGGTACGGTGGCTGACACCTGTAATCCCAACACTTTGGGAGGCTGAGGCAGGAGGACTGCTTGAGTCAGGAGTAGGATTACTTGAGTCAGGAGTTCAAGACCAGTCTGGCCAACATGGTGAAACCCCATCTCTACTGAAAATACAAAAATTAGCCAGGTGTGGTGGTGTGCACCTGTAATCCCAGCTACTTGGGAAGCTGGGGCAAGAGAATCACGTGATCCCAGGAGGTGGAGGTTGCAGTGAGCCGAGATTGTGCCACTGCACTCCAGTCTGGGTGGCAGAGCCAGATTCCATCTCAAAAATAAATAAATTAATTAATTAAACATTAAAAAAAGAAGAAGAAACTGCCAGAACATGGAAAGATTCAATCTGTGAGCAGTCACAACTCTGGCTCCCCTACACCCTAGAATGTTGGCCTTGTGAGCGGCAGCAGTACAGACAGGGATGGATTACTCACTTAGCACGTGCCAGCCCGGGGCAGGAAGCAGAGTGCCCAGATGGCAATTAATCCAACAACTGTAAGCTCCCTGGAGGCAGAAATGGTATATTCCACCAAGGGTCTTGCACAGTGCTTAACATGATACTGCTTCTGTATCAATAGTGTCTACACCACCTGCTTTCAAACAAGCTTGCAATTCCTTTTAAGAGAAGACATATCCATAATACATGTTTTCAAATAGAAATAAAAATTCTTAAATGTAAACAGAAATGCAAATAAATATACCCCAAAATAAAGTTATACAGTTTGAGGACTGAACACTGAATTTAAATCTGAGCTCTGAAAAGCAGAAAGGGTTGCCTACACTCAGGGATTAAGTCTTTCTCACTACCTGATTTGTCCTTACAAAAAAATCTTAGGATTTTATCACATGGTCTTTGCATAAATGCAATAGATCCAATGAAGATTTACAGATGTCTCAGAAGGCAAGCCAGACTCATTAGGTCATAGAAAGAGTAGCAAGGAACTCAGGAGATCAAAGAAAGGAAGAGACCAACTCCAGTCCTCTCTCAGGGAACTGGAGGAGAGAGGCAGAAAGAGTAGCAAGGAACTCCACCCCCTGTCCTTGACCTTTGCGGGACAGATGTCAGCTCTGTTCAAGAAGAACTGCAGAGCAGTGACCTTAACTTTAAGAGACAATGTCGGTAAATAGAGGTTAAGGTAACCAGTGCTTTCCTGGGGGCTGGCATTTGTCAGTAAAATGCAATGGCCCGTTTGTTTTAGAGAAGTTAATATCTACTAATGTGGTCCCACCTCACTGATTGACTGGAGCAGGAAGAATCTGTCTGATGCTAGCACATGTGCAGGGCCATAAACCATCCCATGCAAAACACTGAGTGTGTCCTCTGTTTGCCTTTTCTGTGTCCCATCCTACCCCAGTCCCATCCAGTGCCCAGGACATGAGCATCTATATTACAACAGGTGATAGAGACTGAACCCTCAAGAAAAGGAAGAAAAGAGGCACCAGAAGAAGGATCTTCTTCCAGACTACCCAGCAATAGCTGAAGCTCTAGGATCCTCCTCCTTTAATGAGGAAGGGGAAAAACAGCCTTGACCAATGTCAGGGGACCTGAATTAGGACCCAAGGTGGTGCCTCTTACCCACTGGCCCCGTATGCATGCTCAAATACCTAGAGTTGGCAGGGGGACAGGCAGGCAGGGAGCACTGAAGTGAACGGGGTTGGGTGTGAAGATGAATAGGGAGTGGTGGGGACTGCGGCTCACCATGGAGTGCAACCTGTTGTTACGCAACTCTGTTGATCGTTGCCATGTGGGATTACTGGACCGGTGTGGCCAAATCTTCCAGCTTTTCAAGAGAAGCCAGAGTTCTGGATTTTTATGAGAAATCTGATTTTTAAATGTTGGCAGTAAATTAAAAAGATGTAAGCACTACAAAACAAACAAAACACATCTGCAGACAAGATTTGGCTGGCTGGTTGACCACACAGGACCTCTCGCTTGAAGGGGAATGGGAAAGTCATGCCTATAGGTGATGACAATGTCAGAGAAGAGAGGGATTCCTTGGACAATGGCAGCTAAGGTCCAGGGATGAAAGAAGAGACAGAGAACCTGGGGAGCAGAAAGCAAGTAGTAGCGGGAGCTAGAGGTGGGTGGGACCAAGTCCACCAGCTCAGTGCCAAGGCCAGCTGGGCCTTTCCTCAGTGTTTGTGGGCAAACAAGGCTCCTTAAAGAGGACCAAAGAGAAATAGGATGACCAGAACATGGAAGAAGATTCCAATGGCAACTCCACTACCATCATCACCTTCTCTCTCTGGATCTCCTTGGAAACCACAGAAATAACAACCTACAGACCTTGGTATAAACAGCTCCGGCAGAAATGCAGCTTTGTCTGGGCCATCATGCACTGGGTACCAGGATGGGGAGCCTCATCCCACTCACATCAGCAGCGTCCCACTGAGGCTCTTCAGGTTGTGTCCTCAGCCCTTATGGCCAGGCCTACTTGTCGGGTGCTCAGTTTCACACCCTTCATGCAGCCTGGGCTTTCTTCACCTCCTCTCTCCAGCCCACTGCTGTCTGTTGTTTTCTAAGAAGGGATAAAGGAAGCTCACAGCCACATCACTGTCAACACCTCTGGGAGCCCACTAGTGGGTCTCTGCAAGGTTCCTGGCTAGATATGATCTAAGCAGACTATTCTGAAGTTCCACGAGGCATCAAAGGAAGGAGAACCCAGACGTTGTGGTTATCTAATCAGTAATGTATGCAGCAGACACCATGTATCCAGTCCCCATTACACTCAGGGAATTTGGCAAAAGAACCAAAGGACTCATTCTTGGACCTCAGGAAGCTTAGAGTCCAGCACTCCATTTTATAGATGAGGAAACCGAGGTCCCCCAAGGTGAAGTAACATCTTCAAGGTCTGTCATGTCATAGGTAGCCCTAAGAATGGTGGCACTGGTTTTATAAAAAATTAGTTTAGTTCATTATCATGCCCAGTAAGAACATGTTTGAGCAGCAAATGCATTTGCAACAAAGGTCAGTTTCCAGCTGTAACAAAGTAGACCCATCTAAAAAGAGGTTAGGAAATACAAGAGCAAATATATATAGCTTTACAAAAACTAAGATGCTAAGTTTAAAAATTTAGGGATTTGGGGGAGGTATTTTTTTAGAAACAGCATCTTGCTTTGTCACCCAGGCTGCAGAGCAGTGGCTCACCGCAGCCTGGAAATCCCAGGCTCAAGCACAATCATAGCTCACCATACAGCCTGGAAATCCCGGGCTCAAGCACTCCTCCCACCTCAGCCTCCCAAGTAGCTGGGATTACAGATATATGCCACCACACCTGGCTATTTACTTTTACTTTTTATTTTTGTCAAGACAGAGTCTTGCTATGTTCCCCAGGCTGGTCTCAAACTCCTGGCCTCACGTGATCCTTCTGCCTCAGCCTCCCAAAGTGCTGGGATTACAGCTGTGAGCCACCATGCCTGGCCATAAAAGATCTTTTATTTTGTCAACAAGAATTCACCACAGTGTTCTTATAAGTCATGGTAAGAAACATTTTTTCTATATATGACACTATACTGCGAAAATGTATTGGAGGCTACATAAGTAAAAAGCCTTTAGTAGGGTTTATTTCATTTCATTCTGCTTTAGATATCAACTACTATTTAAGAACAAGAAACATAGAACTCCATTCAATAAATACAAACAAAAATACATACACAGTTTAAAAAAGGAAGAGTGGAATCAGATTAAGAAAAACCAAAAGGGGGATGCTTGAGAGGCTGAGACACAGTCTTTCTGTTGGTCAAAGCTGAGAGGCCAAAGACTGAATCCTCAACTGATACATATGATACACGTGATCCCCAGCACTCATGAGACTGTGTCCCCAAGTTCCATGTATTAAGATGGCTGGTGAGAACTCAAAGTATTTTCCCATGACAACAGCATTATAAATGGCCATGTGGGGGTGGTACTCCCAGGCTTGGTCCTTAAAGCCAGGTGAACTCAAAAGGAAGCTGGGCTACCCCGGGGGTCAGTTCACTCGCCCATCACCTCCCCAAACCAGAAGCTTCTCCCTCATTCATTCATTCTCTTGCGCCACAGACGTGGACCTACCATCTGCTCCCATTATTACTTCATTTCCACGTCCTCCCTCCCCAGCACGCCTTGTCAGCCTTCTGCTTCGCTCATTTTATAACCCCCTCCCTTAGAGATCTCTTCCATTCTCAGAACTCCCACAGTGCCTTACATAGGTAGCTGCCGGAGGCATTCAGTAGGGGACACTGCAGCCAAGGGATCATGACAGAGGCTCCAGCAGGCTGGCCATGAGGGGCAGGTGCAAGAAGAGGAGACAAAACAAAAATGAGAGGTACTTCGTGGCCCCTGAGAAGAGAGATCAGCCTTGCTCCTTTCTCTCCAATTCCTAGTCCAGTCCCCAAGAGGCCAGTTCTACTCTGCCTCTGTTCTTATAGGGCCACGAGAATATACTCTTAAAAGACGCTCCTCTATTTGAGCTATCTTGAGTGGGATTCTGTATCTCACAACTAAAGAGCCTTGGCTAGAACGTCAGGTACTAAACTCTTGTTTGTCCCAATTTCTTAAGCTCATCTCCCAATTTTGATTCAGGCTCTCAGGTTCATGGTTCATGAGGATACCCACTCCCTGGATGGACACTCAAGAGGAGGCACCACCCTTGCCCCACCTGGCCCTGCACCCCACCGTGGCCCCAGGTGGAGTCCCAGCCCAGCTTCTCCAAATCCTGACAAACACGCTCGTAATGAAAATTAACTTAAAGGTGAATTTGCTTTTCCCAACACTTCAAGTTCTCAGTGAACTCTGGCTTCAATCCAAGGTATAAGTCAGCCCCTGAATGAGGCCCTGGAGGATGAGATGATCAACTCCTTATGCTGCATTCTTTTTCCTTCCCAAAGAGCAGATGTGCACGTTATCAGATGCCTCCTTATCATCTCAAATCATCTCACTAAATTCAAAACTTCATGGGTGGAATAACTGCCAGGCTGCGCCTGGTTCCTGTGCTGACATCCCCCTCCTTTCCAGCTAGCACCTGCTGATTGCTTTCTGCGGGCTGAGCCCAGCCCTGGCTCTGGGGCCAGCCCTGTCCTCTGACAGAGGGATTTCAGGGGTTTGGACTCAACACACGAGAGTCTCAGCAGCACACTACCCTTCCCTCCGGTCTGACTCTGACCTGGGCTCCGATATTGACTTGTGGATTTCTGTATTATTTCTGACTCTTGCAGCCATCTTATTCTCTCAGGCCAGCTCTCTGCTTTCCTCCCTAATCCTTACTTCCTACAAGAACCAGTCGCTCTTGCCTTGTTCTTTTGAGCTCCCAGCATGGAAGAAGAAGCCTGCTTACAGCCTTTCTGATGGGATTTGCCTGGGTCTCTGGCCCACACACCCCAGCCTCCCTGTGTCTGTGCCTCTGCTCTGCCTCTGGTGGGGCCCTGTGCACCCAGGCTGGACCCCCACCACCAGCCTCCCGCCTGGGTGACAGCTGTCACCTGGGGCCTTCCCCGTAGGTGTGGGGGAAGCCTGCCATGAGAGGGCAGTGGCTCCCCCAACCCAGTGGGGGCTTTGATCCCAGATCCCACCCTCCAATCTGACCCATTCCTCCAGTGCTCCCAGAGCACGACAATCATCACTCCCATCTTAAAAACACAATCTCCTTAATGGTGGGAGAAAAAGTGGTTACTGCTGTATCCTTGGTGCTGAGCACAGAAGAGGTCCTCAATTAGCATATTTTACATAAGGAAGGAGAGATAGAGAGAAAGCAATTCTAATCATGAATTTGGCATCAGAGAGGCAGCAGAGCTGTGGGGTCGATCCCAGGGAAGAGTGTGGGGAATGACAGGCTAGGAGGGCACCATGTGAAGATCAAGTTCTGACCGGTGGGAGCCAAGAACTCTTGTGGGCGGGGCAGGGTGATGATGAGGGCCAGCTGGACACCCCCAAAGGTCTGAGAAAGAAAGACTGAAAGTCCACAGAGACCCCAGCAAGCTCTCCCCGGCTTGCAGACCTAAGGACCACATTTTCCATCTGAGAATCTGTACAAAGGGCCCTGTAAAGAGAAGCTAATGACCACATGGCTAAAGGGTCTCCTTTCCAGACACTCTCTGCAAGGTGATGTGGGCCTGCCCAGCTCCATCCCTGAGCCTGAGAATTTCTCTTGCTGCTGGTACCCATCCCCAGCCGGGGGTCAGAGGCATCACACATTCAAACAATCCATCCTACCCCTGACAGCCTCATGGGGGAGCAGGAGAGCAGGCAAGGCCATCAGGCAGTCTTGAGCCTCCTGGCTCCATCCACAGTTCACACGTGTTTGTCTGACACCACTGATGTGCCCAGCCTGATGCTGGAATAAAAGAAGAAAGGCCAGACTGTCACTGCTGTTGACAGACTGGTTGATGGGTCGGGCAGATGCTGAATAAATAATAGCAGGCAGGATGAGGTTTAGCACCCATAAGCCTGCAAAACACATCCTGTGCACCCCCAGCACCTCTCTAGGGGAGTGATGGAGAGCCTAAGTCGTCAGCAGCTCAAGGGAACAGGGTTAGAAGTGATGCCAGTGTCTGTTTCTAGAAGCAATGGAGTGTAGGAGCTAAACACAGGGCCTCTGACACTTCAAAGACTAGAGTCCTAATCTTGGCTCTGCCAATGATTAGCTGTATGCTCACCAACAGCTTACTTACCTCTCTGAAAATTCATTTCCACACCTACACGTACTAATAGTACCTACCACATAGAACTGTTGTGTGAAGATTAAATAAAATCATGTCTATAAAGCATTTAGCCCATAATTGACATAACAAATGGTACTTGTTCTCATTCTTTCACTGTTACTACTAAAGAGGAACCAGCATTGAATCCATTCTCAGATCCCTCTCTGGCCAACTTTGTGATGACCCCAGAGTGTGGCTCAGGACAACTTGGGAAGTCTTTTTTTTTGAGGGGGGAGACAAAGTTTTGCTCTGTTGCCCAGGCTGGAGTGCAAGTTGTGCGATCTCAGCTCACTGCAGCCTCTGCCTGCCAGGTTCTAGTGATTCTCCTGCCTCAGCCCCCTGAGTAGCTGGGATTACAGGTGTTTGCCACCACACTTGGCTAATTTTTTTTTGTATTTTCAGTAGAGATGGGGTTTCACTATGTTGATCAGGCTGGTCTGGAACTCCTGACCTCAAGCAATCCACCTGCCTTGGCCTCCTAAAGTGCTGGGATTACAGGCGTGAGCCACCGCACCCGGCCACTTGGGAAGTCTTTATGTTGGAGATTGATTCAGAGATTTCCCATGTGCTGGTTGGAATCCAAATCCAAGCATCTGATAGAGCACACTGATACAGGCCCTGCTCCAGAGTCCCCTGCAGGTTCCGGAAGAGTACTAAAATGAAGAATTCCAAGAGACTTGGACACTTAGGAAGCATGGGATTTGGGACACAGAAGTTGGGGGTCGCATAGAGAAGAGAAGACAAGAGAGCCAGCAAAGGGCCAACCCTGCGGGTATTACTGTTATTATTTTTGGTGTCAGACGCTGGAATAAGTGTTTTACGTGTCACACTTATTTAATCCTCGCTGTGAGGCAGGTACTATTATTCCATCTTACAAATAAGGAATGAGTTGCCCTGAGTCCCACAGAGAATCAGTACAGAGCCAGAGACGCAAACTCAGGCCTGCTGGGCTCCGACACCCACGTCTTCCCACACTGCAGCCCTCCAAGGTCCTGATGCCCATGGTCGCAGCTCCAACAGTGGGGAGGCACACCAAAGACAGGACTGGGGTCAGAATTTCGTAACTTGAGATCCATGGATCTCAATCTGAAAACTGCAAGCACGATTGTGTGTGTGTCTGTGTGCGTGCGTGTGTGTGTGTACCTACGAGAAGGTTCATAATGTTCGTCAGATTCTCAAAGGAGTCTGTGAATCTCAAAATGTCACGCACAACATACTTAGAGAAAAGAGGCCACCAGGACCTTCTTCTCTGGACCCCCTCCTCACCTAGCTTTGGAGGAGACAGAGGAAAGACAGGGATGTGTAAGAGAGCTCCCTGATGGGCCCCTGTGACTCTTCAGATTTCCAAACCTGTGGCCCTGGCAGCAGAGGCCCTGAGATTTCTCAGAGATGGCACTTGGCAATGCATGACGTGAGAGAAGACAGACTTGAATCCAATGAACTGGCCCAGCAAGAGTCCAGCCTGACGTTCATTCACAAAATCGAGACATCGTCCCTTCTGTAGGATATCATAGGGAGCCCCCCACTGACCCATTCTCATTTGGACACTTGGCAGTCAGTAGCACTCCTACCCCAACAAATAAAACTAGTGAAATGAGGAAGCCATGTCTACAAAGCTTGGGGAATGTCTGCACAGGGGCAGAGGCTGAAAAATCACAGCCCCATCTATAAGCTCTCTCAAGAGCCTCAAAGTTGGGCTGAGTGCAGTGGCTCGCACTTATAATCCCAATACTTTGGGAGGCTGAGGCAGGAGGATTGCTTGAGCCCAGGAGTTCAAGACCAGCCTGGGAAACAACATGACATCTCGTCTCCACAAAAAATACAAAAATTAGCCAGGCACGGTGACATGTGCCTGTGGTTCCAGCTACTCAGGAGGCTGAGGTGAGAGGATGGCTTGAACCCAGGAGGTTGAGGCTGCAGTGCACCACTGCACTCCAGCCTGAGTGACACAGCAAAATCCTGTCTCAAAAAAAAGAAAAAAAGAAAAAAAAGCTTCAAAGTTAAAAATATGCTGGGAACAGAAACATGTTGGATCTCTTTTTAGAGCCTCAAACCTTGGAAAGCAGAGCCCAGAAACCCTAAATCCAAGTTCTCTGATTCTGGACATTGGGTATCTCTTGGGTATGCACTGGTGTTCAATGCCTACCTTTAGCCCTGTAATGCCTGATAGCCTTTGGTTCCCCTCTTTTCTTTAGCCTGAAACACCAGCACTCAAATCCAGAGCTCAAACTGGCTTGAAGGAAGTTAGAATGTGGTTCCATCAGCCCCCCCCAATCAGATGGGAACACTGAGACCAGGTGAGAGTAATGTGTGCCACTCAAAGTCATGGACAGAGTACAGATAGGAACTCTAGGAACCAAAGGGTCTGTGGGTAAAGAAAGAATCCAAGCCTGGGCGTGTTGGCTAATCCCTGTAATCCCAGAACTTTGGGAGGCTGAGGCAGGTGAATCACTTGAGATCAGGAGTTCGAGACCAGCCTGGCCAACGTGGTGAAACCCTGTCTCTACTAAAAGTACAAAAATTAGCTGGGCATGGTGATGGGCGCCTGAAATCCCAGCTACTCAAGAGGCTGAGGCAGGAGAATTGCTTGAACCAGAGATCATGCCACTGCATTCCAGCCTGGGCAACAGAGAGAGACTCTGTCTCAAAAAATAAAATAAATACAATGAAAAAAGAAAGCGTCCCCATGATTCAGAGACAGGGCCCAGAGAGGGGACATGTCTCAGAGTCTCTCCTGCTAATGTATTATTTTAAACCCAATACCTAAACTGTTGGGGTTATGCAGACATCCTACACAGATGGCAGGAGTTTAGGAAGTGAGGATTTAGAGCAAGGTTGATTTCTTAAATAGAGATGGACATGGCCCCGTGGCTCAGAATAGATGAGGCGGGAAACATCAACTTCCATCCGAGCCAATAAGTAATTAAAACCATTTCCCCTTTTAAAGTCCTCATTACAAACATCAAGAAATCAGATCCAGATTTCCTTTTCAGGTACATTTACAAAGATGGATGTGCCCAACGCAGACTTCCTGGACTCTTTGGGGAACAAACAAACAAACAGAAAGTTCAAAGCATCAGCCACACAGGCTTCTCCTCCACATCTCCTGTGGCTAACAGGAGAGGTGTCTAAGAACTCAGGAATGGGGCTGTCAGGTTCAGCCACTCTCGTATCGAAAAGGGTGCAAGAGGGTCGGAAAGTGTATGCGCGCCTGTGTGTGTGTCTGTGTGTGTCTCCCACTAAGTACTTCCTTCACTACACAGCTAATCCGATTAGCAGCTTTAGGAAACTCTGTAATGTTAATTCAAGGGCCCCATTCATAGAACAGCGTGGCCAATGCCTGCCCAGGACTCCCATTCTTCTCACTGCAAATAAAATGCACACAGAAGACTTTCTTTCCCTGAAGAATCCTTTCTTGCCGCCTTGCCCCCACACACATCCAAAATGCGGCTGCCACATCCTCCAGCAGCCCCATGACAAGGGAATGGGCCCATCGGAGAATGGGGGAGAAATAGCAGTTCTCTCCATCCCAAGCACAAAATGTGGCCAATTTTAATAGCACCATCTACCCAGGCCATCTCCCCAAGCTGGGAGGCATGCAGAGCAAAGAGGCATCACAAATGCAGCTGGGTAGAGATGGATAAAGAGGCTTGAATGGGTCATCCAACCTTTCTGGGGGTCTTCATTTCCTTATGTGTAGAATGGGGACTTTGAGCAGAGGGAGCAGCTAGAACAGAGGCTGTAAGGAAGGAAACTGGGGGCCTGCACAGGCACATCATTGCATTTGGCTAGAGGACCAGGAGTGGGAAGAGAGGCTGGATACACAGGTTGTGGACATAGCATGAAGGGCCTTAAGAGTCCGACCAAGGAATGTTTCTAATAAGCAAGGGGGAGCTATTGAAGGCTCTAAACAGCACAGCAGTATTCGTTTCCTAGGACTGCCATGCAATCTACAACTGAGTGGCTTACAACAGAACTCTATTCTCTCACAATCCTGGAGGCTAGAAGTCTGAAGGCCAGGTGTTGGCAGCATTCTCCCCAAATGCTCTAGGGGAGAATCCACCTTTGTCTCTGCTTAGCTTGCGGTGGCTCCTGGCAACCCTGGTGTTCTTGGCTTGTGGCTGCATCACTTCAATCTCTGCCTCTGTCTTCACATGGCCTTCTCTGTCTGTCCTCTTCTTTTCCTATAAGCATGTCAGTCAATAGATTTAGGATCCACCCTAAATCCAGGAGGATCTCATCTCAAGATCCTTAACTAATTAGATCTGCAAAGATTCTATTTGCAAATAAGATTACATTCTGAGGTTCCAGGTAGACATGGGTTTTGGGAGGACCCACTACAGTGGTCACAAGGTTGCCAGAAAGATAAGCTAGAAGCAGAACGGAGTAAGAGAGACTAGAGGCAGGAAGACAAATTGGCATGAAATCAACACAGCTCGTGGCCCCAAGTGAACAGAAGACATGCTCCCTGCTGTGAATCCTAAAGCTGTCAGTGGCTTTTTGTGGACACTGCAGTGCACTAAGTGGGCTCTTAAGCCAACCCAGGCATAAGGTCTTGCCTCACCATTGGCACAGAAAGACTCCAGCCTACTTTACAAGTGACAACAAAGGAATAACCACCTGCACTCTTGTTCTCAGCTCCTCTAGCTGGCAATATGATGGGCAGGTTGGTAAAGTAGAAGACACAGCAACCCTGGAGTTGACAAACTTGGGTTCTAGTCCTGATTCTGCTACTGAATAAATTTGGGCACATCTAGCAAATGAGGCTGACTGGGTCACCTCTAGGGCAACTGACATGGTTTCCTTCTGCAGCCAAAAAAGCAGTGCCAAGATCACAGGATAAACAGGCAAAGGAGGCCTCTGGGGTTGCACTGCAGGGTTCTGGGCCCTTCCCCCCATGTCTCCCTCCAGGGACCTCAGACCTCTCCCCTTGAGCCCTCTCCCTACCCTCCAACAAAAGAAACAGGATGGCTCTGTGTCCCCACCCAAATCTCATCTTACAGCTCCCGTAATTCCAAGTGTTGTGGGAGGGACCCAAAGGGAGATGATTGAATTATGGGACGGGTCTTTCCCATGCTGTTCTCATGATAGTAAGTGGGTCTCACGAGATCTGACGGGTTTAAAAATGGGAGTTTCCCTGCACAAGCTCTCCTTGCCTGCCGCCATCCACACAAGATGTGACTTGCTCCTCCTTGCCTTCCACCATGATTGTGAGGACTCCCCAGCCACGTGGAACAGTGAGTCCAATTAACCCTCTCTCTTTTGTAAATTGCCCAGTCTCGGGTACACCTTTATCAGCAGAGTAAAAATAGACTAATACACAGAGGCACTTACCAAAGCTTGGAAATGAGATTAACTTGCATCTAAGAATACATCTTCCCACACATTTGGAAGTAGGAAAAGAGGATAAAGGTGTGGTTCCTTTTTAATTTTATATGTATATATATATATATATATTTTATTTTTGTTGTTGTTGTTGTTGTTGAGACGGAGTCTCACTCTGTCACTCAGATGTAGTGCAGTGGTACGATCTTGGCTAGTGAAATCGTACTAGCAACCTCCACCTCCCGGGTTCCAGCAATTCTCCTGCCTCAGCCTCCAAAGTAGCTGGGACTATAGGCACCCACCACCATGCCCGGCTAATTTTTGTATTTTTTAGTAGAGACAGGGTTTCACCATGTTGGCCAGGCTGGTCTTGAACTCCTGACCTCAAGTGATCCGCCTGCCTCGGCCTCCCAAAGTGCTCGGATTACAGGTGTGAGTCACCGCACCTGGCCTGTGATTTTTAAAATTAAAACAAATGTTTAAAGATACATGCAGAAAGTTATTTATAGAAACATTGCTTCTAAGAGGAAAAAAAAATACAGAAAAAAAATGGGAAACAATCTTCACATTTATCTATAATGGCTTAGTTAGGTAAATCATGGCAGAGTTGCACATTGAATCACTACTGCCGTTAAAATAAGAGAGACCACAACGTGCTGCATGACAAGATGTCCATGATAAAGTGTTAAGTAAAAAATTCAGACAACACCAAAGCACATTGAGTAAAATCCCTAATCCCTTTTATGTTACACACACACACACACACACACACACACACACACACACACGCAAACATGCACACACACAGCCTGAGCACATTAAGTCTGGAAAGAATCCAGCAAACTGGTAATGCCAGGGATCTTTGGGGCTGGGATAACAGGGGATTTTCATCTTCCACTTTATACAATTATGAGCTACTGGACTTTTTTTTTTTTTTTTTTTTTTACAACAAGCAGCATTAGTTTAATCAACAAAAACAATAAAAAATATTCCCATTCTGACGATAAAATAACTATTCATACTATTCTAGGTAGACGCAAAGTACTATTGGACCTCAGAGAAAAATGATCAGGATAAAAATCACTTTGCCATAAAAACACACTAGAAAAAAAAATATCAAGCTTGGGAAGGAAGAAACACCAAGTATGATATATATTTCAAAGGCCTCATTCCTAAGGCCCCACATTCCCTATGTACACAGCAAATTTCCCTCATTCTCCACTTGTTTTAATTTTAATTTTAATTTTTTTTTTTTTTTGAGACAGAGTCTTGCTCTGTCGCCCAGGCTGGAGTGCAGTGGCGTGATCTTGCTCACTGCAGCCTCGATCTCCCAGGCTCAAGCGATCCTCCCACCTCAGCCTCTCAAGTAGCTGGGACCACAGGGGTGAATGCCCAGCTCCCCACTCTCCACTTTAATCGTAAACCCTCCCAGGTCAGTCTTCTCTCTGCAAATATTAATAATAATGAGGAGGAAGCAGATGAAATGTATTAAGCATTTGTTATGTGCCAGGCACTGTGCTAAGCACTTTGCACATATTCTTTCTTTTCATCCTCGCAGCATTACTCTGAGGTAAGGATTATTGCTATTTGCATTTGACAGATGAAGAAACTGAGGCCCAGCTTAAGGATGCAAGTCCAGGCAGTCTGACCCAAAGCCTGTGACCACGGTCAGCACTCTCACCACCCTTCTGGGAGCAAAGCCCTGCTGAGGCTCTGGATCTCTAAGGCCCTGGGAGACGGCTCCAGGGTCTGCCATCTTCATCTGCCTCCATCTCCTCTCTGCTGATGTTGGCCAGCACCTTCTGGGTACAAGGTCCTGGCCCAGACTCTGGGGGATCTAAATCCAGGCAGGATGTAGGCTCTGTGCTCTATCAGCTCTATCAGCTCACTGGAGAGAAGGGAGAAGACAGGCCTCCAAATTCTTAGGTCATGTCCACCTTGAGCAAGTGGCATGAGGGAGAAGGCAGGGCTGCTGGGCTTCCTCCACCACAGCATCCTCAGGCAGCCTTCCCTCAACACAACCCTCTAGCAGCCGGGTATGCAGCTGGCGTGGTGGCTGGCCACTGCCCTGCCTCTCTTTGGGGTCTCTCACTCCCATCTGCCAACCTTGGGCCCCCAAGGACAGCAGGACAGCTGAGAAAGGCAACCCTGAGCATTCTTGATGGTGGGCCGGCGTCAAGCCAGTGAGACCCAAACCGGGGAGACCAAGACTCAAAGCCTTACTGGATCCTGCACAGACACCACTCCTGTCTTCTAAATGAGTATGCACCCACTTAGAGCGTAAAGTGGTACAACCACTTTGGAGAACTCTACGACAGTACCTACTAACGCTGAACTGTGTGTGCCCTATGACCCAGCACCCCCACTCCTGGGCACAGGCCCAGTGGAAATGAGTGCTCGTGTTCACCAAAACACTACGTCCAAGAATGACTGCAGCAGCTTTATTTATCGTAGCCCAAACCACAAACTGCCCACATGTCTGTCAACTGAAGAACAAATAAACCAGAGTCCGTTCATACAATAGAATACTGCATAACAATGAAAAAGAGCAACACGGCAATGTGAGTGAATTTCAGTCACAGGCTGCACAAAAGAAACCAGACACAGTAATACAGACTGTACGACTCCATGCAGGTAAAAGGAGTCTGGGGTGATAGAGGTCAGACCAGTGGCTACTTTGGGACACGTATTAACTGGGAGGGATGTGAGGAGTCTCTGGGGTCTGGAATGTTCCTTATCTTGGTGTGGGTGGTGGTCCCATGGGCGTGTACATATGTAAAAGTTCATCATGCTGTATGTTTGAGATACATGAAGTTCACTATTTTTAAGTAACACCATCAAAAAAGTTTTAAAACTATTTTAACTACACATACAAGATTACAGTCAGGTCAGCTTCTCCAGGCCTCCAGGTAAGAGCTGGGGAGAAAAGTGTGATTAGATGGAGTGGTAGAATTATGCAAAGATGCTTCCTTTAGTAAGAGCTTAAGTAAAGTTCTGAATATATTGGTATTAAAAATAATTGAAAACTCCATTTAAAATGTGAATAGAATTTCAAACCTTATACGAGACCTCAAAAATCCTAAGAAATGACACTCATGAAACAAGACACCAAAAAGAAATCCTAAAGTACATAATTGCCCCACCTTCCTCCCAGCCACTGGCGATGAGGTCCCCGTGACCTCCTGGCAATGTCAGCCCTCATCCACCAACCCCTGCAGGGAGCTTTGAAGGCAGGTCCCTGTAGCTGCTCTGGTTCCTCATGAACCGTGGGAGGTGCCCCTGCCCTGGGCACATGCCCACACATTTCCCTCCAGGTTCCAGAGATCTTCCTGGATGTCACCACATACATGAGCAGCCTGGAAGAGGGGTTGCCTGATACAACCCTCCCCCCAGCACCATCCCCACTGCAATCAGCATAGTGAAGCTGCCCAAGCAGGCAGCCAGGAACCCAGCACCCCAAGGGCACCTGGTGGGCTGCAGAGAGCAGTGGGAGAGGAGACTCCATCAAGGCACCCCTGATTTCAAGATGAGCAAGTCATGCTCCTGTTCACCAGAACCCCTACAGCCCAGTGGGCAAAGCCCAAGCTCATGAGTTCAACAGGCAAGCCCTTCACTGTCTACCCCAGCTAACTTCTCCAGACACATCTCCTGCCACAGCCCACCCCAAAGGGCTGCCCTCCAGTGACTTGTACCTTACCTCTGTTCCTCAAATAAGGAGAGTCCCCCCATACTTTCTGCCTTTGCAAAAGACTCTCCTTCCACCTGAAGAGCCCTTTTTTCCTACTCAGGACTCCTACTCACCCTTCAAGACACCACACACAAGTGCCCATTCACATGACACCAGGCAGGCTTCTCCACTCACTCTCTGTCTTCCCACTGCTCTTGGTTTCTCACACACTTGCTATGAGGTGTTATGGTTTTCTGTTTACATTTCACTTGACTCTCCAATCTGGAAAGTGCTGAACCCCGAGGCCAGAGTCCTAAGAACAAATGCCGAGCTCCAGCCTGAACCCTCTGATAAAGAGGCAAATGGAGATTTTCTTAGATGAATCAGCAAACTTGGAAGCCCCAGCTCCACTGGCTCCAGTGGAGAAGGAGAAGTGACCCCTCTGATTTTCCACAAATAGGGGGGCATTAGACTAGCAAGTCAAACACCGATGACTCGTGGACCACATCTCCCCCTGCTGAAGTCCCTCATCCCTCCCATCTGGGCAGGAGAAGGGAGGAAGCAGTACCTACCTGTGCTGTGTCCTGTTGCCCCCACTGTCTGCTTGGTCCAGTCTCTGGCTTTGTCAATGTGAAACAGCTTCAAGTCATCTTCATCTAAGGCAATGTCTCCCCAAAAGACAGCTGGGAAGGAAACACATAAGTGGGTGAATTTATGCTAGAAGTCAAGAAAAATGGATTCACTAATGCCCCAAAGGGCATTGGGTGTTGGGTGGTAAACTTTGGAAAAGACAGCCCATCCAGTAAAATTTCTCCTTGAGCCTAAGAGATAGGGCTGGTGGAGGCAGAGGAACAGCAGGTATTAGTTCTGTGCAGCCTGGGGCTGTGCCAACCACCATGAAAATCCAAATCCTAAGTCTGTAAGGTATTTTGAAAGGTCACCTGTCTTGTCCTCGCTCTAGGCAGCTCTGAGCAAAACTACCACAAAAAGACAGCTGCTTCTTTCTTCTTTATGGTCCCCAAGATGTAGAAGAAAACGAATAATGTGATAAATTATACTGTTGCTCATAATTTTTGTTGCCCTTCCCTGGGGAAAGATTATAGCTCACTGCCCCATTGGTGTCAGGATTGGCCACACAGCCTGCTCTAATTCAGTGTGAGCAGAAGCTTTAAGAGCTAGTGCATGATTCACTGCATCCTCTTTGCCCTGTCCCAGAAGACAAGCAATGTTCCAGATGGGGTTCATCTGGGTTCATGGGGATCACCCTAGGTTCTGGAATAAAGATGATGTATAGCACAGTGTGGCTTATCAGGATGGATATGCAGCATGGATTAAAAAATGAAAACACTGTTTTTTTTGTTGGGGGATGGATTTTTTTTTTTTTAAGAGAGACAGAGTCTTGCTCTGTAGCCCAGTCTGGAGTGCAGTGTCACGATCATAGCTTACTGCAACCTTGAAAGCCTGGGCTCAAGCAATCCTCCCACCTCAGCTGCCCAAGTAGCTAGGACTCCAGGCATGTGACACCACGCCTGGCTAATTTTATAATTTTTTTTGTACAGACAGGGTCTCGCTATGTTGTGCAGTCTCAAATAATTCTCCTGCCTCGGCCTCTCAAAACACTGGGATTACAGGTGTGATGTTGTTTTCATAATCTTCTGAGATTCATGGGCATTCATTACTGGAGCACAGTCTCTTTATCCTCACTAATACAGAAATTGCTATCAGAAATAGTATGTTCTGTAACAAAAATCCATTGCCTTTGGGCCAGGTGTCAAGGAAACTGTTACTAGAGGCTGAAAGGAAGTCATCTCTATGTTATGCAGTGACGGTGACGAAGTATTTAGTCAAAGTGTTGCCTGCCTTCACTCGGAAGGCAGATGATGAACTGAATGCGCTATGGTTTCAAATGAAGACATGGACTAAGAATGCTGATAGCATGCCTTGGTTGTTATTAACTATGTTTGACAAGGTTCTACAAGAAAGAAACAGGCTCGAAAATGACAATTTTTATAAGAATGACAAAGAATAGAGAGTCCAAAACTTCAGGGTCTTAGAAAGTTGGAAGAGCTAACCTATCCTCATAACTACAGAAAAAAAGAAAGCTGAGAACTTCGAGTAACAGAGGTTGATGAAAATTCAGCATTGTAGTGTCAAGAACAGCCTTTATGGAAAACTGGAAGGTTCTCTAAAAAGTAACTTAGCCAGGTGCGGTGGCTCACGCCTGTAATCCCAGCACTTTGGGAGGCTGAGGCAGGCGGATCACGAGGTCAGGAGATCGAGACCATCCTGGCTAACACGGTGAAACTCTGTCTCTATTAAAAATAGAAAAAAATTAGCTGGGCATGGTGGCGGGCGCCTGTAGTCCCAGCTACTCCAGAGGCTGAGGCAGGAGAATGGCGTGAACCCGGGCGGCGGAGCTTGCAGTGAGCCGAGATCGCGCCACTGCACTCCAGCCTGGGCGACAGAGCGAGACTACGTCTCAAAAAAAAAAAAAACGAAAAAACCTGAAAACTTAAATTTATCGTGAGACCCAGCAATTCAACTCCTAGGGATCTTTCCAAAAGAAATGAAAACACATGTTCATACAAAGACATGCTCAAAGGTTTATGGCAGCCTTCTTTCTAATAGCCCTAATCTTGAAACAACTTACATGTCCATCAGCTGTTGAATGGATGAACACAACGTGGCATATCTATACAACAGAACTATGTAGCAATTAAAAGGAACAAACTATAGACACAGGCTCCAACGTGTATGAATCTCAAAAACATCATACGAAATGAAATAACTGTTGCCAAACACTACATATTATATGATTCAATTGATATGAAATGTCTACAAAAGGCTAATTTATAGAAGTAGAAATATTTGTAATTGTTTAGGACTGGGGGCAGAAACAAGGATCGACTGTAAATGAACATGCAGAAATTTGGGGGTTGCTGGAAATGCTCTAGAACTGGATTGTAGTTATGGTTACACAATTATAAATTTACTAAAATCGCATGTACACTTACAATAAGTGAATTACACAGCATGTAAATTATACTCAAGATGTCTGTTAAAGAAAAAAAATTCAACCTTGTAGCAAGAACCAACCAAGATGGTACCTGGTAAATCCTTTCAGTTGAGAAAGAATTGTTCAGATAAAGAAAACTAAGAATGTGTTTCTCTCGCAGAAGCTTCATAAGTGCAAGGTAGCAATAATTAAGTCTGGAGAGAGATAGACATGTTTAGAAAATAACTGTATGTGGCTATGGCACACACAGCTGAACCAAACAGATAAGAAGATGATTAATGTTGTAGAAAAGCGTAGGACCAAAAAAAGTCATTAGCATGGCCTATAAGAGGCTGCTAATGTTTGACACTTAAAATGACACAAAATGACCCTTGGGCCTCCATCCTTGTATGGGAAAGAAACAGGCTGAAAAAGCTGCCCCCATGAAGGGCATATTCTCTGATGCCCTCTCCAGATGTGGCTAAGAATAAGGGAAAAGGAAGGGCAGGACCTCCCAGAGTGTGGAGCTCAAAGCCACACAGGGAAAATGAATGGAGAGCTACTGGCAGGAGGTGGCATCAGGGCCTCATGAAGGAACGTTCCCCATCCTAGGCGCCTCTTGCAACATGTGTCCAGCCTGATTTCAGAACTGTTATGGATCAGTGACTGTTGTGCCTCCCAGTCTTCCTCTTTCCAAATGGAAGTGTTTGTTATGGTTATCCTGTCCCTTATCTATCATGGTATATTGAGTATGTATTTTGGTGGTGGGGTGGGGAAGTATATGATTGTTTTAAAGTTCACTAGTCTTTGGATGAAGAGGAGTCACATCCTGACTTAGTATAGAGATGATCACAAGATCTTGGACTTGGAGCCTGGTACCATGACTGGACAGGACTTTGGGGAAAGGTAAGTATGTTGTATATACGGGAGGAGAAGGAAAGCAAGTATTTGTTACAAGAGGGGAGGAGGCCTGTGACAGAGTCTATTATTGTTCATCATTTTTGCTGCTTCTCCTGGGTACAAATTATACTTCCCCCTCTCTCAGATGTCAGGCTTCACCATGTGATTTATTTTATTTATTTATTCTTTGAGATGGAGTCTCTCTCTGTTGCCCAGGCTGGAGTGCAGTGGCACGATCTCAGCTCACTGTAATCTCTGCCTCCCAGATTCAAGCGATTCTCGTTCCTCTACCTCCCATGTAGCTGGGATTACAGGCATGCGCCACCATGCTGGCTAATATTTTTGTATTTTTAGTAGAGATGGGGTTTCACCATGTTGGCCAGGCTGGTCTGTAACTCCTGACCTCAAGTCATCCTCCTGCCTCGGCCTCCCAAAGTGCTGGGATTATAGGCATGAGCCACTTCGCCTGGCCCACCATGATTTTTTTCTGGCTAATGAAAGTGAGGGGAAGTGACATGTGTCACTTCCAAGCAGAACCTGTAAGACCCAGCACATGGTTTGCCATGTTCTCTTTTCCCAAAGCCATAAGACAAAGGATATTCCGGAAACAGCCCGCTCTATCAGGCTGAGACATAGAGTGAAGATGATATGATCCAGGCTGAACATGTAACATGAGACAAAAACTTCTGTGGTTATAAAGCATGGATACTTAAGGATTATTTATTCCTGTATCATAATCTAGATTATAATGATTGACACATACAGCCTTTGCAAAATGATCTGTATTCATATTCTGGCTTTGGCAACCTCGCACATATTACTCAACCTCACTGAGCCACAAATGATTCATCTATAGAGATAATATTGCCTATTCTGGAAACCTGTTGAGAAAATTAAATGAGATCATGTACACATAAGTACACACACACACACACACACACACACACACACACACACACCATGGCTTTCTTTTTTTTCTTCAATAGATATAATCTTTCTTCAGTAGATGCAATCTATTGAAGGAAGAAAAATAAAATTTATGGAGCAATGAAGAACCAAGCCCTGTACTCGACACATAGATGCTTTCCCTGCAGAGATCAAATATAATTTGAAATTTGAAACCCAAGTAATCCATCCAAGCTGTCCATATTACAAAATCTATAAACTGCCTCATGCTTCTCCCTGTTCTTGGCACATAGTAGGCGATTTCCCCACAGAGGTCAAATATAGCTTTCGAAACTTTGAAACCCATGTCATCCATCCACGCTGTCCATATTGTGAAATCTATGAATTGAGACTCATGCTCCTCACAGCATTCATTTTTATATTTCTAGGTCGGAGTTTCCCAGATCTCCATCTCCCTTTTTTATTTAGCCACAAGCCACCAGAGGCTTTTAAAAGAAACAAATGTGCAAAAGAATAAAGTTGAATTCCTACTTCAAGCCATATACAAAATTTAACTCCAAGTGAATCAATGACCTAAATGTAGGAGCTAAAACCAAAAAACTATTAGGAGGAAACATCAGCATAAATCTTCATTATCTTGATTTGGCAATGGCGTAGATATAACATCAAAAGCATGAGCAACAAAAGAAAAAATAAATAAATTAGATTTAATCAAATTTATAAATTTTTGTGCATTGTGACATTATCAGAAAAGGAGGACATTATCAAGAAAGTGAAAAGACAAATTACAGAATGGGAGAAAATTTGTGCAAGTCATATATCTTATAAGAGCCTAGAATCCAGAATATAAAATGAACTCTTACAATTCAACAACAAAAAGGCAACCCAATTAAAACTAAGCAAAGGATTTGAAAAAACACATCTGTAAGGAAAAGATATAAATGGCCAACACATGAAAAGATGCTCAAAAGCATCAGTCATTAGGGAAATGCAAATCAAAACCACAATGAAGTACCACTTCACAGCCATTTGGATGGCTAGAATAAAAAATTAGAAAATAAAAAGTGTTGACTGAATACAATAACTGTCTCTCAATTTAAAGCTTTTCTTGGGGACCCAAACTTTGTACAAGGAAGTCTATCTGACAATTCCTTGAAATCTGACTGTCATCTAGAACTCCCTTGAAATGTGTGACAAGGTTGGTTTGGTCAAAGATGGTTTCCGGCTGCCTGCGCTGAGCCCTTCGGTTTCCCACTTCCCTGAAGATTTGGCACAAGACAGTCCACGGTGCAGCGCCATTTTTCCCCCAAAGAAAAAGTGTCCGATGTCAATTATGGCAATGGCAATGGCAGGCAATCAGGAATACTTCTCAAACATTCTAAGAGAAGAAAGAGAGAAGCAGGGGGTGGGAGAAGGGAACAGATGAACGGGCACTGGGAAAACCACCCAAGCCAAGGAAGTTACATAGTGGTCTTCCAACTTCTGTGCTCACATGTTCCTGAATCATTTTGAAAAGCTACATATCCCTTTGTTAGCCTGACACTTCAGATTTTTCACGATAAGTTTAAATACTTATTTTGCTCATGAAAAGAAAATAATAAGTATTTTATAAGACGAGGATTGACTATACGTGGAATAAATGTTTCATGATATGGTTTGGTAAAATAGGTTTAACTACCTTTTGGAATAGCATGCTGAAACCAAAAGAAAACAAGAAAAATGTTCATCCTGGGTTTTATCCATATAGTTTGAAAAATTTAGAGGTCCAGGGAGCATTCTAGTTATACTTAAGAGAATCACTATCATTAACTACCCTACTTCAGTTGTTCTGAAATCAAAATATTCCTCCCTGCCCCAAGCATTTCCCTTAATAGAAATTCCTATAGATGAGAAGAGACAGAAGAGCTGCAGGTCTAAGACACTCTGGCTCCTCATCGAAGAAGGCTGCTCTATAACCAACCATTTCTCATTTTTCCTTTGACACTCGGGGGTTTTGTACACAGTGGGATTCCAGATGGGTGACAGGTAAGCCTCTCTCCCATGAAGTGCAGGAAGGGCCACGTGCCCAGCATCCTCCTGCTGTCTTAGTATAGAATCCCAGATGCATGCTTCAGAACCTGGAAGTTCACTCCCTTGAACCATCTGTAGAGAGCACCCCTGGGAAGTCCAATGCCCCTGCACACCACAGTTTGAAGGCGGAGCATGGCAGAGGGGCCAAGCAGGGCAGAGCAGCGGGGGCCGCTCTGCAGCAGCCCCTTCCCAAAGTCACAGGGCTGCTGGGAAACTCCTCCCACACTGTCCCCTGGGCCTGCTCAGCTGGCTTCGTCTCCATCTCCTCATGTCCAGTGCTCAGGCGTCCTCCTGACACCAAAGGGTGGGAGCCCCAGGCTGATTCCCTTGCAGGGAAATCCTTTACGAAGGCACTTTCTGCCTGCAGTCTTCGTATTGTTCACCTGGGGAGGCAGGCTCATTAAAAGCATGTACTTTTAAGCCAGAAAGACCTGGGTTCCAATCCCAGTGCCATCACTGAAGAGCTGTGTGACCTCGGGTAACTCACTTGGTCTCTCTGAGCCATGGTTTCCTCATCTGGAAATAGAGGTGCCTACCTGGTAGAAGTGTGTGAGAATTAAACAACATGAGGTCTGTTAAGCAGCCAGTGCCAGGCCTGGCCTGTGGCAAGCATGCAGTGAAGAGTGGTACCTCTCCAACCTCCACTTTGCTCCTCCTGGTTCCTGTCTCTCTCCCTCCCCCACCTGTCCTCATCCAGAAGACCCCACCCTGCAAAACTCAACTCAGCTTCCATCACCACTATTTGCCCTCCCACCCCGACACACTCTTTCCTTTCTCTGTATTCCTTTAGGACAAATGGTCTCAACCAGACAATATTAACCAGACAGCGGGGGCTAAATCATGCTGCTATACTCATCTAACACTTACTGAGGCAGCACACGCCAGGCATTGGCAGGGGTAGGGGTGGGGGTTGAAGTAGGTGGAGTTGGGGGAGGGAGAGGAGATCATGTTCTCTGTAATGCTTTACAGTTAACACTGGATTGTACACAGGCATCGCTTCTTTTAGTTTTTGCATCAACGCATATTGGTCTCGTTCCACTTTTACCGATTAAGAACCTGAGACTCAGAAAAGAGAATGACTCGCCTGGGGTCACAGGGCCAGCAAGCAGCAGAGCCAGAACCCCCAAGCCAGGGTTCTTCCCAGTCCCGCAGCGGCTTCCTAAGCTCTTAGCATCTACTCAACTTCCCAGATTGTGCCAGAGTCTAAACGCCATGACAACAGGCTCCCATGTACATTTCACTTGTGAAATCCCATTTTATACTCGCCAAGGAAAGTCATCACACGGTGCAGTATGGGCCCAGTGGCTGACGGTGAAGGAACCGAATCAGATAGCCCCCAGCTCACGTCCTGCCTGGGAAGCCTTGGACAAATAACTTTACCTCTCTAAGCCTCAGTTTCTTCATCTTCCAAGTGTGAATAAAGAGTCATAATATCTTCCACATGGGGTTGTTGCGAGCATCAGCTGAGATAATGCGGATCCATGCTCAGCACAGAACTGGCACCAGGCCCCACTCAGCAAATATGAGATGGAGGAGCTGCACCCTGCAGGCACTGAGGTCACCGGCCATGGCCCACATCAGTGTGATGTGTAGTGAGCTAAGAGACGTTTTTACAGGTTTGATCCCTTTGGGAGGCACTGACTTAGCGCTTGCGTGCCCAGCCCAGGGCAGCCCTTACCGACAACAGCTGCAAGAGGGCATGGCCTGGCCCTTCCGCAGCACCTGCGGGAAGCCCCCATGGTGTGGGACTGGATCCTAGCCCACCTCAAGGCCCAGAGAGCCCCTTCCCACGCCAGCCCGGGCTCCCACACTGCGGTCCTGCAGACTCTTCCCTTGTGTTCTACAGATCTTGCCCCAGGATCCCATGGACAGTTCCTGTGGATCAAAGACAGTCCAAGAAGGCCACGTGCCCTTCACTCAGAGGGGACACAGCCCATAGCATGAGTCAGCGCTGCCCCTTAGGCTCACAGATACAGCCTTCAAGCAAGAGTGGCTGCACCCCAGAACACAGGTCCAGAATGTCAGCTGGAGTCTCCAAGCCACCACCGCCTTCCATAGACAGCAGCATGTTCTGCAGGGGGTCTGAGTGATTCATTCAAGGTCACATAGTGAGTCATTTGGCAGAGTGAAGACTCAAGTCCAGGACCACTCATAACAATGGTGTCTGAACCAGCAGGGCCCACATGTATCTGGGAGCCAAGGATGGAAACCCCTGCGTGGAAGGAAGAAGAAACTGCCCTTGATACTCTAAATAAACCAAAGGCTGCTGTGGGAACCTAGACTCCTGACACAATGCGTTCTTCATAGCAGAGGTCCTTCCATTACATGAAATGTGTGTCTTCAGAGAGAAGAGCAGGGCACTAAGGGGTAAGTTCAAAACCAACATAGCCCAGGAACAGCAAAGAGCGCTGTGACTAATTGTGATGTGTGCCATGGGCATGAGTGCATAGGGCAACCCTCATGGCACACATTTGCCATCCTTGCCTTCCTCATTAAGAAGGAAATCAGGGTAATGCTGCTGCAGGAGAGAAACCAGGAGTTTGGTATCAAAGCAGCTGCTCTCCTAGATAACCTAAAAGAATAAACTGAAGTGATCCCAAGCCAGGTGCAGTGGCTCACCTGTAATCCCAGCACTTTGGGAGGCCAAGGTGGGAACATCACCTGAGCACGGGAGTTTGAGACCAGCCTGGGCAACAACGTGAGACCCCTGTCTCTACCAAAAAATCAAAACATTAGCTGGGCATGGTGGCACACACCAGTGGCCCCAGGTACATGGGAGGCTGAGGCAGGAGGATCACTTGAATCCGGGAGGTTGAGGCTGCAGTGAGCCATGATGGTGTCAGTCCACTCCAGCCTGGGCAACAGAGCAAAACCTTGTCGAAAGAAAGAAGAAAGAGAGAGAGAGAGAAAGAAAGAAAGCGATCCCATCAACATGGTACCCGCTAACCACATGTGGTTATTGGGCACTGAAATGTGATTATATGATTGAGGAACTGAATTTTACATTTTATTTCCTTTTAATTAATTTAAGTTTAAATTGCCACATGTGGCTAGCTATATATAAGCATAACATAAATAATACAAATTGTAAATGATACAATACAAACAACTATATGTTACTTATAAAATAAAATAATGTAAAAATTCTATTCAAAATAACATATCTCAGCCGGGTGCAGTGGCTCACGCCTGTAATCCTAGCACTTTGGGAGGCCAAGGCAGGTGGATTACGTGAGGTCAGGAGTTCGAGACCAGCCTGGCCAACATGGTGACACCTGTCTCTACTAAAAATACAAAAATTAGCCAGGCGTGGTTGTGCGCGCCTGTAGTCCCAGCTACTTGGGAGGCTGAGGCAGGAGAATCACTTGAACCCAGGAGGTGGAGGTTACAGTGACCTGAGATTTGCACCACTGCACTCCAGCCTGGGTGACAGAGTGAGACTCTGTCTCAAAAAAAAATAAAAACAATTGGAAAAAAATTAAAATAATATAGCTAGGAACAACCTTGATGACAAAAATGTGTTACTAAGTCAGGAAATGTAAAATTCTACTAAAAGCTATAAAAAGTGACTGACGAGACATGTTTCTGGTAAGAAAGACTATAGTAAAGAACCGTTAACTCTTTCCAAATGAATGTGTGCGTTTAATACACTTCAATCAAAATCCCAATTTTTTTTATTACTGGCAAGATGATATTAATGTTAATCTGCACAATCAGGTGAGAACAGCGGAGAAAAAGAGTACCAAAGGAGGACTGGCTTCATTAGACAGCCTGCAATGTAGAATCGTTTGAAAGCAGCCCTTAGGTTTTATCTAAGAAAACTTACATAGGATAAAACAGGTCTTGCACATTTGTGAAAAGTAGGGAACTAAGCAATGAATGACGTTGAAGCAAATGGGTTAGCTATTTGAGGAAAAGTCAGTTGGCTTTGAACCTTATACTATACACCAAAATTAATTTCAAATAAATAAAAAATTAAATCAACAAGTGGACTGAACTATACTTAGAAGCAAATGAGTTATGTCTATGGATTCGACACACAAAGCTATTGAATTCTTACTGAAAGGCAAAGAGAAGACTTTCAAAGTATTCCCATCACCTCTTCCACTACCAATCCCAGCTATTCAAGGTGTAATCCATAGACCAGCAGCATCAACATTATCTTGGAGCTCAACAGAAATACAGAATTTCAGAGCCCACCTCAGACCTGCTCAGTCAAAATCTGCATGTTAACAACATCCCTCAAGGAAATCGGGTGCACCCTGGAGTTTGAGAAGCACTGACCGAAGGCACCAGGGACTCTGTTTCCAACTATGACCCTGGGGTCATGGGCTCCCCTCCACCTCTCTGTGTTCGACATGGCTGTAGTGAAGAGGGTAGGCAGGGCAATTCCTCACAGAGATGTAGAGCTTGAACATATGGGCCGCAGGAAGCATTTAAAATGCACATCCGGCTGGGCGCGGTGGCTTTCGCCTATAATCCTAGAACTTTGGGAGGCTGGGGCAGGCGGATCGCCTGAGGTTAGGAGTTCAAGACCAGCCTGGCCAAAACGGTGAAACCCCATCTCTACTAAAAATACAAAAAATTAGCTGGGCGTGGTGGCGGGCATCTGTAATCCTGGCTACTCGGGAGGCTGAGGCAGGAAAATCGCTTGAATCCAGGAGGCGGAGGTTGCAGTGAGCTGAGATTGCACCATTGCACTCTAGCCTGAGCAACAAGAGCAAAACTCTGTCTCAAAAAAAAAAAAAAAAGAAAAGAAAAGAAAAGAAAAAAAGCACATCCACGAAAATGCCCTCAGCTCCAGTCTTGACTGACCCCACTAGACCTTCAACCTGCAACTGAGGGACTCATCACCAGGTGGTAGTGTTTCCTTATGAAGCTCTGGCTAGTAAATGTTTCAGGAATAGATTATGAAGTGCAATAGGAAAAATGTTTTTTGGAAATCAAAAATTGAAATCTTTATAAATTAGTCAAATACAGTTTTAAAGCTGTTATGTAATAAATTTGGAAATGTAAAAGGTCTAGCTTTAAAGACACGCTTTCTAATGATATCTAATCCGTCAGTGGTGTGCTGCTATTTAACAATTGGCTGGGGTAGGGGAGAGCCTTGGTTTGTGGTGTTTGCTGATTTCCCTGTGTAAATGCTCCCACTGTGGCTGATTTCAGGTCACTGAACATGGAGTTGGGAAAAGATGTGCACAGTTGGGCGTCGCAAGGAGGTAACAGCCAGCTCCGGGCCACTGCAGTAATGACAGTAAGTACCTGTAAAGTACCTCACAGTTTCTGAAGTTCTGTTATGTTCCCCATCTGATGCCATGTGTGTGCCTGATTTTGGGGGCTGCAAAAGATAACCATGATCTGAGCCTTGCAGGGCAAGGCTCATCTCTGCAGCTCCCACCCAGGATTTGCACAGCACAGATCTTGCCCTGGCTATCTTTTCTCCATTGACAGCAGAAGCAAGCAGCACTCACTGTGTCCCTGGGACCAGGCCGAATGCCCTCTACATATTACCACAATCCGTCCTCTCACCAGTTTCAAGAGGAGGCCATTTTGTCCCCTTTCTATAGAAGGGAGAGGAAAAAAAAAAAAAAGGCCATGAGGGAGGTAGGAATTGGCCAAGGTCATGCAGGCAGGAAGAAGCTGCACAGGTTTTCTGAGTCAATACAAGTCTCTCTAATTCCAAAATCAGATCCCTGCTAGGCGCCGTGGCTCACGCCTCTAATCCCAGCACTTTGGGAGGCCGAGGTGGGTGGGTCACCTGAGGTCAGGGGTTTGAGACCAGCCTGACCAACATGGTGAAAACCCGTCTCTACTAAAAATACTAAAATTAGCTGGGCATGGTGGCGGGCACCTGTAATCCCAGCTATTCGGGAGGCTGAGGCAGTAAAATTGCTTGAACCCAGGAGGCAGAGGTTGCAGTGAGCCAAGATCGCTCCAATGCACTCCAGCCTGGGCAACAAGAGCAAAACTCCGTCTTAAACAAACAAACAAAAATCAGATCTCTTATCCAATTCTCCCCAAAGTTCCACATTCTAAAAGTTACTAAGAAATGCTGTTAAACCACCTTCTTTACCGCAGGACTTCCCAGACCCTTTACAATTCTAACAAATATCACGGCTCTCCAAGAGAAAGACTGGGAATGCGGCATTTCCCAACATAGTTGCTTCTGAGATCTCCTTTCACTGGGTCTCCTGACCTAAGGAACACATTTTGGAGACTGTTGCACTGCTCCACAGTCCTCCAGGAATGACAAACTTCTAGGACTTGAAGGGGCCATACAGGTCACTGGGTCCAACACTCTATCCAGAGACAGGGAGCTCACGCCCTTCCATCACGTCCCCATTGATCTTTGAACACCAATCTCTATTTCTTCCAAATCTGGTGTTTTAGATCTCCTCTCAGGACCAGTGCACTGAAGAGAAAGGGACTGATGGTTCTGCAGCACCCACACCGTGCAGGCTCCTCTCGCTCCTCTAGCCCTCAGGACAGCAAACCCGTGCAATGTGCATCATCATACCCAGTGTCAGGTGAGGACTGTAGGCACAGAGAGATTTAGGCAACTTCCTCCAGGCCCCCTCTCAATTCTAACTCTTAACTGCCATGCGTCTTTGGCTCCCTTTGTAAGATGGAAGCATGGAGAGGAGGAATGACTAACTTACAGCCTTGGAAATGTAGAATCAGGAAAGCCTCACAAAGGGGATGAGTGGGAGGATGATGAGTGAGCTGCAGTTTGGCAGGTGGATAACAAGAGGAAAGGGCATGCTGGCTAAAGGGACAGCATGTGCAAAGGCCCTGGGGTGAGAAAGAGCAAGGCACTGTCAGGGCAGGAGCAGGAGGGGTGCAGTGAGGGCAAGCCAGCTGGAGTGGGGGGCCCAGCCATGCGGACTGCTGTAGACAGTGAGGGTAAGGCAGGACAGGAGGCCAGGGGATCTGAGAGGCTCAGCATGGGCAAAAAGGGAGGCTGAGAATTGGGGAACGGGATCCTGAGGCTGTTAGAGCACCCAGGGTGGAGAGGGTAATCAGGAGTCCCTCATTCTGGTATAGCACTTTACAGTATGCTACCCCTTCCATGCACACATCCTCCTCTCCTGCAAACACCCCCCACACCCAAAACACCAGCATCCAGCGCAGGGCCTGGCACTGACCTTCAGAACATTCTCATCCCCGAATCCGTGAGTGAACAAATACCTCCTTGCAGAAGGCCTAGAAGAAGGCAGGAAGGCCACCAGCCCAATCTTATGGGGGAAAGTGAGACTTCAGAAAGTTAACGACTAGCCCAAGTTGACAATCCGTAAGAAGGGGACAGGGCTTGAACTCAGACCTTTTGGCTCCAAGACTCAGAGCTCGGTTCACTGCCCTGCACAGGATGCTGGTCCCAGCATTGGGATTCAAGGTGAGGACTGACCTCAGGGTCAGCAGGAAGTGCTCTGCCAACAGAGGAGCCACCAGCCTGGCCAGCCGGGGACAGCCCGGGCGGCTGCTTTCAAGGGACAGAGTGCAGGAGGGGTTGGGCCTGGAGGAGTCCTCACACCCCTCCGCACTGAAGATTCCAAGAGTCTGGTGGGGGGATTTTAGGGGTGGTGAACGGCCCCTGAGTTGGGGTCTGCAGAGCTGGGGAGACTTCGAGCCAGGCAGCAGCCAGCCAGTCAGAGGGAGACCCCTCCACTCCGCTGCCACCTCCTATCACCAACTGCACTATCCCCAAGACTCTGTTCCCTGGCTCTCAGAGAATGGCAGGCCCAGGGCAGCCCCCTGACCTTCCTGGTCCATCCTGGCCATATGCCCTGCCCTGCCCCAGGGCTTGCTCCAAACCAACAAACACCCGGGTTTTATCCGAGGAGAGTGGCCTGCAGGCCCACCTTACCTCATCTCACCTTCATCAACCAGGACACTTCCTGATTTTCATTTCTACACTTAGACCTCAGGGCTACACTAAGGCATGGTTTATTGTTCAGTCAGCTTCCTACCCGTGGACCTAATCACAAATATTCTGCAGTGGCTCTGTATCTTGGGACATGAAGCATGGTCTACACGGGGGAAGAGACGAGGTCTGCATCTCCACAGTCTGTACTGGAAGCTGTGTGCTTCCCCTTTGAAGCGTTTTCTTCTCTCACACAATGAGACAGCTGAACCAGCTCAGTGTTTCTGGAGGCATGGCCCACAAACCACTTACATCAGAAGTGTCAAAGGAGAGTGTTGACATGCGGATCCCCAGGCCCCAACCCAGATCTATGAAATCAGAATCTCTGAAGTCAGCACCCAGGAATACGCACTTTAATTCATGCCCTGCCCCACCCACTCAGGTGACTCACATGGACACTGCAGTTTGGAAACCAATGGAGTCCATGGTCACTGACCTTACGTTTGATTTCACTACATTTTCTTTTAGAGAAACATAGGGTATTTGCTTGGGGCCTGCTGTTTGTCCACTCCAATAACAAGCCACTCCAATAACTTCCTCACTCAGGAAGTGAGGAAGACTTCATAGATGTTCCATAAGATAGTCACCTAGAGATAAGCCCAGGTTATTGGAGGAACTAAATATGTAGAATTCAAACCATTGGAATTCCTCTCAGGAAACAGGCTGAGGTGGGGTGGAGGGGCCAGAGGCGGGGAGCGTTACAGGGAAATCCTACCCACAGATGCATTTAGTTCATTGCAAGTTTCCAGCGGAGGGATTTAACAGGTTTAAAGCAGTTTTCTGTGAATCTTTGTCAAGGGAGTGTATGTACAAACAAACAGGGAGGGTTTTTTTAGTAAAAAGTTAATCGGCTTAAAGTGTGCAACTAAATAAGCAAAGCTTACATTAAAGTGACCCACAGAGAAAGGACCCCTAGAAAGAAAGTTCTAGGAAATACAATATGGCCTCTATGTTCTTTTGTAGTTCCACGCTATAAATATTCATGGGATGGTGTTAATGGGGTCTACAGCTCTATGCAACCACAATAGTTTTTTTGTTTATTCTCAGGACCATGAACTTTGAAACCATGACCCTAAATTTCAGGACTCTGCATTCAGGCGCGTTTGCAGAACAGGAGGGGAGAGGTTCGGGCTCTTGGAGGAGAGGAAACAGGCGAGATGTGAATCACGCCTCCTGGATCTTTTGGTTGAGATTAAAGGGTAGGGTCTGTTTAGTATGAGAAGCCTCCTGTCTCCAGGGTCCCCAGCTGCTCCTGCCTGGGGAGATGGCCTTCTCCAGGAATAGATGGCTCAGTTGCTCAAGCATACGGCAGAGAGGAGTGGAGAGATGTAAATGTTTTAATGGGATCAAACAGATTTGGTGCAAGTTTTACATTGAAGACTTGGAAAACTTTAAAACTGAAGAATTTCTAAGACAGAGAATTTGAAAGTCATCTAAGCAATGTCCTTGTTTTCCATATGAGGAAACTGGGGTCCAAGAAGGTCAAATGACTTGCTTAAAATATTGCATCTAGAAGCCATGTCTGGGACTCCCAACCATGGGCTTTTCCTACACCAGAAAAGGCAAATAAGAGACAAGCATGTGCCTCCCCTTACCCACTCTTGCTCAGGATAGATATTCCTAATTGATCACAGCTCTCCTGTCCATTGAGCCTGGACACAGTCTCTGAATCCATCTCAACACAGTGTTACAGAGGGTCAACAGAAATGGACAGAAATGGTGCATGAGTTGAGACCTATTTGCCACCTATGCCCTACAGCATGCTGGTAACATTCATAATCCATTACCCATTTGTTCCAGCTAAGGGTTTTCCATTTTCTAACTCTCCATGTTAAAGGTCAGTCAGGACCTAGGAGAGCGCCCTACACAGCTAGGTCCTCCACAGCCGCTCTGAAAGCTGACTGCTTCTCAAGAGAACACACAGCCCTGCCCTCTGCCTTGGCTGGCATCATCCTACTTGACAGATGAGCCAAGGGGGTCTGGCTGGTACCTGGGCTGGCGACCACCTTGCTTAAAGCAGATACAGTCTCCTGCCTCGCCTCCTCATCTATATCATAATATGGTTGCATCAATACATTACAGAAATGTCACAGCTTGGCTTTCCCAGCAGGGCTCAGTTGAATCAACAAACACACCTGCTCAGCTAATTTCCAAAAAAGAAAAATTAGCCACAAGATTGGTTTGGGCAGGCCGGCCATATCTGCAAGGCTGTTTAAGTTTTACAGCTCCAAATAGGTTTCATCTCACATGCCACCCCACTCAATGGGTGGTGCTTCTTTGAGCACTGTAAGGTGACTTCTTGGACCCATAGGAAAGAGAGCCACGATCAATTAGTAATATCTGCCATTAGCAGGAGGTGTGGAGTGGGGAGGGGGTTGCCTGTGCCACACATTTGCCATTCACATATTACATTGTAAGGATACTAAAAATGGCCGGGTGCAGTGGCTCATGCCTGTAATCCCAGCACTTTGGGAGGCCAAGGCCAGTGGATCACTTGAGATCAGGAGTTTAAAACTAGCCTGGGAAACATAGCGAAACCCTGTCTCTGCTAAAAAAAAAAAAAATACAAAAATTAGCCCAGCGTTGTGGTGCACGCCTGTAATCCCAGCTACTCGGGAAGCTGAGGCAGGAGAATTGCTTGAACCTGTGAGGCAGAGGTTGCAGTAAGCTAAGATCGCACTCCAGTCTGGGCAACAGAATGAGACTCTGTCTCAAAAAACAAAAACAAAACAAAACAACAGCAACAACAAAAAAATACAGATACTAAAAATATTTCAGTCCAGGTAATAGCTGGGGCAAGGCCTGAACTACGACTAACGTTATACTTTGTACACTTATTCTTCACCCTCTCCACTCTGCTCTGTGTCCAGGAAGCGTGCTTCTGTGGACGGCATCCTCCAGTTTCCCCTCGGGTTTCCTCCAGCTTCTGGTTGCTTTCAACCAGGAAGAGATCTTGGCAGACCCTAGGGAAGAGGAGAGAGGCTGTGCATTTCTTCCCTGCTAGATGCTACAGGTCTAGCCATAGACACATCCCTCCGCAACTTCCCCTCCTACCCAGTTCCAGCTCCAGTAGCACTGCTCCCTCCCCTGCCCCTCACCACAGGGATAATGGGCTCATCTCTGTGTGTCTCACCTCTCCTGTTTGTTCCCTTAACCCTGCATCTCTAATTGGCCCCTTCGTGAAGGTCTCTTCATCTGAAACATCTGGGATAAATTTTGTTTCCTGCTGGGACTCTGACTTATAGAGCTTTGCTAAGAAAATCTTTCCATTATTTCCATAGCCAAATAGGAAGATGGGATTCTGGCTGGTAATAGGGATGACTACTTTGGCCTATGCCAACACCTTTCACTGCTTAATTGGGCAGAATATGACTTACTGCTATCTCATGCCTGCTGCGTTCCCACAGCATGAGCTCACACGGGCTCCATTAGGTAATGGAGAGAGGATGCAGTTTAGGTCCTAATAACCCAAAGCTTCTTGGGCTCTAATTTTACATCTTATGTGCTTGATTTGAGGACCAGGCACATCTCATAAGCCCTAATAGCTTCACTGTGAAATGATCTTTTGCAGAGCCATAAGTTGCAATTTAATTATGCAGGACTCATTCTGAAGACAATGGCCATGGGAGACCCTAAGTCGCAGAGGATGGAAAGACACGCTAGGCGGAGAGGGAAGGAGGACTGGGATCCACCTACGGCCATGCCAAGAGCTATTCAGATGGCCTTGGACAAGTTACTGCCCCTCCCAGGCCTTCAGGGTTCTCACGGGAAATATTAAAAGCTTAGAATAAATAATCCTTAAGATTCCTTCCAGCTTTAACATTCTAGAAGATTTGACTCAAAGATCTTGCTTGGTGTAGCTGGATAACTTTCAGTCATGGTAGTGGGCCTGTTGCCATTTTGACTACATTTTCCTCATAAAGGTCCAGCCAGTTTAGCTTATTGTGGCAGAGATTGCTCATTGTCCACCAATACTTCTCTCCCTTCTTCCATTTTAAGAGAACCCCTGATTTTTAGCTCCAGGTCCTCCAAAATAAAGCTTTTCCAGACTCCCAAATAGCTGTCTGTGGCCAAGTGACTAAGTTCTGTCCAATGAGATGAAGCACAAGTGACAAATGGCAGCTCCCAAGAAGCTGGTTCTCACACATTCTTTGTCTCTTTTACTTTTCCACCCCTTCCATATCCAAACCATGCCCGTGATGATTTGAGCTCTGCATACCGTCTTGACCATGAGGACAAGGACCTCAACTGAGGGAGAGTGGAGTGGCAGACTGGAAGGAGCTTGGATCTTAGATCTTGAAGGACTTTCTGAAGCAGAACTGCCATATCAGCCCAGAATGGAGACCTCCAGATTTTGATGTGAGAAAAAAATAGACTTCTAGCTTGTTTAAGCCAATGTCTGAGATACCAATATATTGCCTCTTGGCTCCAAATCTATCCTTCTTTGTCTTGCTTTGTGACACTGGAACTGGACCCTGTAAACATTGCTCCTTCACCACTTGACACCATGTTAGGCTTTATCAGTAAAAGACATTGGAAGGATACCGCAAATAGAAGAGGGGATTGCTCTTCCTGGTTCCAGTGGTCTCACCTTGCACCCATGGGAAGGGCTGCCAGCAGTGTTCAGGAAAACCACTGGCACCAACCCTCCAGAGTTTTGCCAATTTCCACTGGGTAATTCCCTGCTGGTCAGTATCTCAGTGAACTCCCCAGTTCCAGTGGGCCATAGCCACTCTCTCTTAAGAAGTCAGAATTTCAGCCCGGGATGGGTGGAGGTGGGGGTGGCTTCCTCCTTCCCTAGTAGTTGCTCCTTGCATCTGCTATTTTTGTTTTCTTTAGTGTTCCCTTTACCTCTTTTGGTAGTCAACCCCCTTTTCCTAGTTGATAATTATATTACATTTTCTAATTACTGTTCAAATTACTGGTGTGGTTTCAGTCTCCTAACTGGACCCTGATGGACACAGCAAATTAACTTGGGTCTGTTACTAGCAGTTTAACTTAATCTGAACTGATACAACCATACAAACATCTCTATGGGAAAGTCAATGATATGGTGCAGAATGAGCCCTCTGCTTTTTAAAAATCCTCTCTCCAAAAATTTGTTTGTGGCAAATATGACAGAAAAATAATGAAAGTCCTTAATTTAGTAGGAAAAGGGTTCCCACTAAATGTTTTTAACAATTCTCTAATTAGAAAAATGAGCAGGAACAGAAGAAAAGGTGCATGAATAGGAATCTCAATTAGCAGAAGAAATACAAACAATCAAAAACGTATTTTAAAAGGGTCAAAATTACTGAAAAAAATACAAATTACAATACAAGTGCAAGTTGAAGAAATAGAAAAATACTTTTCTCCAACCAGCAACGGTTTTTTAAAACTAGAATATAAACTATTAATCCTAATGGGAGTGTAAAGGTATAAAAATCTTTTAGCTGGGTACGATGCCTCACACCTGTAATCCCAGCACTTTGGGAGGCTGAAGTAGGTAAGTCACTTGAGCCCAGGAGTTTGAGACCAGCCTGGCCAACATGATTTAAAAAAAAAAAAAAAAAGAAAAAGAAAAAAAAATCTCTACCAAAAAAAAAAAAAAAATACAAAAATTAGCCCGGTGTTGTGGTGCACACCTATAGTCCCAGCTACTCAGTAGGCCAAGGTGGGAGGATCACTTGAGCCCTAGAGTTCAAGGCTGCAGTGAGCTGTGATTGCGCCACTGCACTTTAGCCTGGGTGACAGTGAGACCCTGTCTCAAAACACAAAAACAAAAAACAAACAAAAAAAACTTTTGAAGGGTTGTTTGAAAAGGAGAATCAGAAGGCCTAAACGCATTGGTACTTTTGACCCAGCAATTCTACTTCTAGAAATTTATTCTAAAGAGATAACTCACGATGTATATAAACATCTAGCTACAGAGATGATTCCAGCATCATTGTTTATAAAAGCAAAACAAAAAGATTGAGGTTCATGCCTGTAATCCCAGCACATTGGGAGGCCAAGGCGGGTGGATCACCTGAGGTCAGGAGCTCGGGACCAGCCTAGGCAAAATGGCGAAACCCTGTCTCTACGACACATACAAAAATTAGGTGGTGCATGTGCCTATAGTCCCAGGTACTCAGGAGGTTAAGTGGGAGGATCACCTGAGCCCGGGAGGCGGAGGCTGCAGTGAGTAGTAGTTGTGCCATTGCACTCCAGTCTGGGTGACAAAGCAAGATAAGGAAGGAAGGAAGGGAGGGAGGGACGGAGGGAGGGAGGGAGGGGAGAGATTGAGAAAAAAATCTGTATGTCCAACAATAGGAGATTGCTTAAATAAATTATGGTGCATCTATACAACAGTGTATAAAGCAACTTAAATTGGTTTTGTATAAGAATGTTTATTACATAAGCATCTTTATTGTCATAGAGAGAGGTTCATGGTACTAAGTGAAATTCAAACAGAAGCAGGTTCAAGCCAGTAGGTACAGCATTTTCAGGAGAAGAAAAATGTTGCAAACATGCCTAGAAAAGGTGTGGGAATATCATACAACAGAATGTTCACAACAATTACTTCTAGGCAATGGGATTACTGGACATTTTTACTTCTACTTGCTGTATGCATTTTCTAAATGTTTTCCAGTGGATGGGAATTAGCTGTGTAGTTAAGGAAAACATTTCATGTTAAACCATTATCTCCCTTTCCACCACCTCAAGGGCACCCCAGTGCCTGCTGAATATGTTTGAGTGAACTCATACATGTTTCAACCACGACCTTGGGGTACATCTCAGCTCCGGACCCCTCCCACCCACAGAGCCACTATCTCTTCCCACTTTCCCTCCCTTCCCATTCTCAAGGCCATAGCCTGCATCCTCATGCTCCAGGACTCGAACTCTGAGAGGTCCTCCTGCTTCCTGCTTCTACAGATCCTAAGCATCACAGGTCTTCACTGTAACAGTCCTCTGCTGAGAAACTATCAATAGCTCCCCATTTCCTTAGGGATATGTTTCAAATGTTTCAGCTTGACTTCCACTGTTCCAAGCTTATTTCAATCCTGTCATTACCATTCTGCAAAGTAAACCAGAGTAAATCTCCAACTCCAGACACATCACAAACATTCCTCACCTTTGCTGACACTGTTCATTCTACCTGAAATACCTTCTCTTGCATCCCAGCATCTGCAAATCCAAGGCATCCTTCCAGACCCGCCTCAGAGCTTACCAACTCCCTCACCAGGAAGTCTTCCTTGAGTTGACTGCTACCCTTTCTGAATCCCTCTGGTATCTCATTGACTGAGTTTTCCATTTGACAAATACCGGTTGGGCACCCACCATGTGCTGGCACTATGCTCCTGACTGTGAAGCAAAATCAGTCTCGTTTATACTCCTTGGAGCTCATTGTCCAATGCAGAGACAGTCATTGAACAATAATACTCACATCAGTAATAGACCCAGTTACAGATTGTAAAGAGTGCTTTTCAGAAAAACAAAGGCGATGAGAAACTTGAAAGGGGACCTGATTGAGACTGGGGACTGGGAAGGCCTCATGGGGGAAATGACATGTAAGCTGAGTCCTGGAGGATGAGTCAGAGTTGACCACACATAGAGTCCAGAGACATTTCCAGGCAGGAAGAAGAACCGATGTGAGCTGGAACCTGGCAGGTAAGGGGAGGGAGGCTGAGTCATAGGGACAAGCAATGACCAGAGCACCCCGGGGCCTGCTGATTGCTCTTATCCCAAGTGCAATGGGGTGACATTAAAGGATCCTAAGCAGGTCTGATCTTGCAAACGTGATCACACATGAGTTTGAGAAAGATCACTCTGCAATGTGGAAAACAGATTTTGGGAGGCAAGAGTAGCGTCAAGGAGGCCAGTTCAGCCACTACTGCAGCAGCCCAGGTGTGAGCTTGGACCAGTGGCAGTGGGGATGGAGAGAAGTGGACGGGCTCAATTTGGAAACAGAATTGACAGCACTTGTGTTGGGCGGGGTGAGAAGAAGAGGGAAGTCAGGTGTCCAGGTAGCAACTGGGTTTCTGGTTTAGGGACCTGGGTGGACTCTGGTACCAGTGTGGTATCTGCACCCATGAGGCCCAGTCCTTAGTGAGCCAAGGAGGACAGGACAGGAAACCAGCCCTGACTCCACAGGGAGGAGAGGCGACCCTGCGACCTGAAAAAGAGTTAAGAAGGAAGGTAGCTTGAGGCTGTTGCTGTGGGAAGCCAGCTTACAGGACTCACATCGACTCCAGGCCAGTAACCTGGGTGGGAGGCAGGGAAAGAGGCTGGGTGCAAATTGCAGGATGAGACAGAAGATAAGTGGCCCAGCTGGCAGAGCAGGCAAAGACTCAGGGCTGAACATCTCCACTCAAGTGCTCATGCGGGCGAGCTTGAGAATATTTATTGGTAATTGGCAGAAGTGGTTAGAGGTGGCGTGATCACAGATAGGTCTGTAACCAATCAGCAGGAAAGCTCTGTTCCTGTTGCTATGTTTGCATCCAGGCAGAACCGTATTATGAGCAGGCTGAGAGGGTACCATGAGAAACCTGCTTCTACACATTTGGTTTATGTGTCATCCTCTCCCTGCTTCATGGGTGAGAGCAAGTGAGCTGTGGAGCAATAAATTATCACTTGCCACATGCTATGTATCCCAGGAGAACTCTTAGCAGCCCTGAGAGGGAGAGATTAGCATTCACAGGCCAGTGAGGTTGTTACTTATAAGGAAATTCTAAAATAGGGAATAATACTATGAGTAATAATAATAATAGCAAGCAGAAGAGCCAGCAGTTAATGACTGCTTGCTAAACACTTCGTGTTCACTGCCTCATTTAATCCTCAAACAAGATTATATGATGGGTTTCAATATCGTTATTTTCCAAATGAGGAAACTGAGGCTCAAAGAGATTAAGAGACTTGGTCAAAACTACACAGGAAATAAGGGGGGCAGAGGCAGGTTTAAAGCCATGGGCTGCGTGATACCAAAAAGAATCTCTACAACAGGATGCTCACTGCTTCTGCTCTTTATCAGCCAAGCCTCCTTGGGAAAGATTGGCCATCGAAGTCTTCTCCCTGTGGAGGTGAGGAGAGTGGTTGGACCCATCACCCTCAACTGACCTGATACCCATGCACTGACCCTGGGCCTTCTGGAAGAGGGGTAGAGGAACAGAGACGGGGACAGGTGCATTTTGACACCTGGTATTATTCATTTATTCTTCCCTATGCTTTAGGACAGAGTACTTGGAAAGCCAGAATTCTCTCGTCCTTGTCAGATTCCTAGACAAGGATAAAGAAAAAGATAGGGAGACGGTCATGGGCTTTGGTGCTCAGGGAACATATACACAAATGTGACCTTCAGACTGGGCAGCATGGAGAAGCTCGTTCACTGGGGGTGGAGGCAGCCAGGCAAAGCTGGAGGCCCCAGGGTTGAAGAGGTCACATGGCGTAGAGGGGAAAACAGGGATTAGAGGTCTCAATGTCGTGTGCAGGTCTTAGCCCAGGCTCTCCCCTATGCAAGCAACCTGACCATGGCCTGTAATGCCCCTGAGATCATGTGAGCCCAGGCCATCTCCTGCGAGTGCTCCCATCAACTCCTAGGGGTTGGGAGAAGCCACCAGCTGAATGGAGGCTCAGGCCCAAAGCCACTTATATGTCTCCAAATAGCCAGGGGCTGGTTTCTTCGGTAGGGCTCAGACATCTGGTTGGCTTGCAGGGAACCAAATGCCTTAGCCTAATGCCATCCTCAGTGAGGCCACTGAGATTCATGGAAGATTTAAGTTTTAGGTCAAAGTCTCTGGGTATAGCTGGGCATGGTAGCTCAGGCCTGTAATCACAGCACTTTGGGTGGCTGAGGTGGGCAGATCACTTGAGGCCAGGAGTTCAAAACCAGCCTGGCTGATATGGCGAAACTCCATCTCTACTAAAAATACAAAAATTACCCTGATGTGGTGGTGCCTGCCTATAATCCCAGCTACTCAGGAGGCTGAGGCACAGGAATCACTTGAACCCAGGAGGCAGAGGTTGCAGTGAGCTGGGATCCCACCACTGCACACACACAAAAAGTCTCTGAGTATAGATGAGCTATCAGAATTGGCACCATTAGAAAACACAAATCCCTTAAAATCCCATAAATCCCTTAAAAATCACCAGGCTTTGAGTATTAGTCCATTCTCACACTACTGTAAAGATACTGCCTGAGGGCCAGGAGCAGTGGCTCACACCTGTAATCCCAGCACTTTGGGAGGCCGAAGTGAGCAGATCACGAGGTCAGGAGATTGAGACCATCCTGGCTAACACGTTTCACCGTGTCATCTCTACTAAAAATACAAAAAATTAGCCAGGCGTGGTGGCGGGCGCCTGTAGCGCCAGCTACTCGGGAGGCTGAGGCAGGAGAATGGCGTGAACCTGGGAGGCAGAGCGTTCAGTGAGCCGAGATCGCACCGCTGCACTCCAGCCTGGGCGACAGAGCGAGACTCCGTCTCAAAAAAATAAAAAATAAATAAATAAATAAATAAATAAATAAAAGATACTACCTGCGACTGGGTAATTTATAAGCAAAAGAGGCTTAATTGACTCGCAGTTCTGCATGGAGTCTGATGGAGAAGCCTCAGGAAACTTACAATCATGGTGGAAGGTAAAGGGGAAGCAGGCACATCCTACATGGGAACAGGAGAGAGAGAATGCACAGAGGAAACAGCCACTTTTAAACCATCAGGTCTTGTGAGAACTCGCTCACCATCACGAGAACAGCATGAAGGAAACCACCCCCATGATCCAATCACCTCCCACCAGGTCTCTCCCTTGACACGTGGGGATTACAATTCCAGATGAGGTTTAGGTGGGGACACAAAGCCAGATCACTTTGGTTGTTCAGATATTTAGTTTCCTGCCACTTGGAAACCTTGCTGGATTTCTGTGGGATGACAATAATTTTAAAAATAGTATTTACTGGATGCTTACCATGTTCAGACATGATTCTAAGTGCTTTCTCTGTATTAATCACTAAATCCTCATAATAACCCTATGTGGGTAGATATTAGTAACCACATTCATAGATAAGGACAGTGTCCCAGCAAGCCTAGGCAGGTTTGCCTACAGCCGTGGAGTGGTAGAGCCAGTATTTGAACCCAGGAAATTTGCCTCTAGCACCTGCTGCTTTGCCCACAGGCTGTCTCAGAAGTATGGAAAGCAGTGCTGTTCATACAATTCAGTTCACTCCACACACTTGTTGGGGCATAACAAGTTCTTCAAGGGCCACATAACTCTAGCACTGTATATTTCATATTTATTGAGTGCTTCTGTTTTCTAGGCATGGTACCAAGTGCCTTCATATACAAGCCTGTTAATCAGAGTTTCTATTAACGGCATGATACACAAACGGACACTGAGGCTTTGAAGGCTGAGGGACTTGCTCCAGGTCTCACCGTTAGAAAGTGACAGAGCTGAGGCTGGGCGCGGTGGCTTGTGCCTGTAATCCTAACACTTTGGGAGGCTGAGGCGGGTGGATCATGAAGTCAGGAGTTTGAGACCAGCCTAGCCAACCTGGGGAAACCCTGTCTCTACTAAAAATACAAAAATTAGCCAGGCATGGTGGCGGGCGTCTGTAATCCCAGCTACTCAGGAGGCTGAGGCAGGACAATCAATTGAATCCGGGAAGTGGAGGTTGTAGCGAGCTGAGATCGTGCCACTGCACTCAGGCCTGGATGACAGAGCGAGACCCCATCTCAAAAAAAAAAAAAAGAAAAAAAAAAAAGAAAAAAGGAAAGTGACAAAGCTGAGAAGAAAAACCTAAGTCAGCCCAATTCCAAAGCATGGGTACAGAACCACAACATGTCAGCAAGGTCTTTGTTCTCCACAGTCTGGGGAGGGGCCAGGTGCTCAAATAACCATAGTCCAGGCTGGGGAGTGCCCTGAGAATGGCTGGAGAACCAGTGGTCAGCTGGATGGCCAGAGCTGAGGTGCTGCTGCATGAGATGCCCTGCTGACCTGTCTATAATCAGCTTCCATCTAGGAGCCTCTTCTGCTGAGCAGGCTGAGCCTAGCACTGGGTAGGAGGCTCCCCAAGGGCAGGGTTGAGTCTAACCAGCACTTAGACCCTCAGCACCCATGCCAGGCCCACATGCCAGGTGCACTGCATATCTGGGGCTGTGTGGATGGCTCGGTGGCATCATGCCTGTCCCCACTCCTCTCCTCTCGCTGTGTGGGACAGCAGAGGAAAGGATGCTCTCCCAACACACATGCCACCCTGAGGGAAGGGTGTGCTGCACTGATCACTACACTACTGGGCGGGAGAGAAAAGGAAAAAACAAGTTCCACTGATGTAAGACTTGGAGACCTACCTTTGATTATGTTGTTGTGGACTTTTCTGTCTACCAAATATGGGCTCTGTCCACAGAGGCATCAAAGGATGAGCAAGGTCAGGGAGAAAATCTAGGCCTGAAGCTCAGTTTCCTCATATACAAAATGGCAGCCATTGCAGCTGCTTGTCTGCTCTGGGGGCTGTGCTGAGGGTCAGTGGGTGGTGTTCTTGCTGTCATTCAGCTCCCAGAGCAGCCCCCTCCAAGAGGGGCCTGATACGTCTTCCTTCCTGGTCCCCCCTTTCCCAGACTCTGGCACCCCAGTGTGAGACCTGGCCACTATTGAGAACTCTAGGCTCTGCTTGGCATTGGATGGCCACACACTCCACACCTGCTTGGCTGAGCTGAATTCTCAGCTCGAGCAGCTGTGCCAGCCAGCCAACTGTTCCTCAGGGGCTAAGGCCATGAGCTGCCTCCCCCCAGCTCTGCCCCTGGCCCTGCCCTCATCTGCATTTACTTAAAATCTTTATTGAGATATAACTCACATGCCATAAAATTCACCCTTCACTACTTTTGAGACTCTGTTTAACCACAATGATCAGGTCTGAAATTAAGAATCTCTAACCCTAACTATACTAGATGAAATAAATTACTCATTTATTGCAAAAATTCAATTTCCTCTACAGCATTTCAACAAAAGAGTTCAAGAAGTGCTGTGAGCACCTGCTCTGTACTCTGATAATGTATATATCATTATATACTTGCCTTGTGCCAGATACTGTGCTCAGCACTTGACAAACATTGTATTATTTAATCCTTATAGCAATCCTGAAAAGTGGATATTACTAGTTCTTTTTTTCCCTGAGGCTCAGGGAAGTTGAGTAACATACTCAAGGTCACACAGGCTTGCCTAGGTGGCAGATTTGGAATCTAGGTCTGGCCTGCATCAGAGCCTGTGCTCTTAACTGGCTCACACCCTGCCCCATTGCATGCTGGTGTGTGAAATTGTGTAGAGAAGGTGGACTAGATTCTGCACCTGTATCATCTGGAGAAACAAAAAAGACAAACATTTAACTCCAATATTGCCCTGAAATATTTTAATTCCATCAAATCAGCACCTGCCCATCAGCAAGGACATCATAACAAGTTAGAATGGAAATAAAGATGTAAAAATATCAGCCACCCTTACCTAGGTGTGGCCCATGGTGTGGGAGTCTGATGGGCAGGTGGAGTACCAGAGAGATGGCAGCTCACATTCTGGGGATGGGTCATGCCAGGGAGACAAGCTTCCAGGAGGCACCATGTGAGCCTCATCTCTGCTTAAAAACCAGGATGCCCGCCCTGCCATGAAGGTTGGCGACTCCAGAGGAGCACTGCCCAGGTCTCTACAATCTTCCCAATGCCACTCTGGGCACTTTTAGGAGTCCCTGGCACACTGGCCCAGAGCTGCTTCAGTTTCTAGGCTGACAGTAACATGAGGGCTGCTGGCAACAGCTGCCCCAGAGAGGGCTCTTGGTGAGCCCCAAAATGAAACCTGATTGGTAGGATGTCTTGGAGAGAATGGCAGAGTGAGGTGAAACACCAAATTCCAGGCAGAAGTAAAGTCTGAAGTGTGGGCTTACCCTCACTACTGGTTCCTGAGCCATAAGACAAGAGGGACCACCAGCTATATTTATCCTATCCTAACATGGGACCCACAGCTGTGAAGAAGGCCCTGGTATTTACCAAGCCATCCACTGAAAAGTGAAGCTGGCTATCAGGCAGTTCCCTTAGATTTAATAAACCCAAAATGCTATACAGCATTTTCATATCATTTGAGCCTCATGTAGACAATTTTTGAGTCACATACCCTCAGCTCACCTCTGGGCAGTTCCATGCCTCTGCCACATGTCTCCCCACCTTTCTGCTTGAGAACTTTTTCTAAATCTGTAGAGCCCTCTATTCCTGGATATTCAGGGAAGTTAATGCCTCGGGGAATGTGGCAAGTCATCTTTTCCAAAACTGGCCGCAATGACATCTCTCATTTCATGTGCCCTTTTAACAACATGATATTGACATGCCTCCCACTGGAGAGGTGGGTCTGTGCTCTCCCACCTTGAATCTGGGAGGGCTTGTGGCCGTGATGGAAGTGATAATGTGTGACTCTGAGGCAAAGCCATCAAAGGTCACACAGTTTCCATTTGGTTCTCTTGGGATGCTTGCACTTAGAATCCAGCTGCCATGCTTCGAGGACACCCACATAGAGAGACCACATGGAGAAGCCACCTATAAGTGTTCTGGCCAACAGGTCCCAGGCAACAGACAGCCTCAACAGCCAGACACATGAGCGAATGAGCCTTCAGATAACTTCAGAACCCACTTGTTGAGTCACCCCAGCCTGTAAGTCTTCCTAGCTGAGGCTTAGCCATCATGGAACAAAGACAAGCCTCCCCTGCTGTGTCTTTTCTACATTCCTAATCAACAGAATCATGAACATAATAAAACAGAGGTTGTTCTACCCCACTGGTCTGGAATGCTTTCTTACAGAGGAATAGAAACTAGAGCAAGGAGCAGACAGTGAAGGGCAGCAGGCTTTGGATAAATGCTGCAGCCTCCTATTCTCTGGGCAGATAATTTGGGAGGCATTCTGTAAGCTCCTCAAAGGCGCTCCCAGTGGGGTCAGGGGCCCATTGCCTAAAGCAGCTACCTTGATTCCACTCCCTTCATTGGATTTCCTTCCTCCCTGTCTCATTCCTCCTGCTCCCTTAACCCTGCTTCCTGGGATCACCTTCCACATGAACTATCTACACCAAAGTCCTTGTGTAAGGCTCTTCTTTCTGAAGAATCCAACTAAAACTGGCCTTGGCCGGGCACGGTGGCTCACGCCTGTAATCCCAGCACTTTGGGAGGCCGAGGCGGGCAGATCACGAGGTCAGGAGATTGAGATCATCCAGGATAACACGGTGAAACCCCGTCTCTACTAAAAATACAAAAAAATAGCTGGGCATAGTGGCAGGCGCCTGTAGTCCCAGCTACTCGGGAGGCTGAGGCAGGAGAATGGCGTGAACCCGGGAGGCGGAGCTTGCAGTGAGCCGAGATCAGGCCACTGCACTCCAGCCTGGGCGACAGAGCGAGACTCCGTCTCAAAAAAGTAAATAAATAAATAAATAAATAAGTAAATAAAACTGGCCTTTTGTCTACCCTGCAAGGCAAGCATTTTTGCTCCCACTCCCATTTTGTAGATGAGCAGACTGAGACATGGAAAGGTAAAATGACTTGCTCAAGGCCACACGGTGAGTAAGGCGGGGCAGGGTCAAGATAAGAACCTAGGCCTTCTGACTTGAAATCAGCTTAAAACTTGTGGGTGAGGATAGGCAGGCAGGCAGGAACAGTCCTCCCAAGCTTTGCTGTCAGAGGCATGGTGGTTGGAAGAATGCCTTGTGATTTACTGCCAGTTGAACCCTTAGCTGTATTGACAGCATCAGAAGAAAAACAACTGGCAGAGCTATGGATGACCAGACAGAGAACACCCCCCAGAAGCCCCATGCCCCTCACCAGCCCCAGGCCAGGAGGGCTTCACAGACTAACTTCCACTCCCCCGTCACTTGATTTAAAAGTCATCCCTTTTTACAGCATCAAATAGATTGTCTATTAGCAAATTTAAATTTTCCAGCTTAAAACCTGCTTTAAGGTCAGCATGAAGATATTCTTTCCATCAGTTTCTAGAAAATCCATTTATAAAAAGTATCTAACTATATTTCAAGCACTGTTCTAAGTACTTTATCAGGAATCATCCCCATTTACAAATGAGGAAGCTAATGCCCAGAGAAATCAAGTGATTTGCCCAAGGATACACAGCTTGTAAGTGGCAGAGTAAATGGTAAAAATGGTATTAAAAATTGCAAAAGTAGTGAAATGGTAAAATTAGAAATGGTAAAATTACCAGTTTGTTCAGCTTCTAAGAGGTTGGGCTAGAACCAAAGATCATAGACTCATAGAACACTGGATAGGAAGCAGCCAGGGGGCTCACACTGAAGTGCTTGCAAGGTATGAAGTAGGCCCAGGGCAAGACGGTTGATGAGGACCAAGAGCACAAGCTCTCTGGACATGTCACTTTGTAATTCTAACAAGGCAGACATTTTCATTCTGCAGGTAAGGAACTGAGGCCCAGAGAGGAGGGGAGTCGTCCCGGTAACACAGATCCTGAAAAGCCAGGAACAGATTCAAGACCCTCCCCTCTGCATTCTGAGTCCACAGTAGGAATGGAGACCCACACCAAGAAGGGACAGTGGGAGGTGTTTTAGCTTTGCAGCCCTGAGGCAGGTCCTAAAAGGAGAGCTTCTGGCCAGAAGAGTCAGGGAGTTAGGATTTCACTGAGATAGAATGGGAGGCTGCCCCTAAAGGTTTGCCTTAAATATGCAACCAGGAAATGCAGTGTCCCGCTAGCCAAGAGGCAAGTCCTTTCTCTGAGACTTCAGTACACTGATGAACTGCTTGCTGGCCTTCCAGACAGCTGTTCTCCAGGTCAGGCAATTTCCAAGAGGATGGGCGGACTGAGATGTTACCTTTTCCCCCAGGTTGTCCTTATCATCGCCCTCTTCTGGCCACTCTTAGCATCAGTGTAGCCCAGGGAGAGGCCAATGAGTTGGGAGAATTCAAGGAGTCTGAGGAGGGTGCCTGCAGCTGGCTGAAGCCACACTGGCCATATCCTCTGCCTTCCAGCCCTGCCTGTGCATCCCATTCTGTCTGTGAAGAATCACAGAATATGCGTGCCCCTGATTATCTTGCATTTTCTCTAAAATTACTGGGGAAAATGAGGCTGTAACAGGCAAGCCTGCCTCAGGGTTATCCTCCAAGGCTGAGACGGGGAGCTGGCATGCCTCTTTCACATCTGGATTCACAAGTGCCCAGACCAGCACCCAGCATACTGGAGATGCACAATACATTCCTGAGCAAATCAATCACTTCCCCACTCCGGGCCTCAGCGGCCCACACTGCCTCCCAGAGTCCCCAGGTCACACCCAGCAGGGTCTAGGATCTGACAAGTGGGGGAGGTGGTCCAGCCACTCCCTTTATCCCACACCTATTTTCCCAGCTTCAGTGGCCCTCTTTTCAGGGCCAGGCTGCCATTCCAATAGTGCTCTGGAGCCTCTTCTCCCTGGCCTTGAATTAGGTCCCATAAGGAACTCATGGTACCTGGGCCAGGCATGCTACCTGCTGAGGTTTTCTCCAGTTGTCCAGGAACCAACTCCTCTGCCCACCTTCCTAACTCAGAAGCCCCAAGAGATACAGCAGTAGGTAGATATTCTGCAGGAAACTTCCCTTACTAAGACCAGGCCCCTCAAGACTAGTTTGATCTCAAACCTTCACAAGATTCTCAAGTCTCACAAACTCCTCCTGCCTCCTAGTAACCTGGTCTTCCCCAGACTTTACCCAGTTCTGACCCTCCCAACCCCCAGCCTAGACCCGAGCCACTGCAGTGATAGAAACAATAAAAAATAACGACAATGCCATCATTTCACTTGCAGAGAATTTTCCCACAAATCACCTGAGTCCTCCTATAATTACTGCCACCAATTTAGAGATGAGTAACCTGGAACTGATAGAGGTTTCCAGGGCGTGAAGGGGCAACCACTGGCCCACAGGCCCCGCAGAGACCTGGCCGGCCACAGCCCCGGGAAGGAGCACCTGCCTCGCCGAGGGTGGAGGTCGCGCTCTTCCCTCCCCATTCTTCTCTGCCGACCGCCAAGTGAAACGGGGCCCCACAAAGCCGGAGATAAACACCACTACTCGCGGGACACTGGCCATGGGCCAGGAGCGTCTGTGCGAGCCTCTGAGCCCAGCATCTCCCTGGGAGCGTGAGCGTGAGCACCCCTCTGTCCGTGCTGGAACTGCCCCACACTCATCAGCTTGCTGGAACATGCGCTTGGCCCTTCGGAGGCTAACGCTTCAACGACTCCAGCTCGGAAGCCGCTCCCCTCAGGACTCACGAGCCGATCAGTGGCCCCGAGGAAGCGGGAGCTGCAGCGCCCGGGCGGCGATTGCGCCCGAAAGGCCCGTACGTCCTGGGGCGCCGCTTCCTGGAGGGATTAGAGCACCTGCCGGCTTCCATCTCCGCCCGCCCAGAGCGACCCTCAGGCCGGTACCGCTACAGGGAAGTTTCCGGCTATTCGAGTCTTGCTCATTCTCCCTCGGCGACCCCTTTCCTTTTGCCCGCTGTGACGCTTTTCTTTTTAAAATCTCCCAAGAGTAACCACAGATCTTGGGAAACTTTGCGCGAAACTTAAAAATGCTGTGAAATCGGAGCCAGGAACTCCATCTGAGCCTCGGAGCGCCGCGCCCAGTCCAGCTCTTCTGCTCCGGCCCGGAGCGTCTGGCGGTGGCCAGTGCTGCCCACTCGCTGTCAGGCGGCCCTGGCACCCACCCCGGCCCCTGGGCGCCCTCTCGGCCTCTGGCACCCGCTCTGATTCGCTTTGGGAACGCGCCAGCTGTCGCCCCCCGGTGCGCACCGCAAACCTGGGGCCGGGACATCCCAGCCTCGGAGTGGTTTTTAAGCAATTCCTCGGAGGCATTGTCTTCCGGGGGAGCCGGGGATCTCAGGGGAGGGGAGGGGAGACCCGCCCCATAGACGGTAGTGCAGGCTTGCCCACCACCTCATTTGCATTTCAAAGGCAAACTTCTGCGGGACTTCCCCAGCGGCGGCACCTACCGGCTTTGCAAGGGTCGTGGTAATGCTCCAGCTGCTGCTCCGTGCCCTCCTCGCCGTCCAGCTCTGAGTAGTCTGCGGTGGCGTCCGGGCGCTCCCCGAGTCCCCCGGCGCCGCGAGGCAGCGGCAGCAGCAGCAGCAGTGACACCAGGGCCCCAAGTGCAGTCGCCCGGGGCATGGTGGCGCGGGGCCGGCTGGGGCAGAGGGAGTTGCGTGCACGAAAGCTCAGCTCGGCCGAAAGACGGCGCACACTGGGTCGGTCGGCTCCGGCCGGGACTCGGTGGTTACACAGGGCTGCTGGGCATGGCTCAGGCGCGGAGCAAGCGGAGCGCGGCGCCCCCTGTCTTCGTCGAGGCAACCGGGAAGCAGCCGCTCGGAGCTACTTGCCCGGCGGCCGAGGCTGCGGCGGCTGCGAGTGTGGCGGTGGCGGCGGTGGTTGGAGCAGTGGCCGCTCCGCCCCTCTCCACCAGGGCTGGACCACACAGCCTTCGCCCGGGGCCCTAAGCAGCCAATCACTCGGGCGCCCGAGGCGAGGCCCCTCCTCTTCCCGGCACCTTCGCAACTTCGGAGGCAGGCGAGCGAGGTGAAGATGCTGGAGCCAAAGGCCGGGGCCAGCTCCGCACCCACCCAGCCTAAGGCGCCTGCCCGGGGCGCCACCTCGGCCTCTGGCTCCCGAGAATGCTGCTCCTGAAGATCGGGACTGGGCTTCTCGCCTTGTTTTATTTCCATAACTCACTTTACAACTCCCCGATGCACACGTGGCCAGAGTGGTTAGAACTCGGAGCGCTGGACCAGGAGCCCTGTGTACGGATTCATGTCACTACCAACTGGCTATGTGCATTCGGGCAGCTGCTTCTTTGCAGGGATGAGTGAATGTCTCTCAGGTCCCTCTCAGCAAAGAAAAAAAAATCGAGGATTTCGATTCTCTCAGCTCTCTCCACATTCCCTAGTCGAGCCATGAAGGGCGCTTGCTGGCGGCAACTAACCTAACCTAGTGGCCGGCGATAGGTAATGAAAAAAGATTTAAGTCCACAGATTTCCCCTCTCGGTGACCCTATCTTTCAGTAAAACCGTCTAAGATGCTTCACACAGTCAAAAAGACACAAATGAACAGCTGTACGTGCTACTTGTGTTAAATTACAGACATGTTTTTATTAAATAAGCCACTCACCGTTAACTTGATGGAATAAAAATGACCAATTTCTGAAGTCTGTTTTTTTTTTGCCAATTAAAAACATATGCCCAAATAATGACACTAATCAAGAGCTATTTGAAACCCACTTCTATTTTGTACCTAAAATGTAAAAATTCTCAGAACTGAGCCATTTTGATTTAGAGATATAAAAAGTATTATTACTGTGAGGCTTTTCAAAGATCTTTTTATGCAAGTAAAATGGCCCTGTCAACTATAACACACAAATGTGTATGTGTAGAAATGTTTTGCATCATGCCCAGTAGAATCTTTTTTCAATTTAAACTGCAAGCAGAAAAATGGACAACTTTCCTTTTGGATTTCCACATGGTTTCACATACATCAATGACAAAATAGTCAACAGGGAGCCCAGAGCTGGGCTTCACATCAAACTCTGAATTTCTTGCACTTATGGTCATCTGTCTTCTCATCTATCAACTGGGATAACAAGTCCTTCACACAAGTAAAGGGCTAAAAGTTAACTATTGGAAGGATGCTACTCATATTTTGTCCTCGTTCTTAGAAAGAAATGCAATGTTGACCCTGCCTCATGCTGTTTTCATCAAATGGGCACATAACATACAGAATGGAGCCAGACAGGGCAAGATCTGGTTAGAAACTGGCAGGTGGAAGGAAGGAATTTGAAGAGGATAAATGCCACCAAATGGCAGGAAGGCCAAGTGGCCAGCGCATAGGCAAAGGAGTGGGAGGGGGTTGAATGGCATGCATTTCTGCCTGAAAGCCAGGAGTCAAACCCAACGCCATAGCTCTCTGCATTCACCCCCATGAAGGTCATCACCTCTCAGTAGACGAGTCCAAAGAGTCAACATCTAAAAGGCCTAACAAACTTCTGTGACACTTCCAGGTCTCCAGATGGCACTAGGCAAACCACCAACTGGCTTCCTTATTAGAAGGGAATTCCTCTGGAAAATAGACATGAGAGGCCACCTCTTGTGCAAGCAATGAGGTTGTGAGCTTTTATGACCTCTAATGCCCAGCTGGTGAGTAGTGGCCAGGTCTTCTCACCAACACCCTTTGTCCAAATATTTTGAAGACAGTGGTGTTGAAGAATGAACAAGCTGCACAGTTTTATGTTATTAAAGTAGAAGGCCAGTTTAGTTGCTACTTTGGCTATCAACCAATAAATGGCAACAAAATATTTGGTTCACTAGAAAGATCAGAAAAGAATAATTGAAAAGGGACACCATAAGATAGAACTATAAAAGCTAAACTCTAATCTGGGTTTAGATGATTTTTATAATGTATTTTTCTTTAATTTAAAAACCATGAAAAAACTGGAGGTAGAGTAACAGGCTTTATGACATAAAACTGCTCAACTTAGCTCCATTATTACATTAATAATTACTTCAGGGTTTCCTCTGCCATATCTCTGGGTCCTCTGTGAACCTGAACAAGTGTTTTTCTCCTCTTAGATGTCCATCTCCCACCCAGAGTAACTGGGTTCTCTTGCCCCTTCAAGTCTACTGAGTTTTATCCACCTGGGCCACTTTCTCATTTTGCCTTTCCAAGCGACTATACATGATAATTTGTTCCAGGCCAGCTCATTCCTTCATTTACATTGCTCACCACTGAGAAGATACTCAGTTTTCTGGAGAATGTAATTAAAGATACTACAATTTTTAGCAGCTGCTTAAAACCCTTCCTGGCTCTCCAAAACCTTTATTCAAGTTCTTCAGGGTGGCATAACAGGTCCTCCGTCCATCATCAAGCCTTCCTTTCACCTTTCCAGTCTTGGCTCCTTACAACTCCCACATTCCAGTCTTCTGGCATTAAAACACCCTGCAGTCATCCTAACAAGGCTGCTTCACACCCTCCATGTCTCTGCCTGGGACACACTGATAATCGCATATCCCACATCCTCATGCCAGCATTGCAGCTACCCTATCTGTGACACTTACCTATCCAGGACTGCCCTTTCTGGTCTATAACTGCAGCAGACCTCTCTGACCAACCCCAACTTAGAATCACCTTCCATGTCTCACTTTCTAGACTCTCCCTTTTCTTCACTGACCTTCAATATTAAGTCTTGCAATCCTAGTGGCTTAGACTGAGACACTAAGAATAACCATAACATTGGCCAGCCCCACTTATATCAATTTTCCCCTGCAACCATCTCCCACATTTTTTTCCTTTGAAATCGCTGTCAAGCAAAGTAATCGTGCAAACTTTGAAAATCATTTCAAATAATCAAGTAATTTAAAATACATTTGTAAACTACACTGATTCCACATGTCCCAATTAGGCTTATTCCCCCCTTTTCTAATGTTATATTGCAGAGTAACAGTTCCACAAAAATAGTTCACTTGAAATCAAGAAGCTGGCTGCATACGAGTCCCTTCTGTCCTTAGTTTTCCAACCAGACAAAAAGTGTTCATTAAAGAAATAAAAAGTAATCCAAATTTGTACCAATGATGTGGCTAACGGGAATTGCCAAGTACAGGTGTTGACTGAGGCACCTAATAAAACTAGGGGAAAAGAACCAAGGAGGTTGGTCAGGATTTTTAAAAACTAGTCAGAAACGGAAAAACAAAACATACAAATAGACATGGAGAAATTAACCACTGATTTCAATGTGGCACAATAAAAATAATCTCTTCCATTCGTATAGAACACTAATTTTCAATGTGACTTCTACATATATTACCTGCCTCCCAGGCTAGAGAGGGTGACACCCCCATTTTACAGTTACAATAGTCAAGACAACAGGGCCCTGAATCTTGATGACTTCTGGGCTAAACATAAGAGCACCTTTAGCTGTGGTTTCTTATCCATAAAACACAGCTATCTACTCTACCAGCTTCACAGGATGGTTGTGAAGGAACAAGTGAAACTGCTTTGAAAAAGTAGTAAATGCTAAACAAATGCAAAGAATCATCAATCAGAGGATGGCAGGCAAATAGATGGTAAAGTCTGAGTGTAAGAGTCAGAATAGGTATACAAAAAAGTCAAAAGAATGGCAATAAAAGAAAAATCATTCTTAAGAAAGACCAATCTTATTCACTGGACCATTCTCTCAACTTTACTGTATATTACAGTTCACTTTTGAAATACAAATTTAAACCTTAAATTTTAAATACATCATTCCAGGGGTTAGCGGACTATGGCCTGTGGGCCATTTTTGTGAAGTTATACTGGAACATAGCCATGCTCATTAGTTTATGTAGTCTACTATGGCTGCTTTGGTGCTACAACGATAGTTTCAACAGAGACTGCATAGCCCTCAAAGCTGAAAGTATTTACTATCTAGACCTTCACAGAAAAAGTCTGCAGACCCCTGCTTTAATTGTGGAAAACTATTACTAAGTTATTCATTTGCCTGTCAATAATGGGTTATCCCTTATGCTTGGTTCATGTTTCAAAAAGGAAAGAAATAAGGAATCCAAAGGAAGTACATTTAACTTTTTATTACTTTTTAAAAATCCAAATTCAGATAAATTAACACACTAGGTTAGAACCTCAATTGTATTTGATACATTATATACTGGATTTCTATTACTAAAAAGCCAGTTGGAATATGGCCTATACGAACCAAAGAGTGTATACAAAATGGAAGTGGTCATCAGGCAATAATTGTTTCCTTGGAACTCTGCACCGACTGTCCATGCTCTGTGGGGACTTACACATTCAAGTTTGACAGTTGAAAAACCAACTGGAGCTGCTTTTCCAAGAATGTTCTGTTGTCCTTCAAATAGAATTCCATGTTATTTCTTTCTTGCCTTAAGCTCTTATATCTTTCAAATGACCTAAGCTGATGAACTGGAGTAAACACAAACTGCTGCAGTTATCAATTAGCAAGCCTAGTTCACCAATACTTCAAAATAAACAGACTTCACAAGTTTATTTCCATTCCTAACAGTGGAATAATAACTTAATTTTGTTTACTTTTGTCTTTGTAGATTTCTGTCTGCAGCTCCAGTAAGAATGCCAAATCAGATGGCTTTTAGGAAATGCTCATAGGAGAGAACTAGAGTTATTCCTCACACTGAATTTAAGTCTTACCAGATTTCTGCAGGTTCATATGTTAACGTTCTGATCTAGCCTACCTGTAAGTCTAGTTTATTTCTGTACACACTTCCAAATACTCTTCATAAATTTTCACTTCTGACTGAAATATAACACCTTGATTGATAGTTTCATAACTATAGAATTTTAGTGAAGATATAAAACATTAATGAATACTTGTGTTTTAATACATCACTACTCCTATTTATTACATGTTCCAATAAACCAATAGAATGAAGCACTAAGACACGGTGAAATCTAAACTTAAAACCCAGATGGAACTGCCATATAGATTACAAATGGGTCTCCCCACCACAGAATTCATATACAAAAGCCCTTCGGTATGTAGCTTTTCCTGAACAAATACATTAATACACTTTTTGTTTTTTACATTTGTAAAAATTCAAGGTTTTAATAACATTTCTTTGCAAGACATTTGGTATAAGGTGGTTAATAAATATTAGGAAACAAACACTGTACCAAAATGGATATGACTTGTGAATAAACCCTAAATAAAGTGGCTTTTGGAAGAACTGGATTTTGCAGCAACCAACTTTATAAAGAGGTCCATCCACTCTCAATGGAAAACACCCAAGCATACCATTCACTAGGTTCGGATATCACCATAATATAATGAATTCTAAGAGTATGGGGTTTGATTTATGGGCAACCCCAGTACAATCTAGGAGCCCAACATGATGAAAAATACTAAAAGAATGCTTCACCATCCCTCAGGCCATTACATTTCCACCTTATCCTACTCTTGTATTAGGATATATGTATACAAATGTCAACTACTAATGTAGTTAAATTTCAGGAGAAGCATGCTTAAAGATACACAAGGAATGTTTAGCCTTAGTTTTTGATAGTATTATCCAAAGTGTGAGTTGAAAGAAATTAAGCAAATAATGTTAACAAACGAAAGACAGATACACAGCATTAGTGGGGGTATAAAAACCTCACCTTTCAATTAACTTGAATAATGTTCTATTTTCTATTCTACAACTGAGCGCTAGGGAGCTAAACTATTTGTGAATTACATCTTCTTTAAGAAGACACACACACACGCACACACATACATACACTTATTCAACCCCTCTATGCAGCCAAAAACCAATACAAGTCCTTTTCTAAAAGACTTTAAAGGTGATTAATATTCATTTAATGCTCTTAATGTATTTGGAAATCAGAAAATTATTTTTCACCACAGATTCCAAAGAACTTCAAATAGAGCTCAATTTAGTAGAAAGAATTGGTGTACCTGAAAGCATTTAACCCACACATTTTCAATAAACCCTACATCTTACCTGCAAGATTCATATCATGAGAAACAAATTTCATTTTATTAAGACAAAACCTTACTGTCCAATTTATACTCCCATCAGACAGACTATGTATTGGTATGTTAAAAGTACTTTTGAATAAAAGTGGTGAGAAAGAAACCAAAAAAGTACTTTATATATAGTTAAAAGGTTACATAATATAGGCAACTAAATATTAACTTTTAGTTTCTTTTTTATAAGATCTTAAAGGCAAGTAAGAAGGAAGAGAAAATGGAAGTACCAATAAATTATATTTAATATACCATTTTGGCTTCAGAAGAGGATTTACCTACAGCTTCTGATCAAATTTGTTGGATCATATCAATCATACTTAAGTGGTAAGAAATCATACTTTTCACCTTTTAAAGGACTTACATGTCACAATATAGGATGTAGAGTCCATCAATAGATAGGTACATATTTTGTAATGAAAACATCTTGTGTAACTATTAATTGCATGATTTTCATATTAAGGTTTAAATACAGGTGTTTTGAGTCTTTCTAAAAATAACAATATAAAGTATTGTTTTAGGTGGTCATTTGCATAGCAAACTATTAAACTAGAAACTCAGTGGTTCTAGGAAAACTTCATATTATGAATAGTTCCAGAAAAATGTATTCAAATCACTTCTCTTACAAAACTGTAACCTTTATTTGTTGATCCAACAGTACGTTAACCACTTTTACCCCATCCCCACTTTACACGGTACACCAACCTGAACAGATTTTGTGCCACAATTTCATTCAAAGGGTTTGTCATTCACTTTATGATTGTGCTGGATAATCTAGATGTAAGCAAGTCTGGAGATTTTAAAATACGGGTCCCCTGTATGAGAGTAGCATAGTTTATAGCATACTTTTAAAAATGGCATTCGGTAATTTTGCCTTCTGGACAGAAAGATATCTTCAAATTGCAAACACATCTATTTCCACAAAACAATTTGGTCAGGAAATTTTATTTGAACATTCTAAAGCAATAATGCTTTAGATGTTACTTAAGTGTCCCAGACAGGATTAACAAAATTAAGTGTCTCTAAATTACAAATTTGGCTCCTGTAGGAGTCTCAGAAAATAAACAGAAGAAAACAACCCCCCTCCCAAAAGAAGTATGACACACACATTTTGAAGAAACCCCAATGTTTCATGCAATGGTAGGCAAGATGTAAAAGCCCACCCAAATCACACATTTCTACACCAATCATCATAAGAAAAAAGTACTCTGTAGTCGATCTGTACATCCAAATGCATTTGGGAATCTACACCTACGTTACATTATTTAATGTTATATACATTTATTACCCACCCCCCTTGTTTTTAATAATTTCTTATGTAAAACCTTCATTCAAACCCAAAAGATTTAAGACTAACTTGGGGGGAAAAAAGATAATCACTTTAGACATTCAGTTAAAATGTAGTTTATCTAAATCTCAAAATGTTTAATAAAAACAAGTATCTTCTCCATTTAACACTTTGCTTTCTAACTGTACAGTAAATTGCATTGTAGAGAGTACACTTCTGTCTTCAAACTGTATCTTCTTTGGATGGAATTAAGATGTAACTGTATAGTTTTAAGATAAATAAATGGGAAGTTGGTCCAACTAAGATGACAGCAGATATATTACATGCAGGATTTAATATTTTCTAATTCTCTCTTTTAAAAAAAAGGATGCTGTTGGATTGGGAAAAAAAAAAAGTCAAAAAAGAACCCAGATTCAATATATAAAAATGTCCCACAATAGGTCGACAATGGCAGTAAAAATAAGAGGAAAAAAGTAATCTTTCTGGAACATCATTTTTCAATAACATAGAAACACTAAGTGCCAGGAAGATTCCTATTCATGTAATTTTAGCATCCAAGTTTCCCTCTATTTATTTTATTGGAACAAATGCTTTAAATAAACTATTTGTCCTCTTCACTGAAGAGAGCTGGTCTATTTCATCTTTAATGAGCTAGTTTTTGGGAAGATTAGCCATGTACTGTAGTAATGCCTACTGCATAAAATCCAAGCATTTGCTGTGAACAGTTGGAGAAAGCAGTCAGGAAGAACCTAGGATCAATGGAAATAGATGTTACTTTAAGCCACCGACGAAAGAGAGACCCACAAAGTACCCAGTGTGTTAAAGCCCAAATCTCTTCTTGCGTTTGTTTGTTTTTGCTGTGCAAGTTCCACCCCTATGAAAAAGAAATTGATCCAAAGTTCCAGGTTTTCTTGGGTCTCTAGTCAATTTTCACATTAGTATAGATTTTTCGGACAAAGGCACTTGTTCCCATGTAACCAATCGCTCCTGCAAAGATAAAATAAGATGTTTTGAAACAAATACATACAGAGCAGTATCCATCATTTAAAAACACTAAATACTCTATGCTCTGGAAAGTTATTCTTTTTTAAAGAAAATATCCTTATGTTAGTATTCTCTCTGAACTTACTAAAACTGTATCATTTGCTTTGCAAATCACCTGATACCATAATACACTGAGTCTGACCATCATACGCCAAGTCTAATCAAGTAGCAATTATTTCTTGTATAATCAGTAACTACAGAATTAAAATACATCTCTTATAAAGCAAGAATAATTTGATAATGGCAAAAGGTTGTTAAATCAAAAAACATGCCTTCTTTGATTTGAAGATATACTATTCTAGGTCATTAAAGTAAAAATCAATATATCTTCCCAAAATCCAATAGATAAATAGTTAGAAGTGACTGAAAATTCTCTTAAGGAAGGACAGGGAACCATGTCCCAATAGCAGTTGAAGCTCTAGAGAAGAGGCATTTTCTGACAGCTTCTTTTTTATTTTTAAGTTGTAGAAGCTGTGTAGTTGGTAGTAGGGATGACATATTTGCGGGAATAGACAGGACAGAGAGGTAAGTGGGTCAGAAGTTTTGAAATGTTGTTTTTTAACAATTAGCCTCAACCAGAGCTTAAAACACCAGAAATCAGGGATGTTTGTTTTGTTAAGTAAAATATTTATCTCCTGTGTCTAAAAGAGTGCCTGGCATATAAGATACTTGGTAAATATTTGTTGAATGAATGAATGAACTAGATGGTTCTTTATTGCAAATATAGGTTGGTGCAAAAGTATTTGCAGCTTTACAATTACTTTTGTACCAACCTACTAAGGGCTCTTTAGGACAATGCAGTTGGTTATTGAACTGTCAGAGAAGAAATCTCCATTGGCCTCAGGAATTTATGATGTAGCCCAATATTATTGAAAGCTTAAAAGAAAACCTTCCATTAATTAGTAATATTAAGTGCACACACAAATGCCTAGTCATCCTTGAACGAATCTTTTAGTGAATCTTTTATTCACTAAACTGGTGAATGAAAGGCAAGAATCAAGCATCTCTCCTGTTTCTCCTATGTATGAACTATACCCCAAGGCTACCAACTGGTTGATGAAAGGAAGGTTATCCTTATGGAAGTATTCCAGCTAACAAATATAAAAGGAACAACAGAATTAGAATATTATAACCACTAATGAATTATTTGAGCTAGGCAATAACTATCAATGGCTGCTAACTTCACAAAGAAATAGAACCAGAAATTATGTGCTTTCCTGATAAAAGCTTACAAACCACCTGTTAAACATTCTTGGACAAGTATTCTTGAGTATGATCAAGCCTACAGATCTAACTACCACTTGAAGAAACTTTAAATGACACTTCAGCAATATAATCAGCAAAATCCAGAGTCTGGAAAATTCTACAGAAATTGTTTAAGTTTTAAAAATAAACTGCAAGTGAGAGAGAGAATATCTATAGACTAAAAGAGCCTTAAGAGACATTTCAGCCAAGCAATTCATGAATCTTAATTGATCTCAAAGCAAACAAACTATATTTAAAAAGAAGTCATTGCAAGTGTGGTAAATCTGAACATTAACTGAATTATTCCATCATATTAAGAAATTACATTTATCTTTCAGGGAGAGACATATACTGAAATATTTACACTTGAAATGACATAAGGTCTAAGATTCATGTCAGAATAAAAGGGGGGGATACAAAGTGAGAATATAAATAAAACAAGATAGGCCATGAGTTGATAATTACTGACACTGGGTGTTAGTACATGGGGACTCACTATATATAGTATTGTCCCTATTTTTGTATGTATTTCAAAGTTTCCCTTTATTAAATATTAAAATACAAAAAACCAAAGTGACAAAGCAACACTATTTCCACTTATTTTTGCAATGACATTTCTTTTATAATAGGAAATAACAATATTACATTTTAAAATATTGATAATGCATTTTAGAATAGTTACAATACAATTCTTTACAGGATAAGAGAAAAATCATTCAATTTTGTGAAAATATACCTGAATCCTTACGACACGAAAAGATGTATAAAATTTTAATTAGCATCAAAAATTTTAATGGTATAATACTAGTCCAATAACCAAATCCAATTTTCCAGACGTACAAAACATTGTTCCCCTTTGAGCAGAAATATGCTTAAAATCAAAACAGTTTCAACCTAGAGAATCATTTTTCCTAATCTTATGAGTACCTCAAGAATAAACTTACAAGGGCATGACTTTATAAAAAGAGAATACTGAATATGCCCTCTAGAAAAGTAAATATCTTAGGAATAATAGAGGTGCACTTTTAAACTTAATTCCTCAAAACAAAAATGCTATGCTCATAATATCCCACCTTAATGTAGTCATTTTTTCCTACATTAAAAAAAATCAACAAATATTTTTGTTTTAATTACTGACAAGCATTTTAGCAACATAAATTGATGGATATATATAATTTTTGTATTATGATGACATTCTAATGACTTCCAGTCTAAACAGTTTCTCCCCACCTGCCCCTGAAAAATGAAGTACTGAAGGCATATAAACCCATTAAAGAATAAATGCTGGGACATTGCCAGAACAGCAGGGAACTGTAAATGTGCCAAGGTTTTCAGGCAGCAAGATGAAATTTCAGCAGGAAAAGCACTCAAAAAATTTAGCTAGATTCATTCCATTTTCTTTGTAAATGTCAAGATGTTACCTCTCTGGGTCTTCCTAAGATCACATATAGAAAAAGTCAAGTCAAGAAAAATTTTTTTAACTCTCTGCATAATCGATTCTATACCTCACTGAATGCTGGTGATAATCAAGAAAAATCTCAGATAAAATAAAGAGGAGTCCAGTGAACAATACTCTGAAGAAAGGATGGCAAATAATAAGGAACCTTCTGACTGTCCAAGAATAGGGATGTTTCCACCTGACACAATGTAGTTTTAACCTTCAGTCCCTCTCATCTTTCTCTCAAAGTTGGTTACTAATTATCACAGGGAATGGCTATCACAGCAGCTATAAATAAAACATGTGACTATAACATAGAGAATGATCTTTCCTTGTGGAATGTTTCATTCACTACTTTACGGACAATCTCATTTGTGTGTGCGCACACACATGATCACATACATAGTGTATATGAACTGAACAGGCTCTTTTGATGGAGAAACAAAGCAATCTTGGTACCCCAAAGGTGTCCATAAATGTCATACCAAGACTTAGCTTTTAATAAGATTACCATATCTTATATATATCTTATATAGCCAAAGGTGGAATTATCAAATACACACATACATACATAAATAGCCAATGGCAAGTAACAGAAAAAGGAGGAAAATTATCCACTCTCTGGAAATGTTTCCACCATGATTAGTCCCGCAGCCTTACATCATTCCTACAAAGTAACCAAGGGATCAGTCTCATTTATCAAGTAAAACACATCATTCCTACAAAGTAATTAAGGGACCAGTCTCATTTATCAAGTAAAACACTGAGCCCAAAAAAAAGTGAGTTACTTGTATGAGTTTCCCTTAAGTTACCTCTGCCAGAACTTAGAGTCATAAAGTTGTTCTGAGATGAAAACACAAGGTGTAGAATCCCACAGAGACTGTGCAGAAACACAGACACAATTCCAGAGCAGAAGGAAGCCCAAGGACTTTCAGCCTTCATCAATAGCAGCAGCAGCTACCCCTCACTGAGCATCTACCAGCCACGTGATGTTTATCCACATTTAATCACTGAATCCTCTTTATAGCCCTATGAGGTAGGTATTATTTCTATTTTGCAAATGAGTAAAGTTGAGGAAGAAAGGTTAAATAATTTGGCCAGAGTAACATGGCTATTAAGTGGGGAGTTCACACCCAGAACAGACTGACCCCAAAAGGCCAGCTCTTTCCATATCTCACCATGTAAATGGCTATCGTTACTACCTAATAACAGTCCCAACACTACACTTGGTGCTTTACACACATGACACTATTCCTCACAACCACTCTGAAAGATATGCCCATTTTACAGATAAAAATGAGACTTAGAAAGGTTAATGTGACCTCCATGGCCATAAAAAAAGCTGAGCAACAGCATGGACATTTATTCCAGTGCTTTCAGGCTCTCATGCTTATGCCTTTCCCATTTATCATACTGTTTCCAAAAGTTCTTTATTTTCTAGCTATTTCACACATTCTAGAGATTCTATCACATGGTGAAAACTATTACCTCTTCCTTTTAATAGATGATTATGATAGATCCATAAATAGTGGTTTTATCCCCACTTTACAGAAGCTTAGAGAGCTTGGGGAACTAGATCAAGGTGGAAAGCATACATATGGTACAGCTAGAACTTAAGTCCAGTCTGTAGATACCCAAGTATGCAATCATAACAAGTAAACTGTGCTGTCTCCTAGGTGTCTCCTGGTTTCTCCAAGAATACTCTGAGAAGTTTCCAAACAGGAATCATTCAGGCAACACCTTAACATGCCTACATCATGATCTTCCATTGAACCTAAGCTTTAAAAAATGCCAATTCTCAAGCCAGGCACAGTGGCATGTGCCTGTAGTCCCAGCTAGTTAAGAAGCTGAGTCTCTAAAAACAATAAATAAAATGAAAAAGCCAATTCTCAACATGAATGAAAAACTGTGATATGAAATTCTGTGCTATACAGAATTACTAGAATTTCTATAAAAATAGAAATTAATAAGGTAATAAATTATGTTGTGGGGAAGAGTCAAAAGGACTGAAATCAGACTCGGGTTTATTTTGGTGTTTCTGATCAAACAACAGATAAAATTTCTTAATTTCCAATTACTGTATTTTTCGGATTTAGAGAAACTCAGATTTACTCATGATGTTCAAAGAATTTCAAAACTTACCACACATTATCCCCAAGGCTGTGCTAAATACCGCCATATATCCAAAGTAAAATGATGTTTGAAATAAGCCATACATCCTGAAATAAAACAAAATATATATAGGATATCCAGTTTTACTTTCAACTTAAGGCCTTAAATATTAGTATTTAAAGGACAAATTTAGTTTCCTAAATAAAAGGTAAAAAAATGTCTCCACTTACTTTGTTTTGAAAAAATAGTAGTAAAAGGAATACATGTAAACATAGATTGCAGTTGATGCAGCAGAGAGAAAACTTGTCCATTGCCTGGTGGGGGGAGGGGGAAAGAAGATAAATCTCTTTTGAATGAATGGCACTAAAACAAAGATTTTAAAGCAAAGAATTTAATAAAACATCCTTTAAAGTCCTTTAAAACTTATTTAAAAAACAAATGCATAGACATGGTATTCAAATTTATCAACAAGGAAAACATCTAAGAATTAGAAAGCTCAATCTTGAATTTTGTCAGATTCCCTATTACCAGTGACCATAAATACACCATTTCCTTTTTCATATCTAAGTTTCCTTGTGTTTAGAATGGAGCAATGCTTCTCATAAAACTCTTTTCATATCAAGCACTTTGTAAAAAATATTTCTAACACAGTACTCCATTAATACATTAAAAATTTGATATTTTTTCTCTAAAATATGTATCATTTTTATAACTGGAAAAAAATCCCTATGCTATTTTAAGTAACAACATTTCTATACAGCTCTTTACTCCACTTGATAGATTTCAAAGGAAATCTTATTTTAAAATATTATGGTTCCCCAAATTTCTATCCACAAATAGGTACTTACCACCGGTAATCTTCTGCATTTAGTAGAAAATATGTGCACACAATAGTCACACAGACAGTCACAATGCACAGGATAACCAGCACCAGCATCATGAAGCCATAGACATAATAGATCTTATATGCCCAGAAAGACGTGAAGATGAAATACCTAAGTAAATGCAATAAAGACACAGGTTTCCAGTCTTTATTCTTAAAGCTCACTCTGCTCTTCGTGAGTCTCACATTTTAGTTCTCATTTTTTTCTCACTTAATGACTTTCTTTCAAGTATCTTCCAACAGCTTCTCTTACCATGTCTTCATCAATTAAATCCACTAGAATTCTCTCAAAAAATATTTTCTTGGATAATCTTTGAAAAACAGATTCTTCAGTAGGGCATTCACCTCTACACAAACTGAATAAAACAGAAGCTTCAAGAAGTATAATGTAGAAAAGAACAAATGAAAATAGCTAAAAAATCCGTATTTGTATCCATATTGTTTTGTAGATACAACACAATTCAAGCAATGTAGTTTGTATTTTATTAAATAGAAAATAAAATAATAAGTAGAAAAATAAGTTAGAGCAATAATGTATAAAATTAGGAAAAGCAGGCCTGAAGAAGATTCACACTGTCTTCAGAGGACAGCAAGGGAAAAGGCTTTAAGATTTTTAATTAAGAAAAAGATCTTTCACTCTAATCCATTATCAAGTCATCACTAAATTACAACAGAGCCTTTCACCCTCTTTTTCTTAGTCACTATGGCTAATACTTTAAATGAAGGGGAAAGAACTAAGAAATGAAGTTGGAGAAGTGAACAGGGCCAGTTCTTACGTTATAAAGACCCTTAATGGCCATGTTATGGTGTTGGGACCTCACCTCAATTAAAATAAGAAGTGTTAAGTAAAGAAATGACATGACACCTTAAAAAGACCACTTTGGCTACCAAATGGGTAGGAGAATGGGTTTGAAGGTGGACAAAACAGAAGATAAGTTGAAGAAACAGCAGAGAAGTTATCTAGTGGAACACAGTGCCTGGAGAAGCACAAAGACATGTGGTTCAGAAGTACTGGGGACAGGGGTAGAAGGGAAAAAGAAGTCACAGGTCAAGTCTGAATAAAGGCACAAAGCATTGTCAGACTGGAACTAAAGAAGTTCCTGAACTGACTTTAATAAACCACGAGTTACAGAGACACACACTCCAACTCCTAAGGTACTAATGCCCATAGCATATGCAGAGCTGGTAAGTGACAACCAAGAGTTGGTCCATATCTATTTATGTCAGTTGTACCTGTTAGTACCATTAGACTAAACTGACTAAATTAAATGTTACATAAACCAATAAACATCAGAGTAAAAAGGATGTGTGGTTACTATAAAAATTATGTTGAATGCTTTGGAAAGATTCAATAAGGTGAGTCCCTTTTAAAAAGTTATAAAATTCGATGTGATTGAGACGGCTATAGACTGGGGGACAAATGTACAAATCTAGAAGGATTCTGCACTTAGAATGCTTCAGATAGGACTTTATGTTCTTGCTTCACTTTAAAAAGGCTGGAAAACACAGGATCTGTATTACCAATGTCAAAGGAAAAAAATGAAAAAATTTCAATGAAAAAAAAGACCATGGCTCTATATTTAAAAAAAAAAAAATCAGTGGACGTACATTTACTTGTCTTAAAATATTATGTATGTATCTTTTAAAATAATTATCTTACATGAGCCAACTTTTTCAATTAACCAACTACCAAATCCAATTACGTCCGTTAAGGAGACTCCTACCATACAGGAGACAATCAGCAGTGGGGCATCTGGAAACATGTAAGGCTATTTTAAGTTGTCACAATGACTGGTATTTAGTGGACAGGAGCCAAGGGTGTACAGCTGCAATACCTGAGAAAGTCCCATACGGTGAACTTTCTTGCCTAAAATAACCAGAGTATTCCCATCAGGGGGCACGGGGACATAGACTAAGAAAAGAAAGTCTTTTTTATTTTGCAATGGTGACAAAGGATGCAGATGTAAAGCACAGTAAGTGGCACAAGGTGGCATACCTCTTATCTCTAAATACATACACACTTCCTAGCACTCCTGCAGGCCTCTATGGAAGGAACCTAGGAAATGACTATGCATCAAAAGATGTCAGGGCCTAGACGGACTAGTAGGTATTGGTTTACCTAGTTCCCTAGATCCTCAGAAATATTTTTAAAATACAATAAAAACCAGGAATTCCTTAAATCATGCATATGATCAAAGGCTGGTCTACCATTCTTTAACACATAGTTTTGATTTCTAAGATTTCCTCTTAGGTGAGGGAGGTCTAGAATACAATACAAAAAGGTATAAACATCACTTGAATATTTAAGAACACAGCCAACAGCTACCTTTATATAGCCTATTCCCTTTCTGGAATCATGGAATTAACAGATTATTAGATGTTCTCCCAACTGATAACTTTACATGTTCCCTAACTCCTAAATTGTCTTACTATAATCAAATCCCTCAAAACATAAATACATTATCAAAACTTACATTTCAATAAAGATTGAACCAAAAGGTAAAATTCCACCCAGGCAAACAATAACCGCAGGCTCCATGAACCTGGAAAATATTAAAATTAATAGTAAACTTCTAGTATGATTTCCATGTTATATAAACACTGATAACAGAAAGCAGGTACTTGACACTTAAAAAATCATCTCTAAAGGATAGAAACAAACCAGTAAAATGAAAAGCCAAAACCCAAAGAGGCACAATACATAGGTGGGACTTCAAATTAGCCATAGGTTACAATCAATATTCTTTCTGCATTAAAGACTGAGACAAGTATATGAAGAACACAAATTACTGACACTGGCAGAACTTCAAAAAGTCTCTAAGTGTTCCCTCTGGTTCTACTAGACTCCCATAACTTCTTAGAACTCTACAGGCATTTATTCACAAAAAGCCAAAGGGAAAGAAACGAAGAGTCTAGAGACCTCCATTTGAAATAATGTTTCCCAAATTGTGGCCTTGCCATCTCTTTGCTCACTCTCTCCTTGGTTCTATAATTCCTTTTCCTACAAATTATACAATTAAGGTATTATGAGTTCTTATTTATAATGGCACCAAAGAAATAAAAAATAAAATTGAAACTTCATTCATTCATTCCACAAACATTTACTGACTGTAATTGGTAATTCCCCACCTGGATGCCTTCTCTTGTCTCGTATTTCTCTCCTGAAAGCATTGGCTCAAATATTCTCCCTTTAAAACCTTTGCTGAGTCTCCCAGGAAGAGGTGGGTCCTTCTCCCATTCTTCCACTGCCTCTTGAAAATACCTCCACCACAGTACTTACCACGCTATACTGTAACTGTCCAATTCCAAATACATGTGTGTACATATATATAAAAAACCTCACTAGATTATAAACCCTGGCAGGCAGAAGCTATTCATCTAGGTATTTCCAGTGCCTAGCACAATACCTGGCACAAAAAAGATCCTAAACTAATAACTATGAAATTAACAAACTAAAAAACTGAGAAGAAAATGGTAAAATTTGAGAGCTGAAAAAAAAACTTAAAAATCATTTAATGTAGTCTTCTTTCCTTACTTTACAGGAAGCCAAGACACAGAGGTTAAAAGTGATCTGCCCAAGGTGACACAGTCAATGAGAGGCAGATCTAGTATTCAGATTTAGGTTCCCAGGATTATACTCCCCAAAACAGAGGCACACACAAGCCTTCCTATACCTAATTGCAATGCATCTCTGGTGAGGAAGCTCTCACCAGACCTCTCCTTCACTGGCCCTAGTGACTTAGAGGAACTTTTGTGACTTCTGACTATGCTTTTCCTTTAAACTTACCCTTCCCAGTAAGGATATTGATGGGTCCTAACATACTGATTTACAAAAAAAAAATTACTTTAAAAAATAAACTACAGGCTGGGCGTGGTGGCTTACGCCTGTAATCCCAGCACTTTGGGAGACCGAGGTGGGCAGATCACGAGGTTAGTAGATCGAGACCATCCTGGCTAACACGGTGAAACCCCATCTCTACTAAAAATACAAAAAATTAGCCAGGCGTGGTGGCGGGCACCTGTAGTCCCAGTTACTCGGGAGGCTGAGGCGGAAGAATGGCATGAATCCAGGAAGTGGAGCTTGCAGTGAGCCGAGATCACACCACTGCACTCCAGCCTGGGCCACAGAGTGAGACCTCATCTCAAAAATAATAATAATAATAAAATAAATAAATAAATAAAATAATAAACTACAAAAGTTCTAACTAAAGTCTCTCATAAGCACCAATCTAAGGAAAGAAAAGAATATGGCCAATTCAAACTATAGGGGCTATTTTATTCATCCTCCATTTCTATAAATGTCTACATGCCTCCATGTCTAGAAGGGACAGAGCAAAATTATCACCTATTTGTATAAGCACCTGAATATGCTGTATTTATAATCTGGTAAAATATCTAGGGACAGAGACTTTATATATATATATCTCCGTTATCATAAAAATGCAGTCTACTTACTATACAACTATTCCTATAAATAGGGAATGTAATAAATGTACACTAAATTGTACAGTACTAAAATATCTGGAAAGATAGTAAATATTTCAGGTTCTGCATGTGATAGTATCTCTGACATTACTGATCTGCCAGCTCTGATGCTGTACTATAAAAGCAGCCACAGAGAATATGTAAACAAATGGGCATGGCTGAGTTCCAACAAAACTTTATAGATAAAAACAGGGAGCAGGCCAGATTTGGCCTGCAGATTAGTAAAACTGCAGCTTTAGTTCACACCCACTTCTACACCATAGAAAAGCATTTGACTTAACTCTAAATGGCACGATATTCAGAAAGTGGAATAAGGGTATAATTTATTATTACTCTTAACAATGTAGGTTAAAGGAAATAGTAAAATGAACTTCTTAGGCTCAAACTTAAGATTGTCATTATCATAAATACATACCAATTCTAAAGTTACATGTACACAACAGCCTTAAGAACTTATATATTGTGTGAAACAATCGCATAAGATTTAGCATTCTCTTTACCATTTTTTCTCCGGTATAGGACGAGGCACAGCATTGACACGACAAGGAAAGTTGGGCTGACCTGACAGATTTCGGCCAAGTATTGTACCAACAAGATTTAGAGGAAGAATAACAAAAAAACAGATGCAACAAACGGCCACCTGTAAATTAAATAAAAATGTGTGATTACTCAGAGAACAATAACATTAATATAAACAAATAAAAGAGACACAATTTAAACACAATTTGACCACAAAAGAAAATGTTTAAGTTCAATATGAGCTAAAATTGTGCAAGAAGTACACTAATGAAAACAAAAAGGTGTGCTTTAAAGTATTAGAACTAAACTGAATACAAGTTGAACTAGTTCTTATCCAATTTGGTTTTCCATTCTTTCCTATTCTTCCAGACTATCTCTGCCACAATCCCTTTTTCTCCTCTTTCACTCTCAGCTGTCATGCTTTTTTAATATATTTATCCATTGTCTTTCATTATTATAACCAACTTACTTATCTGGCTATGCTTTTTGAGCTCATAAAATGCACTAAGAGCTTTATATGTGTTATTTTCTTATTTTGCAAATGAAGGAAAGGAGACTCAGAGAAGGATAAGTAACTTCCCATAATTGCATAGCTAGTGGAGAGCCAGACCAAAATTTCAACTCAGATCTGCCAGCCTCAAAGCCCACACTCTTTTCTATCCTACACTACCTTGGAATCCTAATAGAAGGAGATCGCTATCTATGTGTCACTAGTAAAATAGTACAAATATTTTCCTGCCCATTAGTAGTGCAAAGTCTAAAATTACAGAGAAGACCATACGGAGATTTTAGAACCAAAGTGGCCAATTAGAAACATTTATTTTTGTGACTTTTTTTCTTTATAAAATCAGCTCTTTTCCGGCCAACCATCTAATTAAGATCATTTCACTCTGAACTTCTGTAAAATGGAGTAGAATTGAATCACCTCTAAGATGTCTTTAAATTATACACTTTAGGTTATAATAAATAGAAAGTAAAAGTGAGAGAAAAACTGAATGAAACATGTGAAGACACTGATTGAGAGAAATGAAGAGGTATGGGGTAGGAAATCCACAGTGATTGCACAAGAAGGAAAGATCTCTTTGAACCAATATTAGTAAAAATTCTTCATTAGATCCTTTTGTGTGTGTATATGTGTTTTTAAACAAGCCAAAGGGTACTGTCATCTCCTTTTCAGATCAAATATAAATATGTGAGAATTACAGAGCTCCATAATACCATTTTAAACATCAGACTCAGGAACTCAATTTATCTGCGTTTCAGTTTAGGCCTAGGCCTATGAATAATATGAATTTATGCTCATATTAAAATACGTGAAATGTGAAAAATAAGCAGGTGTTTTTAAGATAGTTTAAGCATTATGTTATGAACTATACATATGTCGTAAATATGGGGAGTGATAAATTCCATCTCAATTTTTGCTTTTACTTTCTTAATAACTACAAGACTCATAAACCTTAACACATTGTAATAAAGACCTATATATTTTTCCCTTAGTTTACCAGAACTCTAATTTCAAATAAGAATTACAGAGAAAATGAAGAAAACATTCCTATGTTGAATTACATGGTCTAGAAGAATGGTTTTCAAACTGTTCCAAAGAACTCTCAGGTCCTACTGAAGAGCTTCTGGGATTCCACAAGCATTTGATTTGAGTATCCTTTTGAAAATAGTTTCTTTTTAAAACACTTTCAACTGTAATAAGATATATATAGCTCAAAGGAGTTCTATACCAAATATCAGTATACTGGAGATATCACAGCCAGGTTAACTCATTTTCATGCAAATCTCAGAATAAAGTTTCTCCTGCTTATCTCTGTGTATATACTGAACTGAATGAATTTTGTCATTGATTAGGAAGGCTTGTAATGCTATATTGGTCTTTTATTCTATCTCCTTCACCTCATCCCAATTAAGGCCTGCACATATTTGTTCACTAAAAATTGTATAAGCAAAAGTACTACTACAGCACAATGTGTGTGACAGGCAATTGAGTGGCAGCTGAAGTGAGGGCACATCTTGCCTTCTGTGCACATAACAGTCAATAAAGGAATCTACAGTCTCAAAAAGACATTATCAATTGCTTAGCATTTGTCAATATTTTCCCTTTTGTTGTCCAACTTTTTAATATATGATAAAAAATGTGAGCAGTTTGTTAGAAATAGTGATTAAGCTGTGAAACCAGTTCCCTACTCCTTTATGTTCAAGTTCTGGATGAAGTTACTTGAAAAATACTCTAAGATTGCAAGGCAAGCTGTTAAAAAAAAATTCACATGGAATGAACTCATTTGTGAAGAATTTTTCTCAATACTGATAACTAAATAAATTGGGTGCTGAAGATAAGTAATAGCTTACTTTATTCAAACCCCTTGATATTAGATTTGTATTCATCACAACTTTATTGCTCTTATTAAATTCAGTGTTAAAAATACTTAATTTGCAAAATATACTAATAAAATCATCCTTGTATCTGTTTTCTATCTGGGCTTCCACATTATTTTGGAATGAAATTTAGCAGCTAAGAGGGTCTAATATATTGGTGAAAACCCTGGAACTCAAATTAATATGGGGCTCTCCTCTATTCCTCTAGTCACTGTTCAGAGGAGAATGAAAGCAGGCAGTGGGGAGAAGAAAGATTTACTCCATGTTGAGGGCCTCCCTTATCTACAACAATAACAAGTTAGAATCAAGTACTGCCTATTGGTGCTTAATACCCCAAAGATCTACATACTGATCACATCTTCTCAATCTCAGACATAAACCAAGAATTTGGCTATTACTTATTCTATCTTTGCTTCCAGACTGGCCTACAGGCCAATATCTCTCATAAACTTAGATGTAAAAACAAATTTTAGCAAATGTAATCCAACCATATATAAAACAAATAATATATCATGACAAAGTGAAGTTCATCAAATGAATGCAAGACTGATTAAAGATTAGAAAATTAATACTTTCACCATATTTTCAGAATTAAAAAAGAAAAATCACAGATCTCAAAAGATACAGAAAATGCTGTTCTAAGATCGAACACCCATTCAAAATTAAAAGAAAAAAAACTTGCAGCGAACTACAAATAGAAGGGAACTTTAACAAGCTGATGAAGGGCATCTACAAATAAAATAGCTATTATTTTAATTAATGGCATAAAACTAAATGCCTTCCTGCCAAGATTGGGAACAAAGAAAGGATGTCTGCTCTTGACACTTCTATTCAACATTATACTGCAGGTTTTAGCCAGTGCAATCAGACAACAAAAAGAAATAACAGACATACAGATCAAAAAAGAGAAGTGAAACTGTTTAAATAATTTGATAATCTATTTTTTTAAATAACACTATGTACCCACAAAAATTAAAAATAAAAAAACTTTTGATCTATGTAAAAAACTAAAGTTTTTACTTTATTGTAAGAATAAAGTAACCCTAGCTCACTTATTGTAGAACTAATAAGTGAATTTGGCAGGGTTGTAGGATACAAAGCCAATATCCTAAAAAACTGTTTTCCTACATATAGTCAACACTCAAAAATAGGGTGTAAACTGTTCAAGTCCACTTACAAGTGGATTTTCTTCTGCCTCTGCCACCCCTGAGACAGCATCCCTGAGACACCCCTCCTTCTTCTTCCTCAGCCTACTCGATGTGATGATGAAAATGAAAATCTTTATTATGATCCACGTCTACTTAAAGAATAGCAAATACATTTTTCTCTTCCTTATGATTTTCTCTTTTGAAGAGACAGGGTCTCACTATATTATCCAGGCTGAAATGCAGTGGCTATTCACAGGCACGATCATAGAGCACTACAGCCTCAACTCCTGGGCTTAAGTGATCCTTCTGCCTCAGCCTCCTGAATAACTGGGACTACAGGCACAAACCGCACACCCAGCTAACCTTACGATTTTCTTAATAACATTTTCTTTTCCCTAGCTTACTTTATTGTAAGAATGCAGTATATAATACATATACAAAATATGTGATCATCAGTGAGGCTTCCAGTCAACAGCAGGCTTATTCGTAGTTAAGGTTTTGGGGAGATTTTCAGTTGTACGGGCAGGGGGTAGGGGTCAGCACCCCAAACCTCATATTGTTCAAAAGTCAACTGTACTCTCATGTGCCACATAACAATTTTTTTTTGGTCAATGATGGACCACGTATCTGACGTTGGTCCCATAAGATTATAAGACTGTATTTTTACTATACCTTTTCTATGTTTACATACACAAACACCACTGTGTTACAATTGCCTACAGTATTCAGTACAATAATATGCTGTACAGGTCTGTAGCCTTGTAAGATTAGGCTATAACATATAGCCTAGGTTTGTAGGAGGCTATACCATCTAGGTTTGTGTAAGTACACTCTGAGATGTTCACACAATGAAAAAATTGTGTAACAACTCATTTCACAGAACATATCCCTGGCATTAAATGATGCATGACTGTAACAGCAATAAACGATCAGAATTTGAAATTTAAAAATGGCCGGGCATGGTGGCTCATGCCTGTAATCCCAGCACTTTGGGAGGCCAAGGCAGGCGGATCACCTAAGGTCAGGAGTTCGAGGCAAGCCTGGCCAACATGGTGAAAGCCTATCTCTATAAAAATACAAAAATTAGCTGGGCGTGGTGACGTGCACCTGTAATCCTAGCTACTGGGGAGGCTGAGGTAGGAGAATCGCTTGAACCCGGGAGATGGAGGAACAGAAATTTAAAAAATATCATTCACCAACAGAATAATATGAAATACTGGAGAATAAATTCAACAGAAGATAACAAAACCTGAACACTAAAATCTATGAAACGTTGCTGAGAAAAATTAAAGGTATCTAAATAAGTTGAGAGATATACTCTGCTCATTAATCAAAAGACTCAATAATGTTAAGATGTCAATTTTTCCCAAATTGTGCTATAGATTCAATGTAATCACAATCAAAACCCCAGAAGACTTTTTATAGAAACTGACAAGCTGCTTCTAAACTTTATATGGAAATGCAAAGAATATTAGAAAAGCCAAAACAACTTTGAAAAAGAATTGATTTCAGGACTTATAAAGCTATAGTAATCAAGACAATGTGGTATTAGCATTAAAAACAAGACAAATTGAAATAGAACAAATCAAAATGAAACAAGAGAAAATCCAGCAATAAAAATCCACACATACATGGTAAACTGGTTATCAACAAAGGTGCTAAGGCAACTCAACAGAGAAAGGATAATCTTTTCAACAAATGGTGCTGGAACAACTGAACAGTCATATATAAAACAAAACAAAACCCCTCTGGCCCTTAACTCATACTATATATAAAATTGGCCAAAAATGGATCCTAGACCTAAATTTAAGAGCTAAAACTATAAAATTTCTAGAAGACAACATATAAGGAAAGCTTAGTGATGTCTGGTTTGGCAAAAGACTTCTTAAATGGAACAGAAAAAGCACAAAGCATAAAAGAAAAAATATACCAGTAAATTAGACTTTAAAATTAGTAATTTTGCCCTTCAAAAAATACTCTTTAGATTATGAAAAGACAACCCACAAAATAGGAGTATATACTTACAAAATACATATAAGACAAAAGACTTGTATTTACAATATATAAGAACTCTTATCACTCAATAAGAAGACAATCTATTAAAATAGGCAAAAGATCTGAACATTCATTAAAGAAAATATACAGATGGCAAAAAAGCAAATAAAAAGATCTTCAACATGATTAGTCATTAGGAAGTGCTAATTAAAACCGAAAGACAGCACTATATACTCACTAGAATAGCTAAAATTAAAAAGACTTACTATATCAAGTGCTGGCAGTGATGTGGAACAATTGGAATTTTCACAGAATGCTGATAGAAATGTAAAATGTCAAAACTATTTTGGAAAAGTTTAGCAGTTTCTTGAAAACTTAAACTACCATATGACCCAGCCATTCCACTCCTAGTTATTTATCCAAGAGAAATGAAAACATAAGTCCATAGAAAGACTTGCACATAAATACAGTAACTTGATTTACAATAGCAAAAAACTAGTAAATTACTGGGCAAATGGATAAATTATGGTATAACCATGCAATTGAATACTATTGGGCAATACAAAGAACAAACTATTCATAAATGCAACATCAGGCCGGGTGTGGTGGCTCGTACCTGTAATCGCAGCACTTTGGGAGGCCAAGATGGGTGGATCACCTGAGGTCAGGAATTCAAGACCTGCCTGGCCAACATGGTGAAACTGTTTGAGCCGAGACTGCATCACTGTACTCCAGCCTGGGCTACAGAGCAAGACCCAGTCTCAAAAAAAAAATTTTTTTAATGCAACATCAATGAATCTCAAAATAATTTTCATGAGTGAAACAAAAAAGAATATATACTGTATGAGCTACCATTTAAAGGAAATTCGGTAATGAAAATTACACTATGATAAGAGAGAGCAGGCTGGTGGTTACCTAAGAATAGGGGAGAGACAAAAGAAGAAAAGAAAGGATGAATTATAAAGGTATACAACAAAACTTCTGGATGTGACAAACATCTTTATCTTGAATGCGGTAATGGTTTCACAAGTGTGTGTGTGTCTATGGGTGTATGTATATCAAAATTCATCAAATTGTACACTTTAAATTTATGCAACTTATCATATGTTAATTTTACCTCAGTACATCTGTAAAAACACACAAACAAAAAAGGGCAAAAACCATAACCACTGCTCTCAGAATTAGGCTAGGATTCCTTTTGACAGAAAGGAAAAGAAAAATGTCCAAAAAAAAAGAACAAAAACCTATCATCACCACCACCAGCACAGCAACAAAGAAAACTAACTACGGGAGAGTCTTGGTTTTCTGTTCTGTAAAATAGGAATAACCACACCACTAGCTCTGCCTATCTCTTTGCGTTCTTCTGAAAACCAGACAAGATAATGCGTGTGAAAATGCTTTGTAAACTACAAAGTGCTACACAAATGTATTATTATTGATCCTTATTATAATTCATCTTCTTAGATTTGGCACATCATTTCAGTCAGGTGAGATCTTTTTAGATGCTGCCTTCATTATTTCATATTACTAGTTCATTATTTTATATTACTAGTTTCTTCCCTAGTCTCACATCCCTTTTCAATTGAATCAGCAGACCACCATGTCTCTAAGTTATTAATCATCTTTTGAATAGGTCAGAATCAAGAATATCTGTCACCTTCTACTAAAGGATAGCATGTACATACTATGGCTAATACTTCGATACTCTTATAAGGTAGAACCCACTTTCTTCCTTTCCCTCCTGGAAAAGTAAATTTGCCCATCCAGTTTTACAGCACCTCTGCTCTCACACAGTTATTCAAACATTACTTAATGTGATCTCTCGGTATCTCTAAAAGATCATTTTTATGAGCAACAAGACTTTCAAGCTAAGGCAGCTGGGTACTCCTGTACAATCAACTGCCTTGCGTATCTTAGGCTTCACTTCCCTCTTACCAGGGAATCTTTCCTCTTACTTTTTTTTGTTTATGGGTTATATTTTATTTGATGAAAAATAAAGAGGAAGAATGGGATAGAGCCATTCTTTTTTTTTTTTTACTTTGTTACATCACTGATCCCACACAATGAGTCTTTGATCTTGATATCTTTATAAAATCCTTTTGCTTGCTTTAGCGTTTGTGAACAGCTCACCTTAGATGATGAAGCTTTTCTAACATTGGTTTTATATTACCTTTCTTTTTTTTTTTTTTTTTTTTTTTTTGAGATGGAGTCTCACTCTTGTTGCCCAGGCTGGAGTGCAGTGGCACGATCTCAGCTCACTGCAACCTCTGCCTCCCGGGTTCAAGCGATTCTCCTGCCTCAGCCTCCCGAGTAGCTGGAATTACAAGTGCCCACCACCACACCTGGCTAATTTTTGTATTTTTAGTAGAGACGGGGTTTCACCACATTGGCCATGGTGATCTCAGGTGATCCACCCACCTCAGCCTCCCGAAGTGCTGGGATTACAGGCAGGAGCCACTGCGCCCGGCCAGTTTTACAAATCTTTCAAGAAAAGAAAGGTGATTAGTTCCCATGCTAACCTGCCTCTGTGAGTTTTAAAACTCTGTAATTTGGTTCTTTGTCCTTTGGAATCCTACAATAAGATGAAAACTTAGGATCTGAGATTTACAGCCCACGAAAGAAAAGACTTTGTGTCTAAAACCCTTTTCCAGAACATCTTGGCGAATCCTTTCTCATTCCCAAGGAACTCTTACAGGACCAAAACCTTTGGGTAGAGCATCTAAATCATTCTTGGATAAATTCCCAAAATAAAAAGTTTTTAGCTTTCCAGAATCAATCTAATTTTTTTTTTCTTTTTTTGAGACAGAGTCTCACTCTGCCACCCAGGCTGGAGTGCAATGGCGTGATCTCAGCTCACTGCAACCTCCGCCTCCTGGGTTCAAGTGATCAAGCGATTCTCCTGCCTCAGCCTCCCGAGTAGCTGGGATTACAGGCCTGCACTACCATGCCCAGCTAATTTTTGCTTTTTCAGTAGAGATAGGGTTTCACCATGTTGGCCATGCTGATCTCAAACTCCTGACCTCAAGTGATCCGCCCACCTCAGCCTCCCATGCTGGAATTACAGGCGTGAGCCATCATGCCCAGCCAGATGTGGAAACTTTCATAGAACAGAGAACTAGAGTGAAGATCACCCAGAAAAAGGCCTCAATAGCCAAGAGATCAAAGGAATGGGGGACAGAAAGAGATAAGACCTGGGGAAGAGCACTTAGGAGGATCTGAAGACTCTGATTCTCAAATTAAGGTATTCAGTTAGTAGTGGTACCTGGCTTCTCAGACACATGGCACCTATGGTCTGGGAGCCTTTCGGCTCACAGATCCATCCCCAGATCCCAGGAACTGGAATCAGGTAAACACTACAGATTGGGTTTAAAGCAGGACAGACTAATTAGCTTGAAAGAAAGCCCTGAGCATTAAAATTTTTTAAATCCCCAAGTGATTCTAATGTGTGCCCAGGGTTGAGAATCACTGAGTTTATGAGACTATGTAACCATTTCCTTCAGAATGTCAAGAAGTCAAACAACTAAAACCACAAACTTAAGTAGTTCAAGTACTTAATGAAGAGCTGGGTGAAACATTCACTTCAAGTTCTTCAAGTTCATGTTCTAAACAAGTTTTCATACTCTTAAACGGAGAAAAGGAGACGGTAAAGTACACACCTAATTAAAACATGAGGCCAGGGGAATACCCTTCCCCCAGTATTCCTTCATTAGACTAATGCAAATTAAGAACATAATATTGTAGGAGCCTGCCAAGTACCAACAGTTAGTCTTTTACTCACTAAAGAACAATTTTATAAACCTTCTCTGGCTCAGCACAGACTTTAAATATTATATTCTAATAATTTGTAATTATTAAATTATCTAAAGGCAAATTACACTGAATATTAACATTTAAAACTCCATTTACAAATTGGTAAAAATTTACAATTTTAGCGAGACAAAGCAACTTTGAAATACCATTTTTACCAATATCAAATTCAAAACTTTCTGAGAAAAATTTTAACAGAATCAAAATTTTAATTTTTAAAGCACTATGAAAATAATCAATTCAGCAGATGTTCTTTGAGAAGTAACCTGACTCACTCTATGTACTTTCTGATGGCCTGGAACTATTACAAAGCAAATTATTTCCCTGTCTGGTGTAATTAGTTACCTTTCCCTTTTCTAAGCATTATCACTTACTTTGGCTTGAAAAAAAAAAATTTCCATTCTGAAACAAGTTTCAAAATATTCCTAACTAAAAGGTATTAAATATTTAATAAAAATGTATAATATTCAATGTGTCTTTGAAAAAAATTGGACTATAAAACAAAGTCACCTGGAATTTTTGGGAAACTATTTGTTAACTCCCATATAATAGAAAGAAAACCCAAACAAGATTAAAACAGATATTGTGGGCTCTAATGGCAGTTCTACCATTAACTGCCTGTACGATTGTGACTAAGTTATTGAGGCTCTGTTAAAAGCAGTAACCACCCTGCAACTTGCATTGGCATATATACGTATGAACATGTATGCACAAGCGTACATTAAGCCTTCACTCTAGTCTAGGCCTAAAATTCTGTTTCTAGTAAAAAGGTAATACCAAGAAGAATTGGGAGACCGTGGGTTAACTCATTTTATGTGTTCTAGTTTTAATATATTTAAATAATTCAAAGCATTTCCAAGACTGTGATTACAGGTAAGATATGCAAACACATTTTAACATCTATAGCAACGTATATTATTTACAAAAATGCTTAGTGAGATTCTTTTTTTTGAGATGGAGTCTGGCTCTGTCGCCCAGGCTGGAGTGCAGTGGCGTGATCTCGGCTCACTGCAACCTCCACCTCCCAGGTTCATGCCATTCTCCTGCCTCAGCCTCCTGAATAGCTGGGACCACAGGCGCCCACCACCACACCTGGCTAATTTTTTTTTTTTATTTTTAGTAGAGACAGGGTTTCACCGTGTTAGCCAGGATGGTCTCAATCTCCTGACCTCGTGATCCACCCACCTCAGCCTCCCAAAGTGCTGGGATTAAAGGTGTGAGCCACCGCGCCTGGCCAATGCTTAGTGACTTTCTAAGAAAAGTATGTTAATACAAAAAAATGTGTCATGGAAAAGCTTTACTTTCTACCACTGCACTCACCTATCATCTTAAAACACCCATGTTTTGTGATTGTCATGATTCTTTCTCTAAAATATATTCACCAGTTCTTCCCATCTCTGATAAAAAGCTATAGTGCTCTCTTTTAAAGTCAGCCTTTCACTTTACTGGCTTACAGAATCAAGAAAAAATAAAAAGCCAACTATAGGTTTAAACTTAACCAAAATTTTATGGAGGCTAACAACAGTAGTATTCTCCTCATCTAACTTTCCAGGACTGAGTATGAACTGACTGAAACCATCAAAACATCTAATAAGAAGTATTTTGGAGGGTGAGTAGGTCTCAGTTAGAATGTGTATACTTTTTCAGTTTAAAAGTAAGATTCAAGCAACTCACCATTGTTCCAAAAGGAATGGCTCTTGAAGCATGGTAATAAATGGCTATGAAATTGATGAAGAAGGCAGTGCCACACACCATAGCTGGGATAAGGAATGCCCCAATAAACATCTGCTTTATCCATCTCCTTCCTGAAAAGAAAGGAAACTATGAAAGTTTAATATAATTATTTAGTACGAAATTATTTGTTTGAAATTTTAATATAAAGATCATGAAATTTAACATCTTAATAATTTCTTCAAAATAATAGCTAACAAATACCAAAGATTTCCAAGTACGTATAGTGAAATCACAGCTTCTGAAGTGGGTGCACTGGAAAAGAGCAATGACCTGTAATAAAATATTCTGACATTTTGTCTTGACTCTGCCACTGAACTGCTGTGAACTTTCATAAGCCACTCTCTCTCTCTAGGCTACAAGTTGGCCTAGAAAGGGGTTTTTATTACTGGTTTAAATTAACTGATCAAAAAAAAGAGAAAGGGGTTTTAAAACTATTCCTTGGAGTTCTGGAGCTTCTTGGCATGCCCATGAAGTCACTGGTGAAGAAAAATCCCAGGTGCCCTTACCCCTGCTTCAACCAGAACAATTACATTTTCAACAGTTACACATTGGAGTTTCATGTAAGTTTTCATTTGAAAAGCAGGTTATACTACTTTAAAAAGAAGAAAAAAGTCTAAAAACCAGTGAGTTTTTAAAAAAAGAACCTCGCAAGAAACCCACTTGTGATTTTTCAGCACCCTAAGACAGGGCAAAAAAAAAATTAAACGTGAAATAATAAAAAACAAAAAACCCTGAGTTAGACAGCCTCTAAGTTTGTCCTTAGCTCTAAAATTATAATTATAAATATGTATTTAAGAGCATTTCTACGTTTGAAAAGAAAAAAAACCAATGTGTTTCATAAGCTCTCTCTCAGCAATCAGAACTACAGATTTATAAGTTTTACTATTTCTCTGTACCTCTGTGTATTGCCAAAATTCTATACATTGAGCTTCTATTATTCAAATAATCAAGGGAACAAATTTTTTAACTATGTAATAAAAAAATCTTCAATTTTGCTCATACAGACCAGAAGAGCAACAGAGAGCTGTCTTTCTAATACAGCAGAGGGTAAAGCTGGCAGAAAATATCTTCAAACAGCTTAGAAACACTGAATCACTATCAAAATTCAATTCCACAATCATAAGCAACAGGGACCCAAACAGAAAGTACCATAGAAAAATAAGCAATACTCTAATTTTTGCTTTCTGCTATATAAAGTTCTTTTAAAACATCTGTTACAGAATTATTACCTAAAATCATAACGTTCCTCCAGAAAAACTCCTTAATCCTGAGTTTTCTCTCCTGTTTCATTTCTTTTCCAGCTAAGTTTCAAGAACCTCTCCTTTCTAACTGATAGCCAGCATTGGAACAATACAAAAAGGTGGTGATTAATTAAAGTATTACTTCTATTTAATTCCAACACCTTTCTAGCATTTTCTTTTCCTGCATTTTCCACTATCTTCTCAGATTCAGACATGTATCAACAAAACTGTGGCCGGGCGTGGTGGCTCATGCCTGTAATCCCAGCACTTTGGGAAGCTGAGGCGAGCAGATCACCTGAAGTCAGGAGTTCAAGACCAGCCTGGCCAACGTGGTGAAACTCCATCTCTACTAAAAATAAAAAATTAGCCGGGCATGGTGACACGCGCCTGTAATCCTAGCTATTGAGCAGGCTGAGGTAGGAGAATCGCTTGAACCCAGGAGGTGGAGGTTGCAGTAAGCTGAGATCGTGCCATTGCACTCCAGCCTGGGAGACAAGAGCGAAACTCCATCTCAAAATCAATCAATCAATCAATCAATCAATCAATCTCCTTATCCAACTCTCTATTTCTCCCTTTCCTTCTAACAGTCAAAAAGAATCCTGTACACATTCCACTGGGTACAACCAGTAACCCAAGTATCTGCATTGCTGTGTTTTCTACTGCTCTTCAAACCCTTGAAGTCTCTGGCTAAGGTCCTGGATACCACTGGCTTCAAACTAGATCTACAGCATTATAGTGCACTGAGGACAGTGTGAAGACCTTGAGCTTCACTGTAGTTCAAATCCTGAGATAAGTCTGAAAAATTATTGATCCCCTGGGTTGACTTCTACATTAACCTGGTTTTTGAGGCTTGATCGGACAAAATATCAGGACACTATCAGATCTCCTCAGGACACTACCAATCAGAACATAATCTTTACATTACATTTTGTAAGACTTGATATTCCTAGACCTGAGCCTGAACTCTGTCAGCTTTCAAGAATAAGTGTAGTAAAGGAAAGTTGGGCTGGGTGTTCTTAACTTGCAGTCAGACTAAAAACAAATTTATGTCCAACTTTAAATAAATTTCCTGTTTTAAATAAATCTGTTTCTGCTGTGGAGACTATTTTGAGAGTCATAAACTAAAATTTTAGCCTAATTAATTTCCAGGTCAAATTCAAAGTAGAAGTTGCCTCATGTGTCCTTATTTCCTTAGGATGTAGTCCTATATGATAGGACTAATTTCCCACACCTGCGAGTCGAATTTAGAGACTGAACATCTACCTAAAATAGTCAGGAACCCATAGTGACACTCCCTCAGTCAATCCAAATAATTATCTATACTGAAGGTACAGGTCACATTAAGTCTAGGAAGATTAATAAAAAAGCAATGGTAAACCAAGATATAATCCTACGCTCCGATTTCCTATAACCTATAAGTGTGCCCAGTCTACTAAAAGAAGGCAGGATCCCCTAATGCTGACACTGCTTAAGATGGGCTGTGGAAAATCACAACTCCATCCTTGGAAATATAATTTTAAGGTATTTCAACAACACTTCATTCATAAACTAAAATGCAAATCTACCAATTTTTGTACTTTTCTGACCTCAGACTACTGCAGGGAATACAAGGCATTTCTGAATGCCACTGCAGAAAAAAACACCAAGGAGCAGTATCCTTGTATTATCGTGTTATTAGTTCCATCAATTTCAGGTAATAGTAGTAAAGGAGCAACAGGATATTTAAGACAAAGTGCTCTTAGCAAGAGACTGTGACAGTGACAAAGAATAGCAGAAATCTTTGCGAAGGGTCCTTTGATAAAACTAACAGTCAACAGAAATACATAACTTTCCTTCCTATTCTCTTTCCATTGTCCAGAAACTTTACCCACAGACCATTACACATGCCTTTATATTCATCTATAAAGCTTTTTTTCTGTGTGGATGCATCACATGGAGCACATCTAGAGCCAGGCACCTCAAAGCAAATAGTATCAATAACTTAAATGCACTCTCCTACATGTTCCTCAGGGCAAATTACATGGTGCACAAAGGAGATTATCTACTAATTATTCATAATTTTAGGAAATAAAACGCGAGAATTCCACAAAAGCAAGACAGAACACACAATAGGTTTGGTAGAAATTATGTGAAATGAGATAACAAAGAATTTTACAATGGCTGTTCTGCACATTTTAAATTCCAAATATCTCACAGTAGGCCAGACACTTTGGGAGGCCGAATCACTTGAGGTCAGGAGTTCACAGCAGCCTGGCTAACATGGTGAAATCTCATCTCTACTAAAAACACAAAATTAGCTGGGCATGGTGGCACACACCTGTAATTCCAAGCTACTCAGGAGGCTGAGGCACGAGAATCGCTTGAACCCAGGAGGTGGAGACTGCAGTGAGCAGAGATTGCACCACTGCACTCCAGCCTGGGTGATGGAGTGAGACTCTCTCAAAACAAACAAAAAAAATCTCATAGTAAAATATTAGCATCTATAATTAACAACATGAAGTGAGAATTCGTAAGTTACCTCCTTGTCTAGCATACAGACTTCCTCCAAAATAACCATTCACTGGAGACGTAGCAGCATAGACAAATATGGCTGTACTGAGCATTGATCCCCTCCTAAAAAGGCAAAAAAGAAAAAAAAAATTAAAACCAACAATTTAAAGAAAACATCATAGTCTATTATATTAGCATTAGTTTAATTTCAAAGATAACTTTAACAGAAATACAAAAATATCACAACCTGGACTACAAATAAAACTCAAAAGATTCTCTATAGTGAATGAATTTGTAGTTAAAACTGCATTTACATGATACCTGGCTGATCCTAATTTTTTTATCCTGCAGTTAAATGTTATGATATATTCTAAGCAAGTATTTCATATTTATTTGGCAAAAATACTAGAAGCTGACACTAAAACTGTTTTGTGACCCTGTAAACCAATCCCATAATATGGAACAAGATGTTCATCTGTTAAGAAAAATGACTGGAATAGTCTGTTTCATAACTTGATTCAACTGCTTATGAATCTTGCCTGCAAACAGAAATAAAACAGTAGTATAATCTATATTAAATACTATTATTTTAGATGGAATAACACTGAGGCTTTCCCTGTTTCCCTCATGCTGCTGAAAATGATTTTTAGGCCGCGCACAGTGGCTCACACCTGTAATCCGAGCACTTTGGAAAGCCAAGGTGGGCAGATCACGTGAGGTCAGGAGTTTGAAACCAGCCTGGCCAACATGGCAAAACCCCGCCTCTACTAAAAATACAAAAATTAGCCATGTGTGATGGCAGGTGCCTATAATTCCAATTACTCGAGAGGCTGAGGCAGGAGAACTACTTGAACCTGGGAGGCAGAGGTGGCAGTGAGCCAAGAACGCGTCACTGCACTCCAGCCTGGATGTCAAAGCAAGACTCCATCTCAAAAAAAAAAAAAAAAAAAAAAGTAAAAATGTAAAAATTAAAATCAGACATACGATTTTAAAAAAGTCTATAGGTCCTTCACTTCTTTGTTCACAAATATTCTATGGGCATTCCCTCCCCATGTCCCTCAAGTAAACCATTTTTATCTACATTGAAAAATCTGCTGAGGGAGGCAACAGTCCTCCTTATTCATCTCTCCAAGATGGGATGTGGGGAACATCTGAAGAGGTATTTAGCCTACACCTGCCACAGCCTTACCACTCTCCAGTGAAAACTTTCAGAGTAGCAGCAGCAGCACTAACAAGCTTACTCCTCACCTTCTCAAACTCTATGCCTTCTCAATATCACACTATAACAGGCACCCACACTGATACTGATCCTCTACCTTATACCCTCAAAATACTTTTCCTCTGATTGCTATAGTGACCACAGAGGCAAAGTAATTTTTACTTTACATTATCTGCTCTTTATCCTTTAGAATCATTCCTATTCAAGTGACTTATCCCAATTTTGTGTGCAAATTTTTCATTTTCTCACCACTTTGTATTATTATTTTCTCTATTTTCATTTCCGTAACATAGCAAATTAAGAAAAGAGTTCTGGAATAAGATTGCCTAGGTTCCAATCCCAGCTCACTAACACTCTTTACTAGTAAAGGGTGCTCATTGATCTCAGTCAGATTATTTCTCTGAGCTTTAGTGTCCTGGTCTGTAGAATGGAAATAGAATATTTCCTTCATAGGGTTGATGTGAAGATTAAGGGATCAAATGTGCATGAAACACCTAAAGTGAAATCTCAATAAGTTGGCCACTTTTATATAATAATAAATCCTTAATGCTTTAGTACTTACATAAGTAATGAATTACATTCACTTCAAATAAACACAACACAGAAAAACCACTTACAGTAATTATAGGCTAAAATAACAATGCATGACTTGCCTGCTAATATTATACATTAGTGAGTGGTTTCTTATTTATAAAAGTTGAAGGTCTTTAAGTAGAAGAGCTTCTGCATTTTAAAAAAAAAAAAAAAAAAAGAGCTGCCGAATTGTAACACTAACATTTTGAAAAGGAAGCAGCAAAAACTTGGATTCTAGAAGAGATTATCTTCTAGTGGCTCTTAAGACTGTGACAGTACAGCTAGTGTCAATTCGATAGTGATTAACTTAATCCAGTGTTTAATGTAAAGCACAACTTCTTGGTAGATGTGAAATGTTTTCTTATATTTAGGGTCCAGCTTATCTGAAATACATTATGCCCGAAAATATGAACTACTCGCCAGAACTCTGAAGTTTAGATTTGGGTTATTTTAAAGCTCATGCGGTAAATGAATTAGAAAGGTTATATTAAAGAAATACAACCAATGCTACAGAGAAATAGCTTTGTTGGTTAATACATATTCACTTCAGTTCAACAAGCATTGACTGAATACCTTCCACATGCAAAGCTCCTTATGTAGGTACTTTGAGAATTCAAAGGTAAGTTATGACCTGATCCTTACTCTCAAGGAACTTACTATCTAGCAGAGGAAACAAATATTTAGTATACAGTTAAATATTTAATATGCAACTAAAGAGCCATTCTTTCAGCAAGGATGTATTGCTTGCCCATCAAACGCCAGGCATATAGAGGAAAGAGTGCATTATGAACTAAAACAGAGGCATGAAATATAACTAGAGAAAAGTGTCATTCTGAAGGAGGACTTCATATGGCCGCACCTGAAATGCCTGAATTATAATCGCTACCACCCAGGCACCAGAGTGTGTTTGCTTCACAGAGGTTGTGGCTTTCTTGAGCACTGAATAGGGACCTGAGATCTTCTGTGAATGTGTAACTTTTTCACATAATTCAAAGACCTCAAATTAAGAATTTCTTACAAATGGTTTTGTTTGCAAAGAAAGAATTACAAAACTTGTGTCAAGATAGGATGCATACTGACCTAGGAGTTTTTTTTTCAAAGAAGTCATCAATTATTTTTCTAACCTTATGTGACTATTTCATCACTCTTTTTACTATTATTTACAATGTTTTCTTCTACTCTGATGTTTTCCAGATCTGAAGGTAAATATGAAGTAACTTAGTAACTGAAATTCTTGAACTTCTGATGAAGCTCTAATTGGATCTTCAACTTTAGGAAAAAAAAGGCTATTTACTTTGTCAAACAGCTCTGGATTGAAAGTAACCTCTGTTCATATCTTTAATGGAACATATAACCTTTATAACTAACCACAATGTTCAGTAATGCTACTAAGTTTTGGCATGTAACAGAAAAATACAGATTACTGTTCATTATTTAATTTGTCTGTCTGCATTTATGATATTTATCATAAACTGTAAGATAAAGGAAATAAGTAACGATTTAATTATGATTGACTTAAAAGATTCCAGTGATTAAAACTATTTAAGAACAATAAAGACATAATACAGTTAAGTGTAGGCACTTACTCAGTATATAAATCTTCTATCATTGCAACAATAATAACGATGAGAGACACAGCAAATATCTGACATCCAGAACCAATCAGAGAGGAAAATATCAGTGGGTGACTTGATGGTCTAAATACATCTCCATGCACCTGTTTCCATCCATATTCATCTCCTAGGTCTCTATCCTATATACAAATATATATATAGAGAGAGAAAAGCAAATCATTCAGAATCAAACTAAAACATAGTATGTAAAAATTACAGTTGTAAGTTTCCTCCCTCCAAATTTATAGCTAAAGAAATACAAAATATTGAGAAAGTATATTCCAAACTTAGAATGATCACTGCCTTAATAACAATGTTAAAATGCTGAGGTTCAGGAAGTTGACTTCTGGTTGTGCTCAGAGAATCTCAAATAACGGAAAAAGAAAAGGTTTAGTAACAAAAAGAAATGGTCAAATTGGGAGAACAGTGCACTGACTCTCTTAATGCCACTTTCAGACACTATTCTTGCTATTCACATCATAGCTGTAGCTCATATACAATCAGGGGCTAGGTGGAGAAATGAAAGAGAAGAGTATCAAAACCAGTACTAGATCCCCTAAGAATGCAGAAATGTCCTTTAGCGCCTAGAATCTAAGAAAACATATGGGGGAAATATTCAATATGAATGTTTTTATTTAACAGTCTATATGCATTTTTTTAAAAAGAATTCAATTTTTACTTTGCAACCTTAGTAAGCAAGTGCTCCTTAAACAGTTTCTAACACAGCTTGTTTCTAAAACAATATTTCCTAAGGAATAGAAGTCCCTCAAGGTAATCTGTTTTGGTGGGGAGAATCCTAATCAGATACAGTTAAGAGGTACCAAATGCTTTATCCACCCTCTGATACTTCACAATATACCCTAGTATATTAAAATTTAAAATTTGAAACTATTTCCCAAGCCAGGCACGGTGGCTCACACCTATAATAACAGCACTTTGGGAGGCCAAGGCAGGAAGATCGTTTGAGGCCAGGAGCTCAAGACCAGCCTGGGCAGCATAGTGAAATTATCTCTACAATAAATAAAAAAATAGCCAGGGGTGGGGGCTTGTTCCTGTATTCCTAGCTACTCAGGAGGCTGAGGTGGCACGATCACTTGAGCTCTTGAGTTTGAAGTTACAGTGAGCTATGATCGCACCACTACACTCCAGCCTGTCTCTTAAAACAAATTTCCTAAATTTATTTAATGATACAGTATACCTATACCGAATATCCATTAGCTAGCACTCTATGTAACACACTTTTTGTTCTCTAACTTAGTAAAAGAACTTAGAAAACAAATCTTTCCTCTGAACCCACTAAACTGAACATAAATTAATCCTTCTACCCATTCCCTGAATTTTAAGCAGTATTTAACAGTATTAGACATATTCTTACTTGGTGGCAAAACTTGGCTTGAACTAACAAGAGGTTACACTATTTATTTATCCCACTTCGGGTGAATGTTCTTATGTTTTCCTGAAAAAAAATTAATATTATTTGATTACAGGGCATGGTTACAGACCACACTGGGCATTTTACATCTTTCTTAACTCTAAAAATCCTGAATTGTGGAAACTCAAAGACTTCCGGTAAGAAATTATGACCTACCTCCCAACATTTAAAACTTAACACTCAGTTAAAATGTTTCTACAAATATAATGTAAATGTTTACTCACCATATCATCCATTTCTTCCTCTTTACTGTACCGAGCATAATCTTTTCTTAATGTTCTCATTAAAATCATTGAAACTAAGCCCACCAAGAAGATCACCATCATGAAGGAGTTGAAAATTGAAAACCAATGAATCTAAAATAACAGAAAATAAAATGTTACCAACCTGCAATATCAGCCACAAAATTCATAGGTTCCATGAGGACAACCGGATGTTAATGCAAAGAAAAAAAAAAGTCTTTAATTAAATCCTTTAGACAAAAATCCAAATTTCAGACACTTTGAGGATGAGTATTCATTATGCCAAGGGGATTGGCTTTCTTTACAATAAGCACCCATATGTTGAAAACATGCTATCATTTATATAAATTTTCAAAATCAAATTTATTGTTAAAAACAAAAAGTACAATTTGGCCATATAACCTATGCTATTCAGCATTACATGGAAAAAACATGGGCTCTGGAGTCAAACATTGCCAGTTTCTGACTATGTGACCGCGGTTTTCTCATCTGGAAAATGGAGGAGCTAATACTTATCTTGTAAGTGATTTGTAGGGCTTAATAATGTATATATAAAGTATGGCACCTTAGATACTCAGTAAATGTTAGTTCCCTTCCCCCTAATTGAACAATCTGAAAACCTCCTTAAAATACTAAGACTAAACTATTATAGCTGGCTGCCATGGACTTAGGTCACCATCCTGAATGATTTGCTTCACTTGCTCCAGATTAGTTCATCCTCACCCTGTCACCATCATAATTCAGCCCTTTCCAAATCCATTTTCCATAGCATATTGAGGTATCCTTTAGTTCCTCAATGTTCTTGAAGCTCTTGGCTTTGATTTTATCCACATATTTGTTTCAATATTACATCTAGATTCTGATTCATAATCACAAGGTACTACTCAAAATGTAGCATATCTGATTTGAACTAGGTCTGTGGCACTGCCCAGTTATTTCTTTATTTACATTTTAATTCCCAAAAGATCTTTAGGGATAGTCCCCAAATTTCTCTCCTCTCTTCAAGGCCCCAATGCCATCCTTTCTGCTGCCTTCCCTTGAAGCAAATCCTGTCTTCTATGACACAACCTTTCCACATCCAGTTTTGAGGTGTTTTTTCTCCTCTCATTTTGCATCCCAACCCCTCCACCTTTCACCAGCCATCAGCAATCTCCAAAGGTCCTTATCTACAATGATGTCTACTCCCTGGGGTTGTCATAGAGTTTAAACAATAAAGGTAAAGCAAATAGTATAGTGCCTGGCACATCATAAACACTAAATAAAACCTAAAAGTTATTGTTATTGCTATTATTCTCTTTTGAAGTGTTTGCTTCATCTTTTGTCCCTCATTCTTTTCATCTTCTCACCTCCCGATCCTTTCAATGTCAATACTTTTCAAAGAAGACATGTTCCAGTTCTTCCCTCACTTCCTCCAAAACACAATACAATCTCACTTTTGCCCCACAAAATTTCTCTCAAAGGCCTGCAATGAACTTCTAAACCGATTCAGCAGCCAATTATCTGCCTCACTCTCCTTGATCTCTCTGCCACATCTGACCTTTCCTGACACTACAGCATCCTACTTCACTGACCGCTGCTTCTCCTCTTTCATCTTCCATGCTGGCTCCTCCCATCCTTTGTGAACTTCTCCAAAAGCTCCAGTCTTAGTACTCTGCTGTGACTTCTTTAGGCTCTCAGAACTTTTAACCAGCATTCCAATGATGATGATAACACCCTCGCCCCCACCTCCCATCCCACCCCAAATTGCTAGTCTTCTTTCTCACTCATGTTTCAGGCTTTTGCTAACTACAATAATTTCCACTTGAATGTTTCTGGAATTGCAGACTCAGACTGCCCTAAAGTACACTCATAATCTTCCACCTCATATATAACACTTGTTTCTGATTCTCTAACTTCTGCTAATGGTACTAACATGTGGCTTTGAAATTTTACAATTATCTCTGGCTCTTCCTTCTCCTTAATTCTTCATAGGTAATATTAAGCATGTATTTTTCTTCAAAATGACTTGTATCTATCCATTCTGCTTCATTCCCATGCCATCACCTCATACCTTGATAGCACTAATGGCCTCCTGGTTGGCCTTTTTTTTTTTTGGTCTCTCCCCTTCCTTTCAATTTATCCTGTAAAAAGCTATCAAGGAAATCTTTCCAAAGCAGGTTCATATATCACTCCTCTATTCTAAAATTTACAGTTGTACACCCTATTTCTCTCATATCAAATCTAAACTATTTTCTCCAATATTCTATACTTCCTGTAATATGGCCATCTCACCTTATCTAGTCAACTTTTCTTTCCATTATATTCTATATTCCAATAAGCCTTATCCCTCTTCAAGAATCCACAAGCACAGCATACTCACTTCCACCTCTGTATTTTTCTTATAATTTCTTCTCACATAGATCTACTTCTACTCCCCTTAGCAAATTCTACCCAGTCTTCATATTCCAACACAAGTACCTTCCCCTCCATGAAACCTCTTATCTACATATTCCGGTTCTTCATAGATATCCTCCTGCTCTAAAATTCTACAGGTACATACATATGCATTGCTGTGTATGATTAGGACATATGTTAACTTGGGCTAACGTGCTGAATATGTGCATGAAACTGAAGGGCAGTCCAGGCTCTGTTATCCACCCTGAGGTTTCAGGAACGAGATAAACTCTATGGATCTTCTTGAAAAACAGGAGACAGCCTCTTCAGAAGACTATTCCTTACTTCATTCAACAATTTATTTATTGAGCATCCAGTAAAATTATAAAGGAACCAAGAAATGCATTGTTTTTTGAAATGTTTGCTCAAAAAAGGTTATATAAATCTGAGTTTATTGTAAAAGTATCATTTAAGGTTCATAAAAGCAGTCTATGATTTTCCAAAGATTTGATTTTGTTCCCACCCTGAGATGTTAACCCAGAAAAGCTCAAGAGGGAAAGAAAAATGACACATACCATCTTTTAGTCAATTTATCAAATTTTTTAAAATAAAAGAAGTTTTATATAGTTACTAGTAACTATACTAATTAGACACACATAAAATGTTGTAATTTCTAACAAGGCTCTGCTATTTTCTAATCTAAGATATACACTATTATAATGTAGTAATAACCTGAAATTTTGTAATATTCCTTTATTCTAAAAATTATGAGATGTTGTATAATTGTGAAATTATTATACCAGGGAAAATACTTCTTAAAAATAAAGAAACCTGGTGTCACAAAGGGGTTTACTAACCCTACTAATGCTGCATGCCAGCACCCTCTAGTGTCACTAATCCTGAAGCTGCACCCTCAATTTGTCATAAATTTAGAATGCAACTGGAGATAAATAACTATACCAACAATACTGCCTCTTACCTGCTATGTGCCAAACACTGAACTAGGTGCTTTATATCAACGTGAAATTCCCCAACAGCTCTGCAAGGTACTATAATCCTTGCTTCACTATTAAGGGAACAGAAGCTGAAGAACTGAATCATTTAACCAAGGTCATAGTAAGCGGCAAAGCATCAGTTTGAATTCAGCTTTAGCTCCTTTGCCTGTGCTATTAGTCACTGTATTAGAAGCAATTCTTATACTTGTACAGTACATCATATCCCTTCCTTCTACTTAAGGAAAACGATGCAGTATTTCTCTCCTTTTTCTCCTGCATTGCCAGTTTTGCAATCTCCACTGAACCCCATCAGCATATAAAGTTAATGTTTTTCTTACATTTAAAAAAAAAAGAAAGAAAAATCTCCTAATTCCATTTTCCACACTGGCTACTGCACCATTTCTTTGCTCCCTTTAGCAGCCAAGCTCCTCACAAGTCCATAATTGCCGTCTCCAATTCCTCTTTTCCCATTCTCTCTTACAGCAGCTCTGTTCAGGTTCTGAATGCCCCACCATTATACCAAAATCGTTGTCAAGTTCACCAATGACTTCAGGTTAATCCAATAGTCACTTTTCAGTGCTCATCTTACTTGACCCATCAGCAAAAATTCAGAGCTAATCTCTCTATCCTCCATGATACACTTTCTTCTCTTGGCATTCAGAACACCATACTTTCCCCTCCCCCGCAAAGCCCTTAACTGAACTCCCCTGTTCTTCCTAAACTCTTACTACTGCACCCAGGGCTTAGTCCTTGGTCCTCTTCTCTCTCTACATCTCCCTTCCTTAGCAATTATTACATCCAGTCTCATAGCCACAAATATGATCTATATGCCAATTGCTGCAAAATTTGTATCTCTAGCCCAGACCTCTCTCCTGAACTCCAGAACTGATATATCCAATTTGCCGGTCAATATCTCCATTTGGATATCGTACAGACACACCAAAACGAACATGTCCCAAACTGTACCCTAATCTTCCCCTCTAAATCTCCTCCAAATACAGCCCCAGTGATGTCAGCTCCACTCAGACTGAAAACCCTAGAGTTTGTCTCAACCCTTCTTCACCTTCCTATCAATCACGAAATGCCGCCAGCTTTAACTTCAAAATATACTCACAATCTAACATCTTTTCATCACCTACCCTGCTACCACCCTTGACTTCCTGAACCCACATAATAATTTGATCCTTTAAAAACAAAAGTCAGATTTGTTACCCCCCTGCTGAAAACACTACAGTGCTCCCCTGCCCCCTTTGCATTTAAGAGTAAAATCTGCAGTCCTTAAAATGACCATGGATAATCTGGCTCCTGCTACCTCTCTGACTTCATCTTCTTGCTAGTCCTCAAACCACAGTAAGCATATCCTCACTTTAATAGGCTTTTCAATGGTGTTGCCTCCACCTGGAATACTCTTTCCCCTAAATATCCACATTCTTTATTTCCTTCAACTCCTTCAAGCTTTTGCTCAACAATCCATTTCAGAGGCTTACCTTGACTACATAATATAAAACTGCAACTTACCCGACCCCTGGTACTCTTGTTCTGCTGTCTACTTTTTCTTTTTTGACACACTTCTCTTTGAATAAAGTGTGTTTTACTTATTGTGTTTATTTCACGTCTCCTTGACTAGAACGTAAGTTCCTAGAGGGTATAGATCTTTGCCTTTATTTTCTAATGTATCCTACTTACCTAATACAGTGCTTGGCAGATAGCAGGTGCTCAATTAATATGTGTTGAAGTAATAAATACAGTATACCATTCCATAGTGAAAATACTAAAAGGCAGTCTTTCCCCTAAGTTGTCAATGTCCAGTGGGGCTAGAATCAAGGCAGACCTAAGAGTTCCAGTAGTGAGTGCCAGTTAAGAGCCTTCATATTCTCAAATGTTATCTAAATCTTGAAATTATCTGTGTCCATACCCTATTGAAGATTGCCTGAGCATTATACTCGAGGAGAACACACAGCAGGTGGGGTTGAGGTGGGGATTGAGGTAGGGGAAAAATTTTAGCTCCAAGAGTAGTATGCTAAATCCTTCAGTAAAGACAATCCAGGCAGGGCGCGGTGGCTCACGCCTGTAATCTCAGCACTTTGGGAGGCTAAGGGCAGGTGGATCACTTGAGGTCAGGAGCTCAAGACCAGCCTGACCAACATGGTGAAACCCCACCCCTACTAAAAAAAATACAAAAATTAGCCGGGCATGATGGTGTGTGCCTGTAATCCCAGCTACTCGGGAGGCTGAGGCAGGAGAATCGCTTGAACCAAGGAGGCGGAGGTTGCAGTGAGCCAAGATCATGCCACTGCACTCCAGCCCAGGGGACAGAGCAAGGCTCTGTCTCAAAAAAAAAAAAAAAGACTAAATTCCAAATAGCTTAATTGTTAAAATCTCTGACCCCTGAGTAAGATCAGAAGTAGTGATAGGTTCCGGTAGAGTCTAAGAATGGAACCTAACAGTAATATGTAAATCTGAGACAACAAAAACTTACGGGCCATCTCAAAAATAGGTGATTAATAAACTTTAAAATTCTAGTCCAAAAGATTAGATCAAAAGAAAGAAGCAACAATTCAGGAAGAAATTCAGAAGAAGGGATACCCTTATGCCTTGTCTTTTTATCTCCATCCTTGAGGAGGAAACCACCAAAACAAAGTGTGATTTTTGCTATAAAGAATCAAAACTACCTGTACAAAACCAACACTAATGCTACCGGCTTTATGAACTAAAATTCAGCAAGTATCTGTCGGTGGGGGCTGGGGAACTGGGAGGCCATTTCTTCCCATTCTTGATGTTTCTTTCTACATGGAAGGATTTCCACAAGCAGAAATTCCTGATCTCAATCCGTTCTCTCATTACCTCCTTCTGATGCATACATTCTGTTCTTTCTCACACCGTAAGTTGTATAAGGGCAAGTGCCCATGTAGGGAAGCCTATAATATACTCTCTGAGTGTGTTAAGTCTAATTCTGAGTTTCAGTAGTAAGAAGCCCACTTGATCACAGATAGATATAAGCCACATTCTCCAATATTCACCTCATTAGAAGGCCAATGCGCTATTCATTGTGCAACGCAGCCATCTAATATTCACCTTATTAGTGATATTTTGGCTTCCCGTATGTTATATTCTTCGTTTATCTCTTAATTGGTTTAAACCACAAGCACAAAGAAGGAAGTTTTTGATTGCTCCTCTAAAACTCCCCATCACCCTTATGATTTCAAGCTCATACTTTAAATCACCATTAGCTAAATCTTTTAATCCACAGTCCTCAACACAGTGCCCTGCAAATGACAGATACTCAATGTTTGTTGAACGAATTGGTGCACATAATCAATGTCTTAAAATACACTATTTACCTACCCGATGTTGAAAAAAGGACGGATCAAGATATTTGTCAAATCGATCTTCAAATTTCACATCTGACTTTTTCCATTTTACCTAAAAAAAATTTTTTCATTTGAAAATAAAGGCCAGTAAACAAATTAATAATCTGATGACAAAACTCTGAGCAAAATATAGATTTACACACACTTAGAATTAAAATTCACTAGAGAAATGGAGGAAAGTTACTTACAACATGAGAAGTGGAAACGATTATGATAAAACTAATCAACTTTTCTGTTTATTGACAAAACTTAACAACTTTCCTCAGAGGGGTGATTTCAGTTCTCAAGGACTGTTTACTTTTGTTGACTTACATATTATGACCTGATAAATGTGATATGAACTGAATTAGTATAAGCTCATATCACAAGTGTCTAAATCAATTAAAATAAGAATCTGTACATCTGCCTGGTGTAATTCTGTCCTGCGTGGCTGTTCTCTTGAGCAGAAGTCATTTATCTCCGTCTGCCTTCTTTCCCACCTAAATGCGTGCTGCCACCCCATGGAAGATTCGATGGACATGGACATGAGCCCCCTGAGGCCCCAGAACTATCTTTTCAGTTGTGAACTAAAGGCCAACAAAGATGATCACTTTAAGGTGGATAATGATGAAAATGAGCACCAATTATCTTTAAGAACGGTCAGTTTAGGGGCTGGTGCAAAGGATGAATTGCATATTGTTGAAGCAGAGGCAATGAATTATGAAGGCAGTCCAATTAAATAACACTGGCACCTTTGAAAATGTCTGCACAGCCAACGGTTTCCCTTGGGGGCTTTGAAATCACACCACCAGTGCTTTTATGGTTGAAGTGTGGTTCAGGGCCAGTGTATATTAGTGGACAGCATTTAGTAGCTGTGGAGGAAGATGCAGAATCAGAAGATGAACAGGAGGAGGCGAAATTCTTAAGGATATCTGGAAAGTGATCTGTCCCTGGAGGTGGTAGCAAGGTTCCACAGAAAAAAGTAAAACTTGCTGCTGATGAAGATGATGATGATGATGATGACGATTTTGATGAGGAAACTAAAGAAAAACCACCAGTGAAGAAATCTACATGAGATAATCCAGCCAAAAATGCACAAAAGTCAAATCAGAATGGAAAAGACTCAAAACTATCAACACTAAGATCAAAAGGACAAAAATCCTTCAAAAACAGGAAAAAAAATTCCTAAAACACCAAAAGGACCTAGTTCTGTAGAAAACATTAAAGCAAAAATGCAAGCAAGTATACAAAAAGTGCATTGAACAGTTCAGGGCACTACTGGTAAATTAAGCCCAAAGATGGGGAGAAAAGAAAAGGAGAGACAAATATAGTCCATACTGAGTATCATCAACAATCCAGACTGAAGTCTTCTATTTTAATCTCAATCTCCTTTTCTGATCTGCCATGGATGCCTCTTTAGGCTGGAAACAATCTCACTCTTGGTTCCCTAAAGCAGTTTCTTCTGATTGCTGTGATTCAGTGAACCTTGCCCTTTGCTTTCTATTACTTGCACATTCGCCTCTCCTCTGACCATGTTCTGAATCACCTTCGTATCTCCTTAGCTGCTCAATAAATATTTGAATGAATAATAAAAAAAAATCTGTAAATCTTTATTTTTAGACTGCATTACTTTTATTACAACTATAAAATTTTTTCATTAAGTTTAGTTATATAAGGATTATTTGCATCAGGTACATATGCACAAGGCTTGAAAAACTTTCAAAATTGACTACTAGCAATGGACTCATTCCAGCTATGAGGCAATAACTGGCAGAGGCTACCTACACTGAATTTCTCTCTCATTTTTACTATTTTTAAGCCTAAGACAACAGAAATAGCTTGACAGTTGCTAAAAGGCTCTGACAAGCTCTCACTGTGCAGGAGTATATTATTCCAACTGACAGAGCAATCCATGATAAACTACATCTATCCAGCAACTTTCAATACAGCATCACTTCTATCTGCAACATTAAAAAGGAAAGGGAAACAACATGAAGTACTGCAATCTAAAAATGTAACCATAAAAATACATGACTGGGTTAGTCTAATTACCCAGCTACAACAGTAAACTTGGCTGTACCAAATGGTTTAGCTCCTGCAAAGGCATAACTGGTATCTAATACTACAGACCTGAAGCAAATCCTCTCTTTGCTTTCAGGAGGCTTACTTACGTACACTGAGAAAATATAGTTTTAATAATATTCTGTTGCATCCCATTTCAAGCTACATTTTCATTTACTAAAGTTCAAAGCCACAAATTGTTGACATCGGGTCACAAACACTACTTCCTACATTAAACTATTTGAATACTTACTGAATATGACATCTGGATTTTAGTATTTGGAACCAGTTTCACCTTTCCTTCACTAGTTAGATTAACATCAACAATTCGATTTCCATTAAAACCTATTTCAAGTTTTTTATAGGTCCAAAGATAGTAATCTTCTCCATTTTCATCAGCCTCACCAACAATACCTACAAAAGAAAAAACACTTTATACAAGGTAAAACCACTTAATATTTAAAATATCCTACAAGCTAAATGCTCATTAAGTTTTTTTTTTTTTTTTTTTTACCTCCGCCCTCTCTCCCTCCCTGGCCACTCTTGACTCTCCCTTCACCTTCTGCCATGATTGTAAGTTTCCTGAGGTCTCCCCAGAAGCCAAGCAGATGCCGCTATGCTTCCAATATAGCCTGCAGAACCGTGAGCCAATTAAACCTCTTTTCTTTTTAAATTACATAGTCTTAGGTACTTCTTTATAGTGGTGTTAGAATGGACTAATACCACTCCCTAACATCTCAAAATTTCAGAGAAGTGCTTACATCACCATCTGCCAAGGTTACCCAGCTATTAGTGGTCAAACCAAAATTAAAATCAAGGTTTCCAGATCCCTAGTCTAGTACTTTCTCTAATAACCTATGATCTACCCATTCCCAGTAAGATGTACACATGTATATATGGGCACCAAAACTTAACATGTCTCCTTTTTATACCTCAACTGCTGGATCTGTCCCTGGGAAATCAGCAAAATAAAAGGAGTGGTGAAGATAAATGGTAATAAGGATACAGTTTAAAATTATCACTTCAATCATAATTTGGGATATTGGAAAAAAAAGATCCACAATGTTAGGGAAATATTATAGGTGGTAGCTGAGGATACATCTCTCATGCCCTCAGACTGCCAGCTATTTGTCCAATGTTCCCCACCCAAGCCTAAACAGTTCCCAATAGCTTTATGCTCTGTAAGTTACTCCTTAGGGCCTTCCCCCTACGCTTTAGTAAGTATTAGGGAAAAATATAATCATATTTATAAAATATTATTTATTAACCAAAGTGATTCTAATTGGTACAAATTCAAGGAGTATAGTTTTGTTTTGCTTGGGATTGTAGGGGATAATGAAATCCTTCTTTTATCTTTATTTGTTATTGAAACAAGGTCTCACACTCTGTCACCCAGGCTGGAGTGTAGTGACACAATCATAGCTCACTGCAGTCTCAAACTCCTGGGCTCAAACAATCCTCCTACCTCAGCCTCTAGAGTAGTTAGGACTACAGGCAAGTGCCACCACGCCTGGGTAAATGTTTTATTTTTTTGTAGAGATGAATCTCGTTATGTTGCCCAGTCTGTTCTCAAACTCCTGGCCTTAGCTTCTCAAAGTGCTGTATTACAGGCGTGAGCCACCACACTAGCATGAAATCCTTCTAATAATTAATTTTTTTTTTTTTGAGACAGAGTCTCGCTCTGTTGCTCAGGCTGGATAGAGTGCAAAGGTGCAGTCTTGGCTCACTGCAACCTCCACCCGCTGGGTTCAAGCAATTCTTATGCCTCAGCCTCCCAAGTAGCTGGGACTATAGGTGTGCACCACCATGCACAGCTAAATTTTTTGTATTTTTAGTAGAGACAGGGTTTCGCCATGCTGGCCATGGTGGTCTCGAACTCCTGGCCCCAAGTGATCCGCCCACCTTGGCCACCCAAAGTGCTGGGATTACAGGCGTGAGCCACCGCGCCCAGCCAATAATTAATTTCATTAAGGTTTATTTACCTATCTACTCTGAAAACCAGACTTTGGGGGTAAAGACATAATTATATCAAGTAAGAAGCTACTCTCTAAAAGGCGTTAAAAGACTCTGAAACCTTTACCCCACGAAAAGTCAGGTACAAAGTTGTTTTTTTTTTTTTTCTGACAAGGATTCTCCATGGTTCAGACATTCAAGGACATCCAAAAGTATTTCCCCAAACAGGGCATATTCTAAAATCCCAGGGCTATAATAAATTTAACACAGGAAAGCACAGTTGCCACTGTTGCTAACGAGCCCACAGCTGTGAATGAAAAAACCTAAAGCATGATGGCTTATCCCTATATAATCCCAGAAATTTGGGAGGCTGAGGCAAGAGGATTGCTTGAAGCCAGAAGTTTGAGATTAGTTTAAATAAAGCAAGACATCTTGTCTCTACAAACACACCAAAAAAAAAAAAAAAGAGCCAGGCATGGTGGGGTGCACCGGTAGTCCCAGCTGCTCAGGAGACCAAGGGAGAAGGATCACTTAAGCCCAGGAGTCTGAGGCTACAATGAGCTATCATGGCATCACTGCACAAACCTGTAAGCAAGGGAAAACAATAGGGAAGAAACCTGTTCTCTCAAATATGAAGGAGGCCCAAACCAATGGGTTTCCCTGAACTACAGGCTCAGAAAAATCTTCAGTGAATATTCAGCACATCTTCCTACCACTGTCAGAGCGGATCAGAGAAATGTCTGTGTTACCATAATGGTAACTGCAGTCATTTATATGATATACTAACTACATATACCTAATTAACATGCAACACAGTAATGATGATGCATATAATTATCTCTTGATATTAACTTTCTAAATTTCATCTTAGTATGATATTAAATGCTGATCTGATATGTTCAGACTTTGATAGTTTACTGCTCATGATGACAGTAATCTGCTAACAATTTTAAGCATTAGAAGAAACATTCATTATACATAACAGCAGATTTCCAGAGACAAAAGAAAGAAACAATTAGAGAAAAATGTGATCAAACATATTGGCCATGACAGCTGGCTGTGCTTTGCATTATAAATAATTTAATCAAGTCCAACATAAATGATTTTGGATTATTCATAAATTGGCATTAACTATTCCATAGCTCTTCTCCATTAATATGGATAAATAAGGGCAAAAACATAAACATTTTTTAGCAAAATAAGCCATTCAAGAAACTATCATACCAAGAAACCATACTACCACAGTACCAACATGAGAAAAAGACAGAATGAAACTTCAAAATCCTATTAGTCCCTTTAACTGTATTTAAAAGAACAAATTAAGATATGAAAAAAAATGGAAGCAGAAGAAATTTTTAGATTGTTCTAAGCACCTTCTCATTCTTGAATCTGAAAAGTTATACTATAAAAAAGTTATATTTTAGGCAAGTTTCATGTAAGGCATGGCAATGTCAAAAATTCTTCAAGCAACAGGTGACCATAAAACTGGTATTAAAATCATTCTGTAAAAAACAGTGAAAACACATTTACACCATGATCCAGTACACAATCACCTTAACAGAGTCATTTTATAAATTCTGATTATGCAAATTTTCCCAAATCTTAAATACAACATACAATACTTACCCCATATTGGTAAATCATCTATGTACATCTGGTACCAGTAATGATTTTTTATGGCATATACAAATGCATCTCTCTTTTCTTTATCTAAATCAATTTCACAGTAAGTGGCTGGCATCACATCATCTGCACAAAATAAAAATTGCAAATTAGCCCACTAGTTTGCAAAATAGTTACATTAAAAAAAAAAAAGACAAGAAAAAAGCCAACATTTCCTACAGTTAAAATTTCTATTCACAATAGCTGAATCTGAGTGATAAATAAGTGTGGGTTCAGTGTACTATTCCTCCCTTTTTTTGTGTATCTTTAAGACTTTTTATAATGAAAAAATTTTAATCATCTTTATTTTCAAACATTACCTAAGTGAAATCATCCCTTATACAAAGCAAATTATACAAGAAAATTTATAAAGTAACTTCAAAATAAATTGATTTTAAAAACAAAAAAAGCTTAAACACATAACAAAGTTTTTATTTAATATATACAAAAGCTCAAGAATATGGTCATAAACAGAGATAACCATTTGTAGCTATAAGATCTCTCTGAGATAAACACTGATTTTAACATTCTTGGAAAGACAAGTTACTGGAAGCCACAGATTCTATGAAAACACCCAGTGACTATTCATAAGCAGGAAGATTAAAAGGCAAACCTCTATTCAGCAAACATCACTGTTTATAAATTGCCTTAAAGTCCCCTCAAGATGAGTCATTTTCCACCCCGACTGCTTTCAAAGATACTGCTACTATAATTCTATTCAGATGGTTTCTAACTTAATAAACCTAGTATTTCAAAAATGTACCTGTTTCTAATAAAACAAAAGAAAATCCAAAAAACCTACAAATACTAAACATGTCAATCAAAAGAAGTTGTTTTGGTATATTAAGCAATTAGAAAAAAATTAAGAAATCATTCTGAACAAGAACAAAAAAGCAAGCACAAGTTTGTTTTTAAGTTCTATACTATATTTGTACTATAATATTGGTTATTTGAAACATGAAATGCAATTTCTCTAAAGATACATTATTAAACTTTTTATTGATCAAAAGTTCTTAAACATAAATTGTAGCTACATCATTTAGTGGCTCAAAGAAATAGCAATCTAATTTATAACTCAAGATACCCAGCAGTATGTCTCCCCAATCCTTAAGAGAGAGAGTAGCTTCCCATATTATAGACCAACCTAAAGTGGGTACCCCAAAACTACAACACCAAAGATGGCAGTAAACATTAAAGTCCCATGGAAGAATGTCAGGGAAATACCTTCTTACCCTCAAAGTATGGGAAGAAAATTAATTTGTCTCCAACAGCGACTCCCACATAGATTTTCTTTCTGCCCAAGCCCTCCTAGGCAGTAAGGAATTTAGGATTTTCATGATGGCAAAAACAAACAAACAAACAACAACAAAAAAAACCCTGAGGCTGAGCAGTGAAGCAACGGAGGGTTAAAAAATGAGATTGCTCCAAAGGGTTTCTACAGCAGGAGCTAGAAAAACTGACAGCAAGAGATCCCCAAATGGGGTCTCCAAGGAGTGTGATAATGAACAAAAGGTAGCAGGCAACTGCAGCTACGGAAGGGATATTCAGAACCAAAGGAAGGTCCAGGCTTAAGGGACAACAAATGGCCACAGTGGCAGTAGGGTACCTCACAGCTACCTCTGCAAAGCCATTGAATTCCTTGCCGTTAGAAACAAATATTCATTGATAATGGTCATTAACAATATGGTAGATTTAAGTAGGAAGCTCTAAGATATATACAGTATGGCATTTATCTGTATAAAGCCTTTTTTTTTTTTTTTTTGAGACGGAGTTTCACTCTTGTTGTCCAAGCTGGAGTGCAATGGTGAGATCTCGGCTCACTGCAACTTCCACCTCCCAGGTTCAAGCGATTCTCCTGCCTCAGCCTCCCGAGTAGCTGGGATTACAAGCATATGCCACCAGGCCCGACTAATTTTTTGTATTTTTAGTAGAAACAGGGTTTCACCATGTTAGCAGGCTGGTCTTGAACTCCTGATCTCAGGTGAACCGCCCGCCTCAGCCTCCCAAAGTGCTGGGATTACAGGCGTGAGCCACCGCACCCGGCCAATCTGTATAAAGCTTTTAAAAGATTCCTCAGAGTCTGGATTTTAGTCCAACTCTTTGTTTCCCAACTGATATATCTGCCTCTACGCTCAAGCCAAACTCAATTCCCACACACCCTGTGCTCTCTTGGCCTCTGAACTTTTTTGCTCATGCTGTTAACTCTACCTAAAATGTCCAGTCTAAAATCCTCACCATCCCCCAGCCCTTTCCTCCACAAAGGAATCCCTGACTCCCCACTCCCCACACTTCTTATACCCACTCCCATACCTCCCTTATGGCATGTAGGCCTGTACCATTTTCTACCTCATACCAGTATCTTGCTCCTCAAAAACACCATTAGGTCTTGAGCGCTTTGTCCATAACTGATTATATCCTTTTTATCTCCAGCCATGCCTGCTTCAGTACCCTGCACAGACTAGGCACTAAACAAATAAACAAAAAATTTTAAGAGCATAATTTTCTTATTTGGCAAAGGAAATCACTACACATATTAGGGTATGTACCTATACATGCATCTGTGTATGAATAGTGTGTATGTTTGTACAGAAGGAGAAAATGCCAATTTATAAACAAATGAAATTTTTGAACAGTGTCTCTCAGAAGGATTGACAAAGAGGTCTTGAAGAATAACTTTAACTCATGTAAAGTCTAGAAACGAAGCATGTTAAAAGGGAAAATCTATTATTATGACAGGCTATATAAAAAGGGTGTTGGTTGGTCATATCTTAATGAAATTCATCTTCCAGGCAGGTAGACAAATACAAACATCACAAATAACTGAAGAGTCTCTGGCTGCCCAACTGAAACAGCATTTCCCTCAGGAGGGAGCCAATTTGAAAATAACTAATGCAATGTGTATGAATATGCCAAATCATTATTCAGCACTCTATATATCTGGAAAACAATCTGAAAAATCTACCAGCATAAATCAGTGCTTTAAAATTATAATAGGCTATATCTTTCGAAGGTGAAACACACATCCATGAATTCTGAAAAAGATGCAATTAAGATTTTACTAATGTAAATAGTTCTTACGAGGGAAAAAAACAAAGTAGTAAAGTGGCAAATGTTAACCTTATTTTTCAAACAGAAAGCAAGGTTAGGTAGATTCTGGACACTATGCACCCCAATAATCTACCATCAGTTCCCAATAAAACTCCAGGCTAACAATTGAATAGGCAGTGAAAGCACTGAGAAAAGAAAGTGGTAATTATTCATGAGTTCTCTAAGAACACAGTATGCCATACTTTGTTTACTTTCTCTTTTGATAACATTACATTTGGAAAATGAGAAACAGTCTACCTCTAATTCAGCAGCACTTGGCAAAGTCTCTCTTCAAAGAAATCAATATATAAAAAGTTATAGAGAAATGGGCAGAAAGGTGAGGTTTATTCTGAGCTCTAGTATCTAGTAGCTATGTGAATAAAAAGCAAGTTATTTAACTTCCATGAACCTCTCAGTTCCCTTAACAGAGACAGCATCTATGCTATCTCCTTCCCAGAGTTAAGAATTAAAAGCATCAGGCCAAGCGTGCTGGCTCACACCTGGAATCTCAGCACTTTAGGAGGCCCAAGGCAGACTGATCCCCTGAGCCCAGGAGTTCGAGACCAGCCTGAGCAACATGTCAAAACCTCATCTTTACAAAAACCAGAAAAATTAGCCAGGCATGGTGGTGTGTGCCTATAGTTCCAGCTACTCAGAAGGCTGAGGCCGGGGAGGTCGAGGCTGCAGTAAGCTGTGATGGGACCACTGCACTCCAGCCTGGGTGACAGTAAGACCCTGTCTCCAAAAAAAGAAAAAAAGGATTGAAAGTGCCAATATATTCACAGAAAGTGTTCTTAAGTTTCCTTGGGCCTCACACCCCTTTGAGAATCCAATGAAAGTGATCTTTCCCTTGCCCACCCCCTGAAAATGCACATTCACATAAAATTAACGTAGAATTTCAGAGGGCCTGAAGACCCCAGAAGCCAGAGCTCTTGGTTGAACTATGCATACCCAGAGCCTACCATCGTGCTGGAATGCAGTAAGATACTCAATAACTGCTGAATTAACTAGAGGAAAACAAGAACTGGAAAAACTGATATATTCACAGTTAATTAAATAACTATATAAAGAGTACTGATTAACTGACCAACCTGACTAGCAGTATAAACAGTGTAATTTTTTCTAAACGACAATTTGGCAACATGTGTCAACAACTGCCTTAAATATGTTTATACCCTTTGATTCAGTAATTCTACTTCCAAGAATTCATCCTAATAACAGATTCAGAGATGTACTGAAATACTTATGTGCAATAGCAGAAAAAGAAAACCAAAGAAGGATGGAAGGAAGGATCAAAATATCAAACAACTAGAAAATGGGAGAAAGGCCGGGCGCAATGGCTCACACCTGTAATCCCAGCATTTTGGGAGGCCGAGGCAGGCAGATCACGAGGTCAGGAGATCAAGACCATCCTGGCCAACATGGTGAAACCCCGTCTCTACTAAAAATACAAAAATCAGCTTGGCGTGGTGGCGTGTGCCCGTAATCCCAGCTACCTGGGAGGCTGAGGCAGGAGAATCGCGTGAGGTTGCAGTGAGCCAAGATCACACCACTGCACCGCAATCCAGCCTAGCAACAGAGCGAGACTCCGTCTCAAAAAAAAGAAAGAAAATGGGGGAAAAAAACCACAGTATCCAAGTTACAGAATAGTATGTTGCCACATTTAAAAGAGTAATTAACAGTATGGGGACAAGCTCATAAAATGTCAAGAGAACAAAAGCAGAACAAAAACTATATATAACTTACTAAATGTGTTAGAATGTGCTTAAAACAGTGTCCGGCACATAATATGCACTATATAAGGATTTGTTAAATAAACTTTAATAAATATATGTAGAATGAACTCAACTTTCACATATTTAAAACAATGTGGATAAACACAAACACAGAAGGACTGAAGAAAATACAACAAAATGTTAATGGTAATTATATCCAGGTTTATATTTTCCTGTAGTTACTAAATTGTGTATTTGAACTTCTATCACTGTTACAATCAGAAAAATATATATGCATATATATTCCTTTAAAAAACAAAAAAGAGATGCCCATATTTATCAAATCTGCTGTTAGTACAAGGTATAAGAAATCGGTAATAAGAATTGACAAATTTCAGATTCAAATTATTTGGTCTGGCTAAAACACTTTGGTTGAAACCAACAGGACAACATATTGTACCAAGTTCCCAGACTTCCACTTACAAACAAGGCAGATTTAACCACAAGTATATTTCTTCTCTCTCTTAAAACCCATTAAAATGTCAGTGAAGGAATAAAAAGTATGTTAAGTCCACAGAGACAAAGAGAAGAGACAACGGTGGGAAAAAAACAAAAAAAATTGAGATGGAGTTTTGCTCTTGTCACGCAGGCTGGAGTGCAGTGGTACAATCTTGGCTCACTGCAACCTCTGCCTCCTGGATTCAAGCAATTCTCCTGCCTCGGCTTCCCGGGTAGCTGGGATTATTACAGGTCCCCGGCTAATTTTTGTATTTTTTTGGTAGAGACAGGGTTTCACCATGTTGGCCAAGCTGGTCTCGAACTCCTGACCTCAAGTGATCCACCCGCCTCGGCTTCCCAAAGTGCTGGGATTACAGGCCATGAGCCACCACCCCCGGCCATGGGAAAAAGATTTTAACAAATTTTTAGGAAATGGAAAACGGTTGTAAGATGACAAACTACTAATAAAGCAGGAGAAAACATAACAGGAGAGTGATGCCTGTAAGGGAGGGAACTGGTGTCACAGAACCCAAGAGACACTCAGGACTTGGAGGCACTACAGACCTCAAAAGCTAGGGGGACAGATGTAGGACTAAACACAAAGGGAACTGTATTAAAATATTAAATATGTACATAAATGGGTTAGATGGCCAGGTCCCCTCCTCTACCCTTCATACAGCTAGACACATACTGTACCCTCAACTTATCCCTGTAGTAGACCAGTGGCACCTTCCTCTAGAGAACTTAAACCAGAGGGGCTCCAGAATCAGGGACAGCAGGAATAGCAGAAGCTAGGGACTGAAAACAGCATGGGGGATTACCTGAAGTAAACATCTTCCGGCTGAATAAGTAAACCTACCATCCCCCCAGTCCCTTTTCCTCACCTTTTGGCAATCAGGCCTATATTCCCCAGGCAGATATCTGGAGGGAAATACCGCATGGTGAAGATAAGAACAGCCAAGATTGAGAATCACTAAACTAAAAATATATAAGGCTCTAAACAGCCCTTGGCATCTCTTCCTACCTGCAGTACTCTCAACTTAACAATTAACTCTAAAGAAAAAAATACTTGTAAAATAATTTCAGCCCTCTGTTAAGTTGCGAAATTCAAGGAAGAAAAAAATTCAAGGGAAGATCGATAAAATAAACAGAAGGAAGGAGTCCTGTAGAAGTCACTGATTTTTCCACAATTAACACACTTCATTATACTGCAAGAATTCTCAAATGGGGGAAGGGGAAGGACGGATGGGTGGTGATCTCTTCTGGTTAAGAATTACTATTCCAGATCATCTAATGTCCATAATGAACCAATTATCGTAACAACAAGTAGGCACAAACCGTCTGGATGCTAGACAATTTATTAAAAGCATACTATGTCTTAACAGCTAAGGGTGCAATGGTGAATAAGAGTGCTACTATAACAGGCTAGTACAGCAGCTTGGGGATAAATCAAAGTCTGTAATCAATAAACTAACATTTCATAATCGTAAATACAAAATCAAGGTGGAGCTACAGACCCATGCTATGTGCTATTAGTATTCCTAATTACCACTTTTCGAATATAAACTATATACCAGGAACTTTGATAAATGCTCTACATGCATTCTCATTTAAACCTGACACTTCGATCAAATAAATATTATTTCCCACACTTCACAGATAAGCAATACGAGATCAAAGAGGTTGAACAATTTGCCCATGACCACACAGGTAAGCAGAGGCAAAGCTGGATGCATCAAGTCTCTCTGACCCTAAAGCACATCTTCTATTCCACACTATGATGGCAAGGTTCGAAGAGGTACCCTCTAAAACTGGAGGGTACTGAATTCAAACCAGGCTCAAGGATGCCTAATCTAAGTCAGCCCTTCTATATTTAACGCATTTTCTTTTTTTTTTTTTTTTTTTAAGACAGAGTCTTGCTCTGTCGCCCAGGCTGGAGTGCAATGGCGCAATCTCAGCTCACTGCAAGCTCCGCCTCCTGGGTTCACGCCATTCTCCTGCCTCAGCCTCCCGAGTAGCTGGGACCACAAGCGCCCACCACCGTGCCCGGCGAATTTTTTTTGTATTTTTAGTAGAGATGGGGTTTCACCGTGGTCTCGACCCCCTGACCTCGTGATCCACCCGCCTCAGCCTCCCAAAGTGCTGGGATTACAGGGGTGAGCCACCGCGCCTGGCCCATTTTCTTAAAATGGTCTCAATTTAGCATTTTTGTCTAGTGCTAGAATATAAGATTATTAGCAAGAAAAAGTTGTGTATAAAATCTTGAGAGGCATCCTGTATTAGAGTTAGACTATCATTAGTTCCTTTAAATAGTCTCTTTAGTAATCATCATTTTACAAAACGATACCAATCCATGGAGCCTGACACAGTCTAATAGGTTAAAAAAAGATGTGTGTGTATGCATATGTAAACATGTATGTATGTGTACGTATAGTTTTCTCTGGTTTCACATTTCCAAAATTTTATTTGAATATGCCTTCAGAAGAATCTTTAAAAGTCAAATATTCAAGAGATGAAAGATTAAGAACACACGGTAAATATTCCTATAGTTCACAAGAGACATAATGTTCCAGTTTCTATTATTAGTATGCTACGATACACCATGGATAAATCACTTTATCTCTGGGCTTCTGGGAGAGGGAATTGGATGACACAATCTCTAAGGTGCATCCTATTTTTTTAATGTTTGGCTAAGTGACAACCTACAACACTTTTCAAAGCATGATCGACTTTATCTTTGAACACAGCAAGCAAAGAGCTACAGTAGAGGGCGAAGATAAATCTAATCAGCATCTACTATTTCATCTGGACCACTTAATTTAGCAGCTTCTTTAGCAGCATATCCATGCTGGAGGTGGAAACTTGGTAAGACCCCTAGGAATCAGCAACTCTCAGGGAATAACACTTGGCTAGCTCTTCTTTTTTTAATCTGAAAGTGCTTAGCTTAGTCTGAAAAGAAAATAAATCCCACTTCTTTACCCATGAAAACCATATTCCTCTATTTAAATAATCTCTCCATCTCAGCCTCTAGGAACTAATAAAAGGGGGTTTAAGATTGCCAAATAAGGTACTGGTACCAAAACAGATATATAGACCAACAGAACAGAACAGAGCCCTCAGAAATAACACCACACATCTACAACCATGTGATCTTTGACAAACCTGACAAAAACAAGCAATGACAAAAGGATTCCCTATTTAATAGGTGGTGTTGGGAAAACTGGCTAGCCATATGCAGAAAACTGAAGCTGGACCCCTTCCTTACACCTTAAGCAAAAATTAACTCGAGATGGATTAAAGACTTAAACGTAAGACCTAAAACCATAAAAATCCTAGAAGAAAACCTAGGCAATACCATTAAGGACATAGGCATGGGCAGACTTCATGTCTAAAACACCAAAAGCAATGGCAATAAAAGCCAAAATAGACAAACAGGATCTAATTAAACTAAAGAGCTTCTGCATAGCAAAAGAAACTACCATCAAAGTGAACAGGCAACCTACAGAATGGGAGAAAATTTTTGCAATCAATCCATCTGACAAAGGGCTAATATCCAGAATCTACAAAGAACTTAAACAAATTTACAAGAAAAAACCAAACAACCCCATCAAAAAGTGGGCAAAGAATATGAACAGACGCTTCTCAAAAGAAGACATTTATGCAGCCAACGAACATACAAAAAAAAGCTCATCATCACCGGTCACTAGAGAAATGCGAATCAAAACTACAATGAGCTACTACCTTATACCAGTTAGAATGGCGATCATTAAAAAATCAGGAAACAACAGATGCTGGAGAGGATGGGAGAAACAGGAATGCTTTTACACTGTTGGTGGGAGTGTAAATTAGTTCAACCATTGTGGAAGACAGTGTGGCAATTCCTCAAGGATCTAGAACTAGAAATACCATTTGACCCAGCAATCCCATTACTGGGCATATACCCCAAAAATTATAAATCATTCTACTATAAAGATACATACACATGTATGTTTACTGTGGCACTATTCACAACAGCAAAGACTTGGAACCAACCCAAATGTCCATCAATGATAGAATGGATAAAGAAAATGTGGCACATATATACCATGGAATACTATGCAGCCACAGAAAAGGATGAGTTAACATTCTTTGCAGGGACATGGATGAAGCTGGAAACCATCATTCTCAGCAAACTAACACAAGAACAGAAAACCAAACACCTCATGTTCTCACTCGTAAGTGGGAATTGAACAATGAGAACACATGGACACAGGGAAGGGAACATCACACACCCGGCCCTGTCAGGGGGTGGGGGGCTAGGGAAGGGATAGCATTAGGAGAAATACCAAACGTAGGTGACGGGTTGATGGGTGCAGCAAACCACCATGGCATGTGTATTCCTATGTATCAAAACTGCACGTTCTGCACAAGTACCCCAGATCTTAAAGTATTAAAAAAAAAAAAGATTGCTGAATTAAGTACTCTTCTTTAGTAAATATGGGTGAGGATCTCAAAAACTAATGAAATCTGTACACAGTAGCAAAGTAGGACTCAGGAGTTCTGCCTATTCTCTCTTGTTGGTTCCTCTTTAATAAACTAGAAATGCACACCAAATACGGAAAAAGAGAAAGCAGACGATTACATATAGTACCAAATCTCAAAGATCACATTTTCTAGTTTAAGTTTTCTTGTTATTTGTGACTAAATACTTAAATTACCTAATTAAATTAAAACACAAGCCTCAAAGGTATGTTTACAGTGATTCATAAAATTACAGGCCATGCCACTGTGGTTTAAATTTACAACTTAATTTTATAATTAAGCCCCAAAGACTATAAACGGGGGGATGGGGAGGGGGGAGAATGTAAATAGATACGGTATACCTATTTTCAACAATAACTGAGCAATTTTAAAAACAAGAATAAAATTTAACAAATCGAAATTAAAGTAACATTATCTTTAAAATCTCACTGACATTCTTCTCCTCAAAGTACTAAATAATAACATCTTTAGTACTAAAAATACCAGAAGTCAGTTACTATTCATCTTACACATGGAGACAATGAAGTCAAAACTGCAGTAAACAATTTTACTAAAATGAATACAGTACCAAAAAAAAAAAAAAGGAGGATTAAAATCCAAAGCTCCTGTTTACAGGATCCATGATGTATTCAAAAACCAAGACACCTAATCAAAGATCCTGCAAAAATTCAATTACTCAAGCTTCTGTTCACCATGCTAAAAATGCCTGTGCAGGAAATACACTCTCTGACAAACTTCACAGAGAAAAATGAAAAGTATAAACACACTCAAAGGACCTGATAAATGGATACCTGCATAATAACTAGATACGATGAAGTATTTTCCCCAAATTTAACAAGTCTTTGACTTAAAATTTAAATATCCTATAGGTATTAACAGGATAAATTAATACAACACTGATAAATAATACATGTTAAGCCTATGGTACAAGTTTGAATTTGAGGCGTCACACAAGAATTTTAAGTATCCACGCATCCCATTACAGCCTCAGACCTCCAGAAATTACTTTGTTAAATATCCATGAAGGTCTTCCCGGGCCACATGTGTCTAATCAATAGGGGGTTTACTAGACAACACTTTTCAGAAGGAAATATGTTAAGGAAATACAATTTTATTAACAATTATCTATTTTATTATCTTATAAATATTCAAAGGAAATCTTTGTTAATTACTAATATACTTTCCTAAATGCAATACACCTCATTTACAGACTAAAACACATTTTAGAGTCTAAAGTAGTGGTTCTCAACTGACAGCAATTAGCAATGTCTGGTGACTTTTTTGGTTTTCACAACTGGAAGGTGCTACTGGCATCTGGGGGGTACAGGCCAGGGACTCTGCTAGACATCCTAACATGTACATAACAGCTCCATACAACAAAGAATTATCCAACACCAGTGTCAATAGTGCCAAAATATGAAACCCTTGTCTACAATCCAAATTGCATTGTAAGGACTATTAAGGTTTACTTACCTTTAAATTTAATATCCAGACCACTAAATTCCAATTCAACCCCTTGAAGTGCTTCTCCCAGAGTTTCATGGTAATGACTGATACTTTTTTTTGACCCCACACAGAATGGAAGTGAAAAGTACTTATATGTTTCTTGACGATTATGGTAGGGCCCAACAGTATTCATCCATAAGACAACTTCCTCTTTATCTTGATACTGAAACAAGAAAAGCAAACAAGAATTAAAAAAAAAAAACACACTAATTCAAATTAAGGGAATATTTGTTGTGTGTTCTAAACAAAAGTGCATCATCTCTGTTCAGGAAGCTATAAAATAAATACTGGAAGCTTAATCTGATGATGAATGTCCACATCTTAAAAATGAAACTTTGTGAATTTTAAAATTATATCCTCTGATTGTAGTCTCAGGCAGATACACCTTTTCCAAACTTGTTTTATAGAAGACAGTGTTTGAACTAAGCCCAATAGCTCATAAGAGTGTGTCTATTATTTACATTTACACTATCAAATAGTGGCAAACCTGCAACCAGCATGATTCACCATGCTAACATGGACAAGGAAGGAGGAAACAAAATCAAGTTTATCCAGAACCTCATGTTAATCAATTAAAAAAAAAAAAAAACCTAATGTTGCCAGCAAGCATAAATAAAATTTCATCTCCTTGCGAGACTTTCACACAGCCACTGGTCAAAGTACTACAGAGGACAAGGAAGAAGACTGCTATAGAACCTCCACAAGTCCATTCAAGCCAACATTCTATCTTGTTAGCAGCCTGAAAGACATGCACTATATGCATATTTCTTTGAATAAGTAATTATGGAACTACATATCAGTGAATATTATACATGGCTAAATCTGAAGTGTGGTCAGTAATGACTTTGAGTAGTTCCAAGGTACAAGTGGGAGGCCTGTCAAAGATTTCTAAGATCTCGACAAGTTTAAAGTTCCAATGATTCTATGGAAACTGATTACCATGGTAATTTTAAAACTAATAATTCTAAGTAGCAGTATAAATTAAAGACAACATTGGATGCATTTAAATCAACTAATAGTGCAGACATTAATTCACTGAACAATTATTTACTAAGTGCTTAGCATGTGAAACAACTGTGTTTATAACTGAGGATACAGCTTTGAACAAGATGTGTTCCCTGTCCTACTGGGGGAAGGATGGGCATTAAACAAGCAATAATAATAAGGTAGGTTGCTATGGGGCACATAATAGAAGAAGTGATCCAACTGGCCCACTATGAAATCCTTATCTCCAGTCCTCCATCTAAAACTAGTTAATAAATAAATATTTTCAATCAAAACCTAACATCTCCAAAACCAAACTCATCTACCCAAATCCACTTCCCCCAGCTTCATTTTTCTAATGGTACTACCATTCTCTCAGCCATGGAGACTCAAACCCCAAATCTCTCTGCACTCTAGGGAACCCAAAAACATTAACTTGTATGTTCTTACCAAAAACATCTGCCTTTTTCTTTTGATTCACACGATTATCACCCTAAGACTTAGACCCAGTCATTTCATTTTCAAACATAAATGCCTCACTGTTCATATAAGACAACAGCCAGGTCATTAAGGAAATAACAAATGATCTCACCTTTTGAACACATGTGACAGGTACCAAGTATCGCGTTAGGTATTAAGAATATAAAAGTAAGTAAAATACTGTCGTTTCCTTAAGAAGTTCATAATCCACAGTGGAATCAGACAAGTAAATGATTAACAAAGAAAAAATAAGTATTATAATTAAGGTAATAAAGGGCTATTGTAGCAACAATAAAGGAATGATTAAATTCACTTTGGCAGAGAAGGTCAGGACGAATAACAATTTGGAAAATCATAAGCTGTTTCAAGGGAGTTCAGAAAAACAACTGTAGATAATCTTCACATAGGAAGTAATGAATCAAAGGTCTAAATGTTAATGTAGCAGTATATCCCCATTCATTACTATTCTTTTTATTTGGGGAGACTGACAAATATATGTATGCCCCCACTCTTCCATCCAATGCTCATGGGCCACACAATACTAATCAACCAAGTTACTCCTTTCTGCTGAACATAGATATTGCCTCAGAGTTCTCAAAACAGTGCTCTAAACCAATCATTACCAACTGATGAGAGTTGGTATTAGAATTAAAACTTGTTCATGGCCGGGTACGGTGACTCACACCTGTAATCCCAAGACCTTGGGACGCCAAAGCAGGCGGATCACTTAAGGTTAGGAGTTTGAAATCAGCCTGGCCAACATGGTGAAACCCTGTCTCTACTTAAAATACAAATATTAGCAGGGTGTCGTGGCACACACCTTGTAATCCCAGCTACTTGGGAGGCTGAGGCAAGAGAATCACTTGAACCTGGGAGGTGGAGGTTGCAGTGAGCCTGAGATTGCGCCACTGCACTCCAGTCTGGGTAACAGGGCGAGACTCAGTCTCACAAGAAGAACCTATTCACCAAGGCAAATAGATATTTAATAAATATGATGGGAAAACACTGAAGAAATGCTGAAATGTAAAGTTCATTGGCAACTTGGTAAAAGAAGTTTGAAGTATGTGAAATGACTGCTATGTACCCTGACTGTAAGAGTACCTTTTCAGAAAAATAAGGGGAGGTAACATAATTCATCTATTTAAGAGCAGAATGTTGAATGAGACGACCTATTAAAGAGCACCTTGCCATTAACCCTGCTGAGTCTGCAGAAATGTTATAAATGTAACTTGTGAAAATAAGCACAAAAATACTTTTTCTATAAATTCCAATACTTTTCCTTTAAAAATAGACAACATTTTTGAAAATAAATACCTTTAAAAATAGGGCATCCATTTATTTTATACAAATTAAAACATAAGGACTAAAATAATTTAAGGGTCCCAGTCGATGTTAAACCACATATTCCGAAGTTACTCATTTTAAACATTCAGGAATCCTTAACAGAGTGGTAGAGTTGTGATGTGATGCCCGTACTGTAATAAAATTTATATCATTTTGTAGTCTAAGATTCTTTCTGGGAAGAGGACTGAAACAGTAATTAGAAATACACATACTGAGAGTTTAGGGTGAATAGCAAGGCAAAAATAATGCTTTTTTCTTTTGTTTTGCTCCTTACTATGCAGACTGTGGTTTAATACAATTAACTTAAAATGTTTACTTTTCATTGCAGACCTTGATTGTCCCTGAGAATAAGTGCTTCCAAGACAAGATCAAGAGTTCTCTCTCAAAAGAAAATGTTTTAAAATATTTTGAAATTAAAAAATACCAAAAGACTTCACACAACTTCTGAAGGAGAAAACAAAACAAACAAAAATCTTTCCTTTCCCTAAAGCTTTGATAAAGCCCCTGAGCTCCACAGTCTGTGGGAAGAGAGTGCTAGGCCCAGAAGAAGGTGGGGTGGAGTCACAGAAGCACAGCAGTGTATCAGGGGATCCCTAAGCACGATAATAATCCCTTTCATCTGAGGCTTCCCTGGGAAACGGCCAAGTGAGAGGAGGCCAATTCAGGCTACCGGCATTCTTCACCTACTTATTTTCCAGCTCTCAGAAGAATCTCACTGCTACACTTACGTCATCCACGCTGGCCAAAACGGTTTATGATATTGTCTTCCTCCCCTTTTCTGCTTCATCTTTGTGTGTGTGTGTGTGTGTGAGACGGAGTCTTGCTCTGTCGCCCAGGCTGCAGTGCAGTGGTGCAATCTCGGCTCACTGAAAGCTCCGCCTCCCAGGTTCACGCCATTCTCCCGCCTCAGCCTCCTGAGTAACTAGGACTACAGGCGCCCACCACCACACCCGGCTAATTTTTTGTATTTTTTAGTAGAGACGGGGTTTCACCATGTTAGCCAGGACGGTCTCGATCTCCTGACCTCGTGATCCACCCGCCTCGGCCTCCCAAAGTGCTGGGATTACAGGCGTGAGCCACTGCGCCTGGCCCCACTTCATCTTCTTTCGTCATTCCACCAAATTTAGAATGCCCTCCTTTTCTCCACTTAGCCAAACTCTAATAATCCTTCCGAAATGCTCAAATCCTCCTTTTTCAAATCCTCAAGTAAAGCCTTAACTCACCAAACCCTAACATGACATGATCTCACCATTTTTGTAATAATAACATCAGTAGCTAACAATAAATACATACTATGAGCTAGGTATAGTTCTAAGGTCTTTATATGAACACTTAAATAATCATCTCAAAATTCTATAAAATAGGTCCTATTACTTCCCCATTTTACAGACTAAAAACAAAAACAAAACTAAAGAACAGAGATGTTAAGTAATTTGTCCAAATCAATCAGCATCAAGTTTAAAAGGTTAGTATTTTTGCTAATCCCTAGTCAGCTTCATTCATTAAAGAGCAAAAAACTAAATCAAGGAAATATGAAAACAGTGCCAGGTGTACAAAGCAACTAAAGACAGTCCTGAACACTGAATAACTTTTCTATGTGAGCCTTTAATCTGCCTGAAAGAAAAAAAACCTTCTAAGAAGCTATTTGCACTCTAATCTCAAAAGGAATGACCTTTATTCTCAAGAAGTCACCAATGTTGGGCCCCTCTTATTTAAATACTGTTTATGTGTTGGGGGGGTACCAAAGTTTTCCTCCTTGACAGAGGTAATGAATTAATTATTATCAGGAGAAACGCTTTAGAAGATAATATGCTGACGTGGTCATGTGAAATCTGAATAAGAAATCACAATTTACATAGATGAGCAAAGGACTGAGGGTTCAGAACAAGCACCCAAATGCTATCCTTCATTTTCATACAAAGGGGGAAAAATATATGTGTTTACTTCAAAATAATGTTCCAGAAATCATAATTTCAAAACCTTTAAATTATTAAAACACACATCAGAATTCTAATACAAATAAATTAGAAATGTAATTTTGAATAGTCTCTTGAGATAACTACTCTCTCTCAAAAATAGCTTTGTACCTAAATAAACTTTCAGTCTATCATTGAGTAGAGCTGAAAATAGGACAACGAATTACGGCATTTAACAATCTACATTAGATAACTCACAAATTCACTTATAGTAAACAGCTTATACTCTTTATAAGTTTTCAGTAAGTTTTAAGAGTTCCTATACTCCCAACAGAGACAAAGACAAAAGGTTTCCATTTGCCAAAGTAAATCAAACAAAACATTTCTGAAATCACTCCGTGATATAATACAAATTATTTATGAGGCAGAGGCTGAGTAAACGATTCTAGTAGGCATCCAGTCTGTCCAACATTAGAAGTCTCAAGATTACCAGAAGTACACTGGGCCACAGAGAAATAGGGAATTTTAGCCTAGGTAGGACCCCCAAATCAAAACAGAAGACTATGCATCTTAAAGGAATAACGGCCTCAGTTTGTTCATTGTGCTTCCACACTGCATATCCTTGTCACTAGTAGCTCCCTAATTATTCAAGTCATTCAACAAGCACTCATCAAGTACTATTTGTGCCAAGCACAGTGCTTGCGTATATAACAGACCAAAAAAAAAAAAATCTGACTTTGTGATCTTGTTAAGGAAACAGAACCCATAAAAATTCAAGGCTACAGTGCAAACTATAAAATGCTCTAAGATTCCTGTGCCCCTAAGTACTGGGTTTTTGCTGCTAACATCTTTACATATTATAACTATGGAATTACATGTAAAAGACAGGTAGAAAAGACAAGACTGGCGATCAGGAAGCTCTGATTCTTTCTGTGGCCTTGAGCAAGTCTCTGAACCTGTACAGGCCATTAGGAAAATGAAGAGTTTTGGATTAAATTATTGAGTCTTTCTAGTTCTAAAATTCTATGATTCTCAATCTGAAATTGTTTTTAATGGAGTCCTTCGGAATCTTAGGAGACATAGTAATCTAACTCTAGATGCTTCCAAGTGCTTTGAGTTTTAGAAAACCAAATAAGCATAAACATACCTTTCACTGACTATAAAGAAGCCTATGTCCCTTCAATCAGTTATTAAAAGCCTGTCTTCCACAAAAGTGTTAATTTTCATTTCAAACAACATGTCTGTAATGCATATGATTCAACTTTTAAAAATTAAAAGGAACACATTTTTACATATTCTAGATATGTACATACAGTCAATAGCACATTTCCTTTTCAACACTCTTCAGAGAATATTAAAATAACTTTGGACAAATAAGCACATAAAATATATACATATATACCATAGGGTCAGGCGCAGTGGCTCACACCTATAATCCCAGCACTTTGGGAGGCCGAGGCAGGCGGATCACCTGATATCAGGAGTTCAAGACCAGCTGACCAACATGGAGAAACCCTGTCTCAACTAAAAAAATACAAAATTAGTCAGGCACGGTAGCACATGCCTGTAATCCCAGCTACTCAGGAGGCTGAGACAGGAGAATCGTTTGAACCCGGGAGGCGGAAGTTGCAGTGAGCCGAGATCACGCCATTGCACTCCAGCCTGGGCAACAAGAGTGAAACATAGTCTCAAAAAAAAAAAAAGAAAAAAAAGAAAGAAAGAAAGAAAAAGAAAAAAAAATACCATATGGGTCAGATGGCCACCTGAATCCTAATTCAGTAGGTACAGTAAGAGATATCAGGGGCTTTGGGGAATGGGCATAAGGTATTGTCCCTTCTTAGGACAAGCTATATAATTTGTGCGACCCAGTACAGAAAAATACAGAGCCCCTTGTTAAAAAATTTAAAACTTCAAGATGTTACAGGATAGCATGAAAACAAGCTCTCACACAGTCTTTTGTGACTATTCAGGGCACGTGCCCATGAAGTCAACACTATTGCTCCTTAATGCTAACCCAAAGATCTCAGAAACAACTCATCATGGAGCCACACTCATTCGAGCATTTAAGCATTTAAGCACTTAAAAATCAATATAGAGAACCACTCAATACCTAGTGCTTTACTGTCTTATTTTTAGGATAAAGGGGAATAGAGCATATGGCGGCTCACAGTGCAGAAGACTATCAACTCAGAATGCCTAAGTTCAAATCCCACCTCTACCCCTACCAGATGTGTGTTATCTGCAGGTGACCTCACCTCTCTAGATTCACTTTCCTCATCTACAAAATGGGCATATTACTCACCTCGTAGGTTATTAATAGATGAGTTAATAAGTGTAAAATACTTAGAACAGTGCATAGCCAGCAGGGCATGGTGGCTCACACCTGTAATCCCAGCACTTTGGGAGGCCGAGGCAGGCAGATCACCTGAGGTCAGGAGTTCAAGACCAGCCTGGCCAACATGGTGAAACCTCGTCTCTACTAAAAATACACAAATTAGCCAGGCATGGTGGCAAGCACCTGTAATCACAGCTACTAGGGAGGCTGAGGCAGGAGAATTGCTTGAACCCAGGAGGCAGAGATTGCAGTGAGTGGACATTGTGCCACTGTACTCCAGCCTGGGTGACAAGAGCAAAACTATGCCTCAAAAAAACAAAACAAAACAAACAAAAAAAAACAGTGCATAGCCCATTTTACTACAAAAGACATACTAGGTATTATCTGGAAACAATCTTCACAGGCAATTAACCTAAAAGGCCAGCTTCAGCTTCTAAAAGTTATTGTTTGATAATTCAATTCTACATGTATTTACTAAACACCTACTCAGCAACTTCCCCACACCAATGTCTCCTCTTCCTTTAGTATTATTCTCTCTTTACTAGCTACTTCTGCTTCTTTGACAGAAAAAAATAAATAAAACTCACTTGACATTAGCCTTTTCGGTACTACTATCTGGCTAAGAGGAATAGGAATGCCTAGTTTTTGAGAAATATTTTCAAGAAATTTAGAAAAAGCAAAAGATTTTGGCTAACAGTGAAAAAATAATATAAATGACATTTGAATTTTATGCTTATTTTTAGATGCTATTCTTCCCATAACTGTTTTTGTTTTTGTTTTGCTTTTTACAATACATATTCGGCCAGGCGTGGTGGCTCATGCCTGTAATCCCAGCACTTTGTGGGGCCAAGGCAGGCAGATCACTTGAGGCCAGTCGTTTTGAGTTCAAGACCAGCCGGGCCAACATGGCGAAATCCCCTTTCTACTAAAAATACAAAAATTAGCTAAGTGTGGTGGCGCACACCTGTAATCCCAGCTACTTGGCTAAGGCACGAGAATCGCTTGAGCCCGCAAGGCTGAGGTTGCAGTGATGTGAGACAGCACCACTGCACTCCAGCCTGGGCAACAGAGTGGGACTCTGTCTCAAAAATAAATAAATAAATAATAGGTATTTAATAATGGGTAACCAAGTAAGAGCAGTTCAATATAGACATGAAGTAATATGGATTCTAAATTTTTTGTCTAGCAACCATCTCATATATACCATATTATCTTTCGTGGCAGTCAACAAAAACCTTTTATCAAATATCTTATATGCAATTACTAGAATAAAAAACTGAAATAGTCCTAGCAATAAAACTGCATTGAAATTACACTTTTAATTTGTAAATTATTCTAAAGCCTTTATATACACCCAATTTGTAAAATTTTAATGGTTTCCCTAATCACAGCAGTGTAAGTCACAAGATTACAAGATTAAAAAGTAGAATACAGTACACTTTTGAGCTTATATGCCTGTATCACGGAACTACACATTGAGAGTTCTGAGTTTCATATGGTAACTTTTCCTAAGTGTTTTTTTAATTGGAAATATATTAGTAATAATATCATTAAACAGAAGGATGGATGCCCACTGAAAATTTAAAAATACTCAAAGACCCAAATCTATACATGGTCCCTGTATACTATGTGAAACAATAGCAGTTCTTAAACTTTGAGACAGCTTATCTGATGAAAGAACACAAAAGGAAATCGTTTTAAGCTGTTTAACCTCCCAACAAAATTATCTTAGGTGAAACACCACAAGTACAGTACAAAAACATGTCACCAATTCGAGATTTGTGTCTCTAAAGAAATACATACCTACACAGGTAAGAAGTTTCTGGCTGTGACCGAAGGTAGAACAGTCAAAAGTTTAGAGCTTTTATTAGCTAAAATAAGATCCCAGCTAGCCAAGGATCCAGCGAAAAGTTTTGTTGATTACAAATAAAATCGGATCCATTAAATAGGTAAGGACGACTGCTTCATTTCCTCACTTACCAGAAATGACATAAGACTCCCTCAGATCGTTCTGATTTAGTACAAACACAGTCTCTCATAGAAACTCCTATCATTAATGGTAAAGGTATAAAAAACAATTACTCGTCAAGCAAACTCTCAATTTACCTGACCTTCCTGCCTTGCTCAAGTCTACCACTCTGAAAACCACAGTTACAGCCCTAAGTGAAAGCCATTTGAAGAGTCGTTCACATGCACGTTTTGATGTGAGAATACCAATTAAACAAACTGCCAATCACCTTTAGGCCAAATGCAAAAGGGACTGTTTCTGGCCCTGACCTGAAGACTGGGAAACGTCAAGACCCTTTACTGTCAGAAGCTGCCTTAGTTAGAGACTATCGGGATGGGGGTCTCACTTAGGGGCTGGAAGGTGAGGAGAAAGTTACAAGAAAGGCCTAGGAATTGAACGCGTGTAGGTTGGGTGCACTTACAAGTAAGTATAAACTGCTCTTCAATTCAAGTTTATTAATGCTGCCCCACCCCAGGGTTTTAATCCGGTCTGGGCAGAAGCGGGCGATAAAAGCCAAAGGAGACCATAAAGTGTAGGATATTTCCTGGTTAGTGGCTGCCGGGTAATCACGATGCATCCATCTTCCTCGGCGTCGCAGCCCTCAGTAGCCAGAAGGCAGTCTCCTTCCCTGGGGGGCAAAAGCCCCGAGCCCAGCCTGCCCGTTGCCCCGCTCCCGCGGTGGATGAACCTCAACCCTTCCCAGGCTCCTTCCTGGCCCCAGGGTCCCAGGAACCCCGAGACCCTGGGGTGCGGCGCCACTGAGGCCCAGACCGGGGGAAGGAGACCCTGTCACTCGGGAGCGGAGCCCTGTCCCGGGAGCGCACGGAAATGCCTCCTCCACGCTCCCAAGGTTCCTGCTCCGCCAGGCCCAACCGGAAGGAGTCCTCGGGCCGCAGTGGGGCACCACCGGGCCGCCGGGCACTCCAGGCTGCGTGGGGCCTGCCTCAGTGGGCAACTGGGGAGCTAGCCCGGGGCGGCCGCGCCGGCCGGGGCGCCTCACCGTGTGTTCGTGCTCGTCCGCCCGGGTCCGGGGCAGCAGCAGCAGCAGCAGCCACAGCGCGGCGGCCGCCGCCACGCCAAGAGCGCCAGGCAGCGGCCTCATCCTCCGCGCCCCTCCGGCCCGGAGCCGGCTCACCGACTCCTCCTCCCGCCGCCGCCTCCTCCGCCGCCGCCGCCTCCGCCGCGGCCGATTCGCATCCACGGGGCGCGGACAGACGCACGGGGCCCGGCCCAGCCGCTGCCTCCTCTGCCGCCGCCGTCGCCGTCACCGCCCGCTCCTGAGCCTCCCCCGCCCCCCGCGCCTCCTCAGCCTCTTCCTCTGACTCAGCCACGTCATCCGGCCACCCCGGCACGCGCCGGAAGTGCCTCGCGACGCGGGGCCGCCACCGCCGCCGGGCCGAGGGAGGGCCCGGCAACCGCCGCCTGCGCGCCGGCTGCCCCTCGGCTCCTGGGAGCCGCGGCGCTACGGGCCTGCCGAGCACTCGGGCGGGCGCCGAGCAGGCTGGGCCCCGGCGCAGTGGCCTAGCCTGGACCGCAAGGCCGAAGCCGCCTCCGGGCCGCGTCCCGGTGTTTCGGGTTGTGTAACCTTGGCCAAAATGCTTAAGCTTTTTTCCTGGCTGCCAAATGGGGCCGATCGTCTGACCTGCTGCCTCCGGAACTTGAGGGATCAGATCAAATAACCCTTTCCTGGCGCTCGTCTGCCGCTGTGAATGAATCACGGGCTCCTGTAATCACCGTTAGGAGAGATTGTTAAACTCGTACAGGGTTGGATGTTTTAAAGTTACTGAATATTTACTGGACCCCTACTGTTCAATCAAGACATGCTAAGTTAGCTTGCCATTCTTGTTCATTTATGTGTTTACTTAACTATTTCTGGGTCTCCTCTTCCCAGTCATAAATATCTCTTGGAGTGTAAGCTCCTCGGAGCAGAGATCCTGTTTCCGTATTTCCTGTACCTAGAACAGTGCCAGATCCGTAGTAGACACTGAAACAAAAAATCTTTAAAAAAAAAAAAATATACGAATGTGGCACCACCATTTACACAGGCCACTAAGCCAAAAATCTCGAACTTGTCAGATTGTCTCTTCTCAGCCATCAGCAGTCAACAAGTTCTAGCATTTGGTCTCTTAAAAGTGGTTCAAGAGTTTATTTTTCCTCTCCTTCCTCTGCCAGTACCAACCAGTCTTCCGTATCACTATGTATTGCAAGAGTCTCACAAGAAGATATCCATCACTGACTGATCTTCCTCCCGTTTAACATCCCCAACAGGTGCCAGGGTGATGTTTTTTTTATTCTAAAAAGAAACCAGATTATATCGCTCACTCCCTTGCTTAAAACAGTTCTTCAATGTTAGGTAAATAAATCATGGAGTCACCACGAGGGCGTTCATCTGCCAGGCACTATTCTGAACGATATTGGCTCATTAAATTCTCACAGAAACCCTATGCAGCAGGTACGGTGAAAATGTTCCTGTTACAGATGAGGTAACTGAAGCACAGAGAGCTTGAGTGGCTTGCTGAAACACCAGACCCACTCAGTCTGGCTCCATAATAGGTCTTTTTGCTGGTAATGATTTACCAACTATACAGCCACTTTAAAAAAAGGAAATAGGTAAGTACTGGCATGGAATGATAACCAAGAGGTTCTGTTAAATTTTCAAGTTGAAGAAAATAAGAGTTTAACTTCATTTTATATGGCAATATGTTAGTCTGCCCATAGAAAACAATCTGAAAGATTATAACAAACTACTATCAGTGGTTAACTTTCTACTTTGTACATGCCTATAAATGTTTGGTTATTTTTTACAGTGAGCATGTGCTAACTATGTAATCAGAAAAAAAGTTCCCTGCTAAAGGATAAAGTCCAAATTTTTGCCTATTTTATCCCTAATTTATTTCCCTAACTTTACCTTCCACCAATTTCTATGCTCTGCATTCACCCGTATATATTTTTACACCTCTGTGCCTTTGCTCTTTATACTCCCTTTATCTGGCATGCTCTGCTTCACCTTGTGCCTTAGATATTATCCTTTCAGACCTAGCTGATGATCACCTCCTCAGTGAAACCTTGCATGATCCCTTGAGAAATGGAGCATTCCTTCTTTGGGATTTCAATAGCATTTGGCGTGTTGTGTTGTAATTATCTATTCACATTTCCTCTTCTACACTGCATTCGGACCTTTTTGATTGCAGGGACTATGATTTGTTTGTCTTTATATCTGTCCCAGCTGCTGAGATAGTGCTTGTCACATCATAGGTATTCAACTCTTTGCTGAATGAATGAAGACATTAACAAGTGAAAAGTCAAATAGCATAGCAAGATTTGAAGAATGCTTTCTAGATAGTGTAAGAAACATCACAAAGCAGTACATGATTAATTGCTGAATGAATCATACACCAGTAATTGCTGTAGAAATCAGAGGAGGCATCTTATACATCTTTGTATATCCTCCCGAGCACCTAGCAGGGTGACTTGCTCATAGTGAAAGCTCAGTCAATTCTGTGAATGAATAATCACTGCTCTTGAATGAAGTGATGATGTGCAATTGAAGAACAAGCCGTGTAAGTGCTACATTAAGATGGATGTGTAGTTTCTTAAGTATCCATCACCACCCTCCACAGATTTGAGGTAGTATGCATGTGGCAGGTGTTTTGGGGAGGACTGGGTTGGCAAATGCTTGGAGGTAGGGAGGACACAAGAAAAAGTATATTCATTTAGGGAGGATAGATTAAAACCAGGAAACTACACACACAACAAAGAACAGGCATGACAGTGTACTTTTAAAAAGGAACACAAAAGCTGGCCAACTGTGCAAATGGTCAACAGGCAGTAAAAGCAATGGGCAATGAGAGAAGTGGAAAGAAACCCTATTTCAGAGGAGTATTTGGGAAAATTTAATGGATGGAAGAGCAGGTAGAGCCATTAATTCAACGATTATTTATTAAGCCTCTACTATGTACCAGGCACTCTGGTAGGTACTAGGGGAATTATGCTGATAAATGGCATTAGGTGATACAAGTCTGACAGCAGTAGGTGTGGAAAGAAGGAAAGGGAGATAAAGTAACTGATTAGAGTAAAAGAAGTGTGGCTTCAAAGATCCTAGGTGCCTGATGACCTCAACAGGACAAAACAGGGCTCAGGTCACCATCAAAATTAGGGTTGTTTCACTAAACTGGGGAGTGAAAAACATTAACATACCTTATTTCACCACTTATTTCATCTGGGTGAATGACCTCATTCCCTGACACCAAAAAGGATGGCAGCGGTGGGGAGAAAATGCCGGTGAAAGGCATTTCCCACCTCCCCCAGTGGCTATACAGCCTCTTTTCTATGGTAGCTCTAATAAGACTCCATTTTGGTTAAAGAGCTTATGACCAGCAAGCAATCCAGAAAACCAAAATGTCAGTCTTTTATTTTCATTCTGGGTAAACATGATCATCAAAACTATTAGGTATGGGGGCTAGGCACAGTGGCTCACCCCTGTAATCCCAGTACTTTGGGAGGCCGAGGTGGGCAGACTGCTTGAGCTCAGGAGTTCAAGACCAACCTGGACAACAGAGTGACACCTCTGTCTCTTCAAAAAATACAAAAAAAAAAAAGTATCTGGGCATGCTGGCACGTGCCTGTGGTCCCAGCTCCTCAGGAGGCTGAGGTAGGAAGATGGCTTGAACCTGGGAGGTGGAGGTTGCAGTGAGCTGATTGTGCCACTGCACTCCAGCCTGGGTGACAGAGCCAGACCCTGTCTCAAAAAAAAAAAAAAAAAAAAAGTATTAGGGTATGGATTGACCACATATCTTCTGATTTCTATCATCAGCTACTTTTTCTTTGAAATTCTATTTCTTCCTTCTACTTTGTTATGTTTGTCTTGCCAGTTATGTACTTCAGCAGGGTGGGCGACAGTTCGTCTATTGCTATTTGCCATTTTCCACCTCCACCGTTTCTGTTCTGGCTGTAATGTTCTAGACACAGATCTTCATGATTGCTCTGAGTTCTTTCTTTAGGAAGCCATTACTGAGAACATTTAGTTCTTGGACTGAAGAGCAACTAAGGCCATTAGTTTCTTTGTGTGGTTCCTCTTTCACTGTCTCTCAGTTTTTTAACTGATATAACAGTGAGACAGAGCAAGGAACAGCAGGTGCCACATAATAAAAAGAGCCTTGCCAATTAGGTGGTGATGCCACTAAGGCTGTCTCCCTGCTTCTTCCGACAAAGCGATTCCACACCCTCTTTCTGAGACTTAGACTTAACAGAGTTGAAGAGACCTAGACTGTTACCAAAGACACAACTCTCCACTTCGTAGGTGATGAAACATAGAACAAGGTAGTCAAGTTATGTGAACTCGTCAAGTAAGTAGCACACCAAAATAAAAGACCAGGTTTCCTGGCTTCCGAAACAATCTCTTCCCTATACCATGCTAACTCTTACTGCAGAGATAGCAAAGACATTTTATCCTAAATGGGCTTTGGCGACTAGCCTAAATATTAAATTTGAACTCAATTGAACATGGACACAAACGATGGTCACCAAGTCCCAGAACGGATTGTGTGAGCTCTTTGAGGCGTTCATCCAGCGTTGTTTCGGAGAAATCTCTATTTCAATCTATTCCTATACATTAGTTATTGAAAAACAATAGACAACCGCAAAAACAAGTTGACCTTTTTGTGTTCCTTGATCCTGGTCACAAAGGGCCCTTGTGACTGGACCTCATGCCAAACAACTCGTTACAAAAAGAGCTAGGGTTCCAGACTGCGCCGAAGCTTCATGAGACCTCTCCTTGTCTGCATGGACGAGTGGCCAACTCTGGAGCCCAGGCTGTTGCTTCCCAGTCTGGTGGTGAATCCTCCATAGTCTGGTGAGTGTAAATACATATATATATCTTTTCCCTTCTCCCTTCCCATTGCAATTTGCTTATTATATCATTTGCTTATATCTGCACTGCCATTTGGGATAAAGCTTGTTTACCCTTAAAGGTATTGTGTGTGTGTCTCCTCCCGCGCGCATTTCCCACACAGAACACCTAAGAACCTATTTTTTATGATTTTTACGAGAAGTGAATTCCAAGTTGTGCCTCAGAATTCAGAATATATCTTTCAACCTCCTACTCATCCCCTCACCACCCTGGTGAACACAGTGTCTGGCCAGCAGGAATGAATGAAGAAGACTATTTTATGTTCTTAATAACTTGCTTGGAAATGAACAGAGCACAATTTATCAAACCAAAGCAAATATTTATACAGGCAGATCCCTTAAAATTGAGGATTAATGCTTAGGAAGAATTTTTTAGAATTTTCCAAATTAACCACTTGTCTTTCTCAGAAATAAATCTGTTACTGATGCTTCCTCCACCAACCAGCTGCAAAACCACACACTATTCTTTGAAGGAGGAACACAGAAAACCAACTTACTTCCTGGGGCATTTGGGAGAGGAATCTAAAAATCCTAGTGATATGGCAATGACTAGAACCTTTTTTTTTTTTGTAACAACAAAGCTAAAAGGGGATGTGTAACTTAGCTTGACTTGTAAAAATATTCGTAGAAGTCATCTATATTTTACCACTTTGTGTAACTAAGGCAGAGCATTAGAGATTATTCACATCATTAAATATGTCCAGTTAAATTATTAGATTACAACACCAACCTCTTGTTCATAGTCTCTCAGTCTTCAGCTGGGCACGGGGGCTCACGCCTGTAATGCCACCACTTTGGGATGCCGAGACGGGCGGATCACTTGAGGTCAGGAGTTTGAGACCAACCTGGGCAACATGGTGAAACCCCGTCTCTACTAAAAATACAAAAATTAGCTAGGCGTGGTGGCAGGTGCCTATAATCCCAGCCACTCGGGAGGCTGAGGCGGGAGAATCACTGGAACCCAAGAGGTGGAAATTGCAGTAAGCCAAGATGGCACCACTGCACTCCAGCCTGGGTGACAAGAGCAAAACTCTTGTCTCAAAAAAAAAAAAAAAAAAATAGTCTCTCAGTCTTCATACTTTGTTGCTTAGTTGGATTATCTGCTCCTAGGTTTTAATATAAGATGAAATAAAAGTGCTGGCCTAGGAATTGGAGGCCAATTTACCTTAGGGGCAAAGGCAATGGTGGTGAATATACCCAACAGCTTCACTTTCTATGGAGCCAGCTTGTAAAATCTTGGGCAAGGATGGTGGCAGCAGAGCTGTCTGCCTAAGCATCATGTAGAAAATTTTTTAATGGTTTCTTTGGACCCTAGCTTGCAGTGTCATTTCTGCTTCTCATTGTATTGGAAATCCATGGTTTTGTTACATAATGTACTCCTAAAAATGTATACACATGTGTTGAGTATGTGGAAGTTGAATATATTTATGTTATAAATGAGCAGTTCTGTTTCTGGAAAATGAAAATTTTCACCTCATCACTACAGACATTCTTTGATAACACAGTCCCAGTGTTTCATCCAGATTATTTCATTTTCTTCTTTTACATATAACCAACCATTTTGGATGTTAAAGGAACAACCAGTGAGGGCTTAAGATCTGCTGCTTTTGACTTGGCACTCCTGATCAGTTCCATCCGTGTCTCAAGTGTATCACATTCACGAGACAAGGCTTCTCATCAGCAATTTCAATTTTATGTTTTCTACTTATTTTTATATAAGAATACAATGCAACAAAATATTCATATATTGCACAAACAGTGATGTGCATACAAAGATGCTAACAACATTGGCTGGTAATAGGCTTTACCATGTTACGATCTAAATGCTTGTTCATCAGAGAATGTACAAAATTCTAAGTTTGGCATCCAAAAGGGGGCTTACAGTTATTGAATATTTTTCCCAGCCCTATTTTAAATCAAATTCAAGTTTGCCTATGACAAAGACTGTCTATAAGTAACAGGGCAAGCATACCAACATCAAAATTATTCTTCTTCTTATCTCACGTGCCCCTATTTCTCCCAAATAAGTGACAAGGAGAGTAAAAGGATCACTGAGGGAACATTTGAAGAATGCTACTAAGTGCCAGGTCCTGTACAAGGTAATTAATTACTACAAACACTCTCGTGATGGACATGGCCAATAGTGTATTTTGTCAAAAAACAAAAACAAAACCCAAGATTCCAGAAGCTGTTTCTGACAAGAAGTCCTTGTTTCAGTACTCTTCAGTATGAGTCCTTACTTGCAGGACTGAGGAATGAAATTGAGAAAGAACCTTTAATCATTAGAAAAGGACCCAATAAAACTATACTTAAATGGATCATTAATGTGGATTTTTTTACATTCGTGTGGGATAGAGAATAATCCCATGGGAAACAAACACATTTTGAATATTTTTTAAAGAAGTATTTCTGATTCTAATTTTACTGTATGTTTAGGCATCATTAAGGACCTCTGATTTGAAGGTAGATTTATGTGCCAGGGACTCCAAATTCATGACATGTTTTAAGGCTCCATATTCCATGCAAAAATGGACTTACTGAGCATGGTGGTAATAATAAGTATGTAAAAAATAGATAACTACAGTCGTACTTTGGTATCCATGGGGGATTGGTTCCAGGATCCCCCAGTATCAAAATCCACAAATGCTCAAGTCCCATATATAAAATAGCATAGTATTTGCATATAACCTATGCACATCCTCCTGTATGCTTTAAATCATTTCTAGATTTCTTATAATATCTAATACAATGCCTACACATCACTTCATTTACATGAATTCAACATACTTCTTGGCATGCAGCAAATTCAAGTTTTGCTTTTTGAAACTTTGTAGATTTTTTTTCAAATATTTTTGATCCAAGGTTGGTTGAATCCACGGACACAGAACCCATGGATTTGAAAGGCTGACTGTATTTCTATTTTAGGTTTGTTTTTCCTCCTCAGAAGCCTCAACGAAGAAAAAGTCAAAGGTCCTTCTCTCTCTATGACCAGAAATAAAACCTATAAAGGAAATAGAGCACTAAGTGGGGTCCCTGGAATCCCCAGCTTCTGGTTTCCAGCCACTTCTAGATGTTCTCTGGAAACATAACTGCGTTGAAACCATACTGAAGTATAAATTCCCAAATTGGAAAGAAAACAAACAAACTTGGTAGTCTCATGCCTGGGAGATACGGAAGATGGAAAATTCTGGAAGACCAATAGGCACTGATGAATTTCTACATCTGGGCATTTCTTGAGGGAGAGAGGGCCTGGCTATTTGGAGATGGAAAATGTGGTGACCTAGAATGAGCAGGCCCAGTCTAGACTAACCTCTTTATTTAACCAACTGAATAGTCTTGGTTCCAGACTTCTGTGGAACCTCAGATTTGCCTTCTGTATAAGAGGAGTTTGTACTAATCCCTCTAGTCTTTTTCAGTTGGTTGTGTGTGACCAGCCCTAGCACTTAAATACCCTGCTGAATATACAGAAAAGTAGAAGAATTATTTTAAAATTAGGTCACTTATCTTACTTGAATACTACAAGTCTCACACTATAACCTCTTCTAGAAATCAGGCTGAACTAGCAAATACATAAAGACTAATATAAGTGCATTTCAGTAAAATCACTGGTGAAGTACATTTATGATCATTCTTTTTAGGCTTCTGATATGGCAAATTAGAGGTAAGTATTTCGATTAAGTCTTCATCCTTTTGGCAAACAAGTATATGGTTCGATATACTTGGTGATGGTGAATGAAGCCCTTAGTTTTTCACTTCTTCGTGCCTTAATAAAATCTTCGAGGCAAGCCCAAACCAGCAGGGCTGCAGCATTATCAGCAATGAGAATGGATCTTAAGGTCAACAGTCATGCTATAAAACTCAACATGAAGACATCATTAACAGGCTGAAGACTGTGAGTCTTAAAGTCCTGAAGTAGGCAGGTTTTAGGAGGTGGAATCAGCGTCCTCTGGGTGGAACAGGTGGAGGAGGATGGAAGGTCTCCCTGGTCGGAGGCCTAAAATGAAAGATAAGGCAACTCTATTTAAAAACTAATTTGATTAAACAGTTCTTAGGAATGCACAATTTGTTGCAAACTTGGTATACTATGCAAAGGACACAATCCTCAATGAGACAGGACACACATATGAATGTATGAGTGACACGCATGCTAGCTGTGGCTTGCAATCCTGGCGGCACATTAGAAACACCAGTGGAGCTTTTAAAAATACCAATTCCAAGGATCCATCCCAGACCCATCGCATTCTAAGCTCTAGAGGATAGGACTCAAGCCACAAAGCTTTTGAATAGTTTCCCTCCCCAAACAGCTGTCCTCACCAATCCTTTCATTATCTGATGTTTTGCCATCTTGGGGCCTTGCTGACCCTGGAGAGACTGCCCCTCCCAGGGTAAGCTAAAATTCCTAGAAACAGCAAACAAGCTACTTGCCTTCCAGTGCTAAATATACCTTTCGTATGCAAACCAACCAGTCCAGATGCATGCCCCAACCACCTCCTCTATGGGGCTTTCACACTCCACTTTATGGGGCCACCATCCACTTGCCCTTATCACCCTAGGGCCAGGTACCAGACGACTAGAGTCAGCCCTTATGCCTCAGAGCCAATGAAATTATTCAAACTAGCCAATTCTAAATCTTACCCAGGCTCACCTGTTTTGTCCCATGGAAACCACAATAAAAGCTCTTGTCCACATTTTCCCCTGCTCCTCTGCCTCCTCACTGGCCCTGATGCTTCCCCATGTAGCCCCCTATGGGTTGATGTACCCCTGTTTTGGGATCTGTGAGTATAACAAACTATCTTTTCAGTGGCAGTTGTCTCCTGAGCTGTTGACTTTGCCATACCTACATAATAATAAAACCTAGGTTTTAAAACACCAGCAATTCTAATAGCCACTTGGGAGACACACTGTAGTAGGGAGATTTGTTGAGAGAGGAATTGGAATTTCCAAAGCCTGCTTCTCATGACTGCTTCCTCATGAGATAACTGTTATCTCAACTGTTATCCCAACTCTGCATCTGCCTTCCTAGAAACTTCCCTCCATGTTATTCTGTATGGTTTTTGAACAGTCTTAAATGACATTCCAGTTAGACTAGGGTGAGTCTATTTACAGACAGGTTCAAGGATTACAGATGGCATTTCCACGTGTGTACTGTAAAACCAATATTTAATTCCCTTGGAAGCAAGTCAATAAGTCAAGAAAAAGAGCTTTGTTAGGTGCTATAATTGAACTGTGCCACCCTGGAGTTGCATACTTGAGGATTGATTGAATCAAAGAGTAAATATGTACTAAATGTCTCTTGAATGCAAGGTTTGTATAGGTCAAGGAAATGACAACTGAGTTGGGAAAAGAGGGGCTGCCTCAGGAGCAAGAGAGGGAGGCAGGAGCAGAAAATAAGAATCACAGACAACCTTGGGAGGTCCTGCCCTAGTCCCAGGATTAGATGGTTTTGTATGGTTGTCACTGAGTGACTGAGCTTTATACCATGAAAAAAAAAAGGATGGCCTCCTTCTATCTCTTCAGCCTGCCCTGTGAGTTTGGGGTTATAGGAGAAAGCCAAAGGGCATGATACCACTTTTACCTGAGCAAATTTAGCCTGCCCACCTCTCTGCCTTCTTTTTTTCTTTCTTTCTTTCTTTCCTTCCTTCCTTCCTTCCTTCCTTCCTTCCTTCCTTCCTTCCTTCCTTCCTTCCTTCTTTCCTTCCCTCCCTCCCTCCCTCCCTCTCTCTCTCTCTCTCTCTCTTTCTTTCTTTCTTTCTTTCAACAAACACTAATTTACTTTATATCCACTCCTGGGTATGGGATATAACAGCAAGTAAAGTGGTCATGGATTAGGCCCTCAAGATGATGCAAGTGTGTGGATGAGACGGACAATAGGCAAAAAATCAGTAAACTCTACAGAGCAATTTGGTAAGGGAGGTTCAGAACCTATAGGAACATATAGCATAGACATTTATGCATATATCTCTGTGTGTGCAAGTTCAACGCCTCTGCAATTGTTTTCTCATCTGCCAAACAGAGGTACTGATCCCTACGTTGGAGTACCATGTGAGGCTTGGAGATGACAGTAGGAAAGTAGGTAGCAGTTTCTGGCTTGGAGTAGGCACACAACAAGTAAAGCTAATAATGAGATAATGACGATTAAAGATCTATTCTGAAATCTGTTCCCCAGGTATGCCCCATGAGCCTTACATTTTATCTTCTATCACAAAGACAACCATGATTTCCTCCCAGCCCCTCTTCCGCTTTCTGCTGCCACACTGTGCAGTTGGGGTGGGCCTATGGGCATACCCTCTCTAGGTTTCATTCTGAGGAACAACTCCAGCTAAAGATTGGAAGCTACATCTCAAGGAAACTTATTTATAATTGCAGACCTATAATTATAGTGGGTTTTTTTTGTTTTTTTGTTGTTTTTTTTTTTTTTTTTGAGACATGGACTCACTCTGTCATCCAGGCTGGAATGCAATGGCGCAATCACAGCTTACTACAGCCTCAAACTCCCAGGCTCAAGCAATTTGCCCACCTCAGCCTCTCGAGTACCTGAGACTACAGGCACACACCACCACACCTGGCTAATTTTTTTTGTTTGTTTGTTTTGTAGAGATGGGATTTTGCCAAGTTGCCCAGGCTGGTCTCAAACTCCTGAGCTCAAGGAATCCCTCCCTCCCTGCCTCAGCCTCCTAAAGTGCTGGGATTACAGGCATGAGCCACTGTGCCTGGCCAAGAGTGTGAAGTTTCTTTCACTCATCTATAACCCCCCTGCATACGGTGGTAGATGACTTGATGGCTACTTTTTTTAAGAGCTCCGGAAGTCCAACCCAAACAGTACCAATCTATCCTTCCATCCATTCACTTAACACAGTGAGTACCTTTTAAGTTCCTAGTATGTGCCACTTACTCTGCCAGGCACTAGGGATAGGAGAAAAAAAATTAAAAGTCAAAAATGGTGTCTCACAGGTTCGCCATTCATTGAGGAGACACATCTACACAAGGGTCGCAACACAGAGTGTATTATTAGAGTATAGAATATAATAGAAGTGCTTGGGAAACCAAAAGAAGATTCACTCGCATGGGAACATTAGGGAGGGCTTCACAGAGGAGGTGATGTTTGAACTGAGTCCTAAAGGATGTATAGGAATTTTCTAAGCAAGAGTAGAAGGGAGTAGGAAGACAGCATTCCAGGCAAAAGGAACAGATTGGGCAAAGAAACAGTACAGAGTGGCAGAGCTCACTGGGAATGCTGAAGTGGCAGATCATCGGTGAATACAGGAGAGGGGCAGGACTTGAGCTAGGCAGAGCCAAAGAATGCTGAAATACACAGAATTAAACGTGAAGGCTTTTATGCCAGGCAATGGCATCATCAGCTATTCCTGTTCTAGAAAGGGCACTCTGGCTGCAATGTGGAGGAGGGAGTGACTGGAGGAAGGGAGGTAAGTGTGGGCCTTCAAGAATGAACTTAGGCACTAGCAGATGGAAAGGAGGGCGGATCTGACAGCTGAAAGAGCAGCAGAACGGACAGAGCATGAAGACACACTGGATATGAGAGCTGTGAGGGGGGCAGGGATCAAGGATGACTCCCAGGTTTGGGGCTTGGGGAAGGGAGAGAATGGTCCCACTATCTCAGGCTGGGAACTCATGAGAAGAAGGCAGTTTGGGGTAGAGAATGGTAGGTGGGCTGATGAGTTCAGTTTTGCACAGGCTATGTTTGAGATATTGGTGGGGTCCCTGAATGAAGATCCCCAGTCAACTGCAGGAAAGAGAAGGCTGAGATGGAGATGGAGACTTGGGGTCTTTGTCTGCTGGTGGCAATTCAAGCTCTGGGATAGCATGTAGAGTGAGCAGAGGCAAGGACCAGAACCGGGATGGAGTGGGATGGAGGCTGTACTACCAGTGCTGTTTGGTTTGGGCCAGGGGTTAGCAGGGAGGTTAGAACACGGGCAGAGAAGAGATGCTGATGCCCAGATCTGACAGTGGAGTCTAGGACACCAAGGCCAGCCTTCAATCCTGTCTATAAGCAGGTCAAACATTGAAGTCATTCTGGAGAGAGTCCCATTTTATTATCTGCTCAAATATCCCCGTATTTTATTGTGAACATTGCATACTCACACATCTTTTTTCACACCAAAAATGCACCCAAACCCCAAGTTCTATCAATTACAAACTGCTTCGTAAACATTGTTTCTTTAGCAAAAAATGTTTTCCTCCTTTTCTCTCCCCATCTCTATCACAACTTGCTTCCAGACTCCCCAAACAACTCAACCACCATCTCTTTTTACACATTTACATGCTTCCTAGTTTCTATCCTTTAATTTTTGGAACCTGTTTCCCCGGTTGTCTTCTCTTTCTCTTCTGTTAACAAAATCCCACCGAAACCTTGTAGCTAAAGTTTTAAACTTGACAACTCTTTTATCTTGGTACAATTAGACAACTGCTTCCAAAGTCCTCACCTTCAGGAATAAAAGGCCTTGGATCTTGAACCTCCTCCCCTAATACTGAGACTTTCTTGGAGAGGTATAAAACAATGCCTATGAGATGAAGTCTGGCAGGTTTGCCACACACAGCAAGTCTCAGCCCAATCTCAAGCCCCAGTTTCTACATCTGCAAAATGGGATAACACTAAATACCTACGTCTTAGGATTGTGGAGAGAATTAAACAGGATAATGCATTTAGTATGTTTAACGGAATACCTGCCACATAGTAAGTCTCAATAAATAACAGCATTTATCACCATCACTGCTCTTGGTAAGCCCTCCAATCACCAACTATGTGATAATTTTCAAGCAACAGAGCACAGTGCAAATTCAGGGGATGGGACTAGATTACTGCTAAGCTTCCTTCCAGGACTAATATTCTAATCCGTGCCTTCCAGTCTACACCAGGAAAGCATGCCCGGTGGGTGTGGCACAGCCTGGGCCTGGGCGATGTTTGAGTAGCAAGTGCCAACACACAAATGTTGCTGGGAGCGCATGAGAAAGTGATAAATAGCAAAGGGAGAAATGGAAAGATCCTTAGCACAGAGCCAGCCTCTCTTTCCAGAACACCAGAAGAAAGACCTCCTTGTTGCACTTTCTCAACAAATTCCACTGATGAGCTTCATCTAAAAGTTTCAAAATGCAAAAATCAAAACAAAACCCTGGTTGAAGAAAAGCTTCCTCCTTCCTTATGCCCCATTAACACATGAACATTTTATTTTAAACATCGAAGAGTTAACTCCTCAGACAAGCCTTGGCTTTTATTCCCAAGGGCTCCTTTCTGCATCTGTGGACACACAGCTAGCTGTGACCACTTTTTCCGTTACTCCACAAGACTGAACCATAAAAAGGTTCCTACCAGAGGCCCAAGTATCATATAAACAAAGGCATACATCAAAATCTAGTAAATTAGTCAAATTCTTTAGTCTAATGCTCATCTCCAAATCTCTAGATATTAACTCCTCTCCTGTATAAAAAAAAAGATCACTTATATTGCTGAGTTCTCACTATAGGCCAAGAACTCAATGCTTATGATTCTGCAGAAAGTTCTGTTATTATCCTCATTTTATAGACAAGGAAATTGAGGCTGGGCATGGTGGCTCATGTCTGTAATCCCAGCACTTTGGGAGGCTGAGGCGAGCAGATTACCTGAAGTCAGGAGTTCGAGGCCAGCCTAGTCAAAATGGCGAAACCCTGTCTCTACTAAAAACACAAAAATTAGCCAGGCGTGGTGGCAGGTACCTGTAATCCCAGCTACTCGGAAGGCTGAGGCAGGAGAATCACTTGAACCCAGGAGGCGGAGGTTGCAGTGAGCCGAGATCACACCACTGCACTCCAGCCTGGGTAACAGAACAAGAATCTATCTCAAAAAAAAAAAAAAAAAAAAGGAAATTGAAATACATGAAAGTTAAATAGTTCTTGCAAGTTTGCAAATAGCTGCTGGAGACTTGACCCCAGGTAGGGGGGCTCTAGAGTCAGGCTTCCCACCACCATACGATGTAGCCTGTCACCTGCATTTTCATTTCCAATTCCTTCATATTTTCTGTTCCCCAAAAGGCACTGTCCCTACAGTCCAGCCAAGGGAATTAGTTATTGGAGAGTTGAATTCTAGCCAAACTGATAAAAACAATTTTAAAAGTTGACATTTTTCAATGTATTTCATTTATGAAACATTGCATTTGCTATTTAAAGTATTTGCAACTAAATAATGCATCACTTAAATTAATGAAGGGTCCACATTGAAATGTGTCCAATGGAGTAGGCATTTCAATTAGCTCTGTACTTATTCTTTTTTTTGAGACAGTTTCTCTCTGTCACCCAGGCTAGAGTGCAGTGGCATGATCTCGGCTCACTGCAACCTCTGCCTCCCGGGTTCAAGCAATTCTCCTGCCTAAGCCTTCTGAGTGGCTGGGACTACAGGCGTGTGCCATCATGCTCGGCTAATTTTTTGTATTTTTAGTAGAGATGGGGTATCACCATGTTAGCCAGGATGGTCTTGATCTCTGGACCCTGTGATCCGCCCGCCTTGGCCTCCCAAAGTGCTGGGATTACAGGCATGAGCCACTGCGCCCAGCTCTGCGCTTATTCTTTAGTCATCTTAGGTGTTTCCAAGTCCTATTCTCCCCTAGGATTCAGAGATAAGGGAAAAATTTCATATCAGTTTTGATGTTACCTCTGTGAGGCAGCTCTCGGAGGCACCCTGGGGGGTCTCTCGAGGGACATGGTGGGTGTCCCATCCACTTGTGGGGGGCCTGGACTGCGACTTCTGGTAACCTCAGGGACTTCATTATCCTACAGCAAAGAAGATGAGAAAGAAAGGCGAAAACTACATTCAGCAACCAGCATAGCTGGACAACCGTAACTCAAAAGCCCCTTGGTCCTCCTTAGGCTGGGGCTGAAGGTTGTTTGCAAATTGATAATCAACCCAGCCATACCTGGCAGCTTTCCATTTCTTCCTGAAGTCACTGAGGCACTGAGGAAGACAATCTGGCCCCAATGATCATTAATTGCCTGAATTCTAATTCCTTGCTACTCAAAGTGTGCTCTGTGGCCGGTCAGCATCAGCATCAGGTGGAAGCTTATTAGAAATGCCCACCCAAGGACTCTTCTCAGAAGGCTTCAGAGTTGGCAGTGACCCATGTGGCCCCTCCTGCTTGTCCCAGCCACTGGTCCCTGGATCAAGCTAGACACATGTCCCAAATTGGGCCAACTTGGAATGGGGCCTCAACCTAAAGCAGCAACTTACTCCCTGCTCGGAGGCCTAGTGGACTCAGGGGACTGTGGAGAAGCAGAAGGCAGAGGTGTGAGGGGAAAGAAAGCGGATGTGCACAGAGAAGCAGAGACCAAAGAGCTTTTGGGCCTGGGATACACAGAACAGTGACCCCGGCTCCCTCTGGCAGGTCCTGCAGCTCCTAATCCAGACCCAGAGCACGGCCCCTAACCCTGGATCCCCTGAGACTCACCTGCTCCTTCCCACAGATGCCCCTTAAGGTTTCACTAGTAAGAGTGGATTTCCAGCTGTCTATTTCCTTCCTTCCTTTCTTTCCTTCTTTTCTATTTATTGAGGTGAAGTTAACATAAACTTAACCATTTTAAAGTGGACAATTCAGTGGCATTGAGTGTATTTACAATGTTGTGCAGCCTCTATCTAGTCTTAAAACGTTTTCATCACCCCAAAAAGAAACCCTGTGTGATGGTGAATACTGACTATCAACTTGATTGGATTGAAGGATGCAAAGTATTGATCCTGGGTGTGTCTGTGAGGGTGTTGCCAAAGGAGATTAACATTTGAGTCAGTGGGCTGGGGAAGGCAGACCCACCCTTAATCTGCGTGGGCACCATCTAGTCAGCTGCCAGCCAATATAAAGCAGGAAGAAAAACGTGAAAAGCAGAGACTGGCTTAGCCTCCCAGCCTACATCTTTCTCCCATGCTGCATGCTTCCTGCCCTCAAACACTGGACTCCAAGTTCTCCAGTTTTGGGGACTCAGACTGGCTTCCTTGCTCCTCAGCTTGCAGGTGGCCTCTTGTGGGACTCTGTGATTGTGTGAGTTAATACTACTTAATACACACACACACACACACACACACACACACACACACACACCACATATATATATATGTTCTGTCCCTCTAGAGAACCCTAATACACCTGTCCCCATTAAGCAGTTTCTTCCCATTCCTCCTCCCTCCAGCCGCTGGCAACCACCAATCTTCAAACTGTCTCTGTGGATTTGCCCACTCTGGCATTTCATATAAATGGAATCCTATAATATATGACCTTTTGTGCCTGGCTCCTTTCACCTGGGTTTCTATCTCTTGCGATGAAACGACCCCTAGGACAGGATAGGTGGGGTGGAGTCCCAGCTCTCACCTCGTTGTCCCCTTCCATCCCGCTGCTCACACTGAGGAGGCTCCGGGTGCTGGAGCGGTTACTTGTGCTACCTAAAGGGTAGAAAGAAAATCAGCCGGATTGAGGATTCTTTCAGGCTAAAATAAAATAGAGAACTCTAGAACTTATTTAGTTTTATTGATATAAATAATACATAAGCTGTAAGTATGGGGTTCTTCAAACTTTGGCCATCTTATACTTTTTGTTTTCTTAGAGACAAGGTCTTGCTGGAGTGCAGTGGCATGATCACAGCTCATGGTAGCCTCAAACTCCTGGACACAAAAGATCCTCCTGCCTTAGCCCCCTAAGTAGCTGGGACTACAGGTGTGTGCCACCACACCTAGCCAATTTTTTTTTTTTTTTTTTTTTTTTTTTTTTTTTTGTAGCAACAGGATCTCACTCTGTTGCACAGGCTGGTCTTCAACTCTTGGGCTCAAGCGATCCTCCTGCCTCAGCCTCTCAAAGTGCTAGAATTACAAGTGTGAACCACTATGTCCAGCCTTCTACCATTTTATTAGAGTTCAGTTTTTCTTTCAGCATGAAACAAAATTATTCACTTTTTGATGACTAACTTTGGCATTACTGCTACCATTGACTGAGGGCTTTGAAAATGTGATTGCCATTTAACCCCTATGAAAATCCTGTTTGATATTAGTGCTCCAATTTGAAGGACAAGACAGCAAAGGTATTCTGATTCTCAGCTCTTCAGTGGTATTTCTAAAATCTGCAAACTAACTTTGTTGCTGCAGTTTTTTGCTTAGGAATTCTAGCAAACAGGTATGTATCACCCATGCAGACACGCCTTGTAATAAGGGGCCGGACCCTTTGACACAAAACAAAATGCAAAGTACACACTCAAAAGTATAATTTTTTTTTTCCCCGAGACTGAGTTTTGCTTTGTTACCCAGGCTGGAGTGCAGTGGCACGATCTCGGCTCAGTGCAACCTCCACCTCCCAGGTTCAATGGATTCTCCTGCCTCAGCCTCCCAAGTAGCTGGGACTACAGGCACGTGCCACCACGCCTGGCTAATTTTTGTATTTTTAGTAGAGACAGCATTTCATCATGTTGGCCAGGCTGGTCTCAAACTCCTGACCTCATGATCCGTCCACCTCGGCCTCCCAAAGAGCTGGGATTACAGGTGTGAGCTACCATGCCGGGCCCTCAGAAGTATAATTTATGTTCATGGTCAGAATTGTGACTGTGAGTTTAGGCACTCAAGGCTTTTCAGTTGGGAATTTATCACCTGTATCATTAGATTAGCATCATCCAATAGAACTTTCAGGGCATCTTTTACTGTGTGTTATCCAATATGGTAGCAAGTGGGAAACATGGCTAGTGCAACCAAGGAAATGAATTTTAAATTTTATTTAGTTGTAATTAACTTAAAAATGTAAATAACCACGTGTGGCCAGTGGCTACCATAACTGGACAGCACAGCATTAGAAGAAAGCCCAGGACATGGTGATCTAGCAGAGAAGAAGAAAAAATAAGAGTTAATCAACAAAAATAAGGAGATCTTAACTTTAATTTTCCAATATTCTCACTAACAACATAGTCAAGATCTTAGGTTTGCTGAATTTCCACTTCAAATAGCTCCTGGTCATGTAAGTTTATAGGTAGTCAAAAAATAGTTTTGACTGCATTCTGGTATCAACTTTGACCGAATTAATTTAGATGTTAGCTTGAATAGAGCAGGTTAAGATTCTAATTTTGAATTCTTTTTTGGGGACAGATTTTTAAATAAAATAATACGTCAAAATGTTTCTATAATCCAGGGGATGCAGAAATTGTTTATTAAGGAACATGAGCCGGGTGCGGTGGCTCACGCCTGTAATCCCTACACTTTGGGAGGCTGAGGCGGGTGGATCACGAGGTCAGCAGTTTAAGACCAGCCTGGCCAAGATGGTGAAACCCCGTATCTACTAAAAATACAAAAATTAGCTGGGCGTGGTCGCGGGTGCCTGTAATTCCAGCTACTTGGGACACTGAGGCAGAGAACTGCTTGAACCCGGGAGGCAGAGATTGCAGTGAGCCGATATCATGCCACTGCACTTCAGCCTGGGCGACAGAGTGAGACTCCGTCTCAAAAACAAAAACAAAAACAAAAAGGAACATGTGATCCTGTCTCTTTCTACTCGTTACCCATACACAACACTGTTCAAGGACCAGGCTGTCTTTTTCTCCCTACTCTTCCCAGCCCACTCCTGTCCACAAGTCTAAAACCTCCTCAGTCTCCAAGGCTCAGGACAAATGCTATCAAAACCTCCCCACATTCCCCCAACTAAAAGTAGCCCCTCGGGCCCACGGGCCCCCATCCCTCTGTGGCTAAGCCTCCCCATGCCATTCCTCATTGTTCATCACATTCCCTTACGATGAGCCATAATCCTTTTGAAGGTTATCTACTAGCAAGAAGTCATAAAGCTGCCACAGGCACCAGCTCCATGACTCCGGAAACTCATACCAATCAGTTCCCACTGTCCCTTCTGCTGGCATTCTTAAATCTTCAACCCCAATGTTTGGCTCTGAACCTTGGCCCTGGCCCTCCTCCTCTCCAAGCTGATGACTTACTTGCCCAATCCCCTCTAGGCTACACAGTTGTTAGGAGACTCTGGCCCTAGCTCCCATCATCTTCACACTTGCCAGGGGGAAGGGGGGCAGTGCCCACCCCTTGGTAGGCTTCTACCATCAGGGGAGAAGTATCGGACAAGCATCTAACGCCATGCTACTCTTGTACTTTCTCTCCTCCGTTACAAGGCTCCTAAAGACAGGCTCTGGTTCTTTTTCATCTTTGGTTCTCTAGCATACAGTCTAGCTCAGTATACAAAGAGCTATCCTCAGTATTTGGTGGATCAAGGAGTGAGAGAAAAAAATGACCATATAAAAGTATAATACGATTCTTAAGAAACTTGGTTACACTTGAAACTAGCGTCTGTTTTAAAAAAGAAAGAAAGAAAAAAGAAACTTGGGCCAGACAACCTAGGAGGTCAACAGCCTTTCTGTTTTGAAATTTTTGTTCTCTTAAACATAACACTAATATCTGGCGCTTGAATTTTTAGTTATAACCAGATTTAACCTGCAACTGTTTTTCTGTGGTTCCCAAGAGATGACAGCTGCACCATAATAAAAACAGTGTTTTTTTTAGGGTGTGATTCAGGGGGTTAAGGGGCAGTTGGTGGATAAGCTGGGCCATCCTCACTCTCCCTCTCTGCCATGGGAATTATTTCTATTTGGAAGGCAGTACACCCCCACAGCTGAAAGCACAGGAAGACATAGATGTGAATTCCAGACCCCCTGCTTGCTTGCCAAGAGACTTGGGGCAAGTTGCCTACCCTTTCTGCTCCATTTTCTTATCTAGAAACTCACAGCACTGTTGTATAAAATGAACCCGAAAATATGGTGACATGCTTGGCACAGGGCATGCAAAGAGAAAGCATTTGATTAATGGAAGCAGCTATCTATACTATTATCCATTTCAAGATGGTAGACTAACCACCAGTGACCCCCTAGTCAACCTCCCGCCCAGGATCCACACCTTTGTATGCTCCTGCCCCCTGCCACACTCTAGCTTAGCCATGTGACCTGCTTTGGCCAATATGGCATTAGCAAGTGTGATGCAAGCCAAAGCTTGACAGGCACTAGCAAACTGGAGCTTTTCCTTTTGGCCTATTCCCTCTCCAGATCTTGTTGCCATATAAAAGGCTATGAATTAAAGGCCACGTGTAGAGAGGCCCCGGAGGATGAGAGGTTTCCTTGGATGTTCCAGCCCAAGCAGGGCTTACTGCTGAATGCTGGCTCATGAATGACCCCAGCCGATGCCACAGAGGAAAGATGAACCACCGTCCCCCACTGAGTCCTGTTTAAGTTGTAGGATAAGGTATAAATGAAGGGTTGTTTTAAGCCACTACATTTTGGCATGGTTTATTGCATGGCAAGAGATAACAGAAACTGTATAACAGGGGCCGGGTGCAGACTACAGCCACAAAGTAGAGTAAAATCCATTGGTCTGTCATTTAGTAACATTTTCTAACCAGATGAGCCAGCCAACCCTGGGCACTAAACCACTGCACAAGGGGAAAAGCACAGTTTATTCTTCCCATCTTCTCCTCACCCCAGGCTATCCCCCAAAAAACATATACACAAAATCTATTCAATTACTCTGAACCTGAAATTAGTGCATTTCTCTTGTTAAATTTCCAGCTGTCACTCTCCTTCCCCACCCTGGGATGCACTGTTCTCACCCTGAGAGGGTTCTACCACTTTCCTCCTCCACAGGTCTGAGAGACAGAGATAGCCACCTGTCCCTTGCTCCTTCTGCCACCTGTGATCCCTGAGGACATCTCTCCCATTCCTGAACTTGTCAGAATTCTCAAATTGCCCCCAGTGGGCTTTGCATACAAATGATCACCCCCATTATGTAAGAGGAAGTTTTCTCCTCTGTCCAGACTAGACTTCCCAGGCAGTCACGTGATAGGCTGTGGGTCTGTTTTGACAGGTAATGAGGGCAGAGAAAGGAGCTAGGATCTACTCGCACCTTTGCCATTCACTGGCTATGTAACCTTGGGCAAAATTCTCTCTCTTTCCGGGTCACAAATACCCCATCTATAAAGGATGAAGGAAAACTAGCTCAGAGGTTCTTGACCTAAGTCCATGGGTGGGCAAAATTGTGTGTGTGTGCCCACAGACACATGCATACACCTGTGCATGTATCTGGGGGACACAGCCAAAGTATGTATCAGATTCTCAAGGGGCTTTGTGATGCAGAAAAGATTAAGAACCCCCAGAGTTAGATAACCTTCCTGCTCCAACATGCGTTATGGGGTTCTCTGCCCGACATTTAAGGAGATATGAGTCCTGAAATTCAGCTGCTCTCTGGCTCTTTTATTGCTTTCCTAGCTGTTTTATTAGCACTGAAATGTATGAAAGAAGAGAAACTCAATCTATGTGGCTTGTGAAGCCAATGTGTCTGGAGTCAGCTAACACTGCCCTGGATACGGGAACAAAGCCCTCGGCTCCTGCCTGATGCATCAGGCTGTATTGTCTGTGCAATCAGACGACTATTGAAGCTTTCCAGCCAAAAGGAAGGCATTTCCTAATTAGATCCTCAACCTGCCTGTAAAGTTGGAATGTTCAAATTTGAGTTCATTATTTTCTTTTTCTCTTCTTTCTTTTTATTTTACTTGAGTACATTGTTTTCTGATATTTCTGACTCTGTGCCCTTTCCTTTGCTTTATCATAGTTGAGGAAGCAGCAAAGAATGGTGGCTAAGAGCCTTGGCTCTGTATCCAGAATGAGTTCAAATTCCGGCTATTCCACATTAGCTATTTAACCTAGGCCAGAGCACTAAGCCTCTTGCTTCCTCCTCAGTAAACAAAGATGACAGTCCCTATTCCATAGAGCTTCAGTGAGAATTAAATTAGATAATCTATAAAGAGGCTTAGAATATAGTAAATGCTCAATAAATGTTACCTATTAGTATTAGGTTTTGATATTTAGAAAAGGGCCAGAGTAATAATTATCACGTAACTAGGTTTCATGGGATACAAAGCAAACCTCATAGTCAAACAGTAACTCGGCCCCACCTTTTATACCTCTCAAACCCAAACCAGGCCCCACTGGAGATCTCCTGGGCTCTTAAGAGGATGTTTCCTAAGGTCCAAGGGTGCCAGCTGGAGCCCAGTCAAGAAGACCCCACCCCCGCACCCCCAGCTGCTCACTTGCTGTGCTGGAGGTGCTGTCTGTTTTCCAGTCTCCTCGTCTCAGCTCCGTCCTAGGGGGAATGACACTTTTCCTGGGGCCACTCTCATAGACTCCAAACTCCACTTTTGCAGGCAGGTGCTGTGAGTGCCGAATTGGGACCGTGATCTCCAAGTCTGGAATTGGAGGAAAGAGGGATAAGCTGTCAAGATACCAGACTGTCACCTGCCAAGCTGCTCAGCAGCTTCCCTCCACCTGCCTCTCTCACAGGAGCCTGCATGGGAAGGGGAAGGGGAAGGGAAAAGACGATGGGAGAGGGAGGGGCCCTGGGTTGGTGGCCCCCTCCCCTTCAGCACTGAAACTACTGAATCCTGTGTGGCTGTCACTGAGAGACTGAAGAGAGGAATAGAATAATGTGAGAAAGGGACAGAGAAGCGCTTCTGCATCAGGGAGTGGAAAGAACAAACCATAAGAGAAAGGTTTGGGCTCTCAGCCCTGCCACTTAGCATCTGTGGAACTCCAGCAAGACAGTTCTCCTCTCTGAATCACTCCCCTTATCTGAGGAGGGGTATCTCCATCCTTGACTGTAATAACAGGCTGCCCTATGCACCAAGCAGAGTTCTGAGAGCTATGGTATTTTTCATTCATTTAACCCCCACAACACCCAAGAAATAAATATTATTATCATCAATGCCAGCAGAAACTAAGGTACAAAGAAGTGATGTAGCATGTCCTGTCGAACAGTTGGTAAGTGGCAGAGCTGGGATTTGAACCCAGGCTCCGGAGTCCAGGCTCTTAACCACTGCTTGTACAGCCTCTTGCTCTCTGCACAAGGAACGGATGGTGGGTGGGTGGGTGTGGGCTGGGTGGCCCACACACACAGTAATGACCCCGAAAGCTAATGAAAGGAGGTCCTTCAGGCCTATGAAAGATTTTGTGACTTGCAAGGCCCCTGGGGTAAAGAGAGCTGATGCCTTTGTCGAGCAAAGCACTGACCTGACCTCCTTACTGGCTTAACCCTACCCAGAGGTTGTCTCTGTTCCTCCCTACATTTCCAATGCTGGGTTCTAGGAGCAGAAAACAGTAACTCTGATGAGTAGAAAAAAAGTCTGGGGGCAGCAGCACCAACTTCCTCCTGAAGGCAAGATGTGCTCCTGCCTCAAGACTCCCCCGGCTGCCTGGGACCTTCTCAAGCCCAGGGGCAGGGTTTATACAGCGGTGGCTATACAAACTTGGGTAGAAGAGGTGTTAGCTTTGGGGACGAGTGCTTTTATCTTCTGGTACCACTTCCTCCTCCACCTCTACCCTTCTAGGGGACAGGCGTGGCAGGAAGTTCAGAGAGTCCAGGGGCAGAGGTGGCTCCACCTACCAAAGCCAGAAATCTGGCAGGGTGAATGGATAAACTGGAACAGGATGAAGGAGCAGCGAGAGGACAGGGCACACCAAGTCCCCCAGAACATTCTGCGCAGAGAATGATCAGAGTGGATTGTTGGCTTGCACAGGCACCAGCCTTCCTCATCTGGAGACTCCGGCTCCAGGTGTAGTGTATGGTCCAAGTGTCCAACCAGCTTCCTAGGGTTTTGTGTAATCCAGGTCTTTTTCACATGCTGGGGCTCTCTTGGCTACAACCATGCCATGGAAGCACCTACCCCAGCTTGGAGCTACTTGGGCAAAAATAGCCAGGGGCACTCACTCTCATATGGGTAGCCCCCACAGTATCTTAGAGACCAAACGAGTGTCAGTCTTTTTTTTTTTCTTCCTGCTCTGACTTAGATTTTTAAAAATCATTGTTTGTTTGAGAAGGAATCTCGCTCTGTCGCCAGGCTGGAGTGCAGTGGCGCCATCTTGGCTCACTTCAACCTCTGCCTCCTGGGTTCAAGCAATTCTCCTGCCTCAGCCTCCCGAGTAGCTGGGACTACAGGCACGCGCCACCATGCCCAGCTCATTTTTGCATTTTTAGTAGAGACGGGGTTTCACCATGTTGGCCAGGATGGTCTCAATCTCTTGACCTCATGATCCACCCATCTCAGCCTCCCAAAGTGCTGGGATTAGGTGTGAGCCACTGCACCCAGCCAAAAATCACTTTTTTAAAAGGGAGATTCCGGTCTGCTTAATTAACTTCGAGGAGGCAATTTTTTAACCTCAACTAGTTCTATAAAGAAGGAAAGTAAAATACACAGGAAAAAATAGGGAGTCAAAAGTTCAAAAAATCAGGTAGAACCAGTCCGAATGTTTATAAAATCCTGATATTCTTTGAATAAAGGTACAATGCTAGGAATAGTTATCATGATTATATTGCATAGTGCTTTCCCAAAGTGCATTTATATGCATTATTATACCTCCTTTAAACTTCATGACTTCTCCATTAAGTAGATAAGTCAGGTTATAGCCCCCAGTGAGGAAACTGAGGCACAGAGTGGTTAAAGGAATTGGATCATAAAGTGATTCAGTGACAAAGCAGGAATCAGAACCCAAGTTTCCTGGGACCCGGTTAGCTCCTCTACGTCCTGCTCCACAGGACACACCCAGAACACAAATATTGATTATCTTCTCTGTGAGGCCATGGCTCTCACCAGCCCTTCTCTAATTTCCTACGCCATCAACGCTCTGTACCAGCCCAGTAAGAGCAAACAAACCCCTGGGGTTGGAGAAAAATGGGCAAGTTATTAAGAACAGTCTTAATTTTTAATTCTCTTTGGCATTCTAACCCAAATTAAAGATTACTATTTTTTCCCTAAGGCAAACGAAGTTCTCAAATGAATAGTCAGTCATTGTGTTTAGAATGGGTTACATTCTTAGAAAAGATCCTTTAAGCACAAACATTATTCATCAACCCTAATTTTCCTATAATGTTATCGTGTGTCAATAATATGTCATATTTACTCAACCATAAATGATGCCTTCTCTTTGGCAAATGCTGCCCTTCAACCTCAGCATGCAGTACAGGGTCCAACTTCTAATTGCCTGAGGCTGTTTCTCGTAGCAGAATGATGAGTGCCCCTCCCCAAGCAGGCCTCCATCAAAGGCTGATGGGGGCTGGTGTATAAATGTCCCAGCTGTCTCGTTGCTTAGGTGGGTGTTCTCCACTGATTCCTCCCTGTCTCACTTCTCCATCCCCTACCACTTTCCCTGGGATCACCTCCCACACCAGCTATTTGCTCTCAAATCCTTATCAGGGGAGAAAAGTTCTAGAAATGCAAGTGGTAGTGCTGGCACAACACTGTGAATGTACTTTATGCCACTGAATTGTGTGTGTGTGTATATATATATATATATATATATATATATATATTTTTTTTTTTTTTTTTTTTTTTTTTTTTTTTTTGAGACAGAGTCTCGCACTGTCGCCCACGCTGGAGTGCAGTGGTGCGATCTTGGCTCACTGCAGCCTCCGCCTCCCAGGTTCAAGCGATTCTCCTGCCTCAGCCTCCTGAGTAGCTGGGACTAGAGGCGCATGCCACCACACCCAGCTAATTTTTGTATTTTTGGTAGAGACAAGGTTTTGCCATGTTGGCCAGGCTGCTCTCGAACTCCTGGCCTCAAGTGATCCTCCCACTTCAGCCTCCCAAAGTGCCGGGATTACAGGTGTGAGCCACTGCACCCAGCCTGAATTATGCACTTAAAAATGGTTCAAATGGTAAATTTTATGTTAGGCATATTTTATTACAATAAGTACCACAAACAAGGAGGCCCTTGGGGCTGTCAGGCAGAACGTTCTCCCATATAGATTGCTTGCCGTCCCCGGTCATTCTTGTTTTGTATCAAATTATATACAGTTTAATCTCTCAATAGTTATGACATTGATTAAAGCCCCTGATATAAGAAGTACAAATACTTAACACCCCTCTCCCGAAAATATCCTTGTCAGAGGGTCTGCTTCTTGGAGAGTCGGGGATGGGGGCTGGAGATGGGCAAACTAAGCCATGCTCTTTTGGAAAAATGTAGACACTGACCATTCTAATTTAGACTGTCGCTACTGGTGGGTATAAATCACTTGTTCAGAGCCTGAACAGCCTTGGGTGAACCTTGCATAATGTTTCAGAACTTGTGATTCATTCTGGATGGCCCTGCCTGAGAGGACCTCAGCTGGTGTGTGGGCCTCTGTGTAATCATGGGTGTGGACACTTTTAGGAATACTCCCAGGTGCCAGGCACTGTGCTAAGCACTGGTTATACCCCAACTCATTCAATGCTCCCTAATGGGGTGGGCACTTTCACTTTTACCATTTTGCAAAGCAGGACTGAGGCTCAGGGAGGTGACATATCTCGCCCACAGCTCCCAGCTAGTGAGGGGTGAGCAGTGAGCAGGAATTTGACCCCAACCTCGCTGGCCCCAGAGTCCATCCCTGTACCCCTCTACTCCTCTGCATGTGCGTCTGTCCTGCTTCAGTATCTCCAGTGGCACCAGGTGGGGAGCCCAGATGAGTGGTCAGGATGTGATGAGACCCAGAAGGCTCAGGTCTTGAGCCCAGACGGCTGAGCACATGTGACTCCAACACTAGGACTCCTGGGCCTTCAAACACTGGGTGCAACGCCAAATCACAGGTTTCTTGATGCTGTCTGTATTTAAAAACCTGAAATGTCTCATTCCATCAAGGCTTCTATCTTTGGGCGCATGGACTCTAGTTTTAAAAAGCATCTCATCTCTTTTATCACTGAGACCCCTATTATCTGACCCTAGGATGACTGTGCAGATCTCGAAACAGCTTTTCTGCCTTCTCTCCTTTCTCTTCCTCTCAACCAGGAGGACAGACAAGTGTGAACTCAGCCACCGGCAGCATAAATTTAAAATCCAGACACCCAAGCAGAAGACATAGGATGACCTCTCTGACCTTCTGCGATGGTTAAAACCTCTTAACCCCTCTTCTCCCAAAATCATTAACATTCACTAGGTTAGTACTATCTTCAAAACACTGTGTTAGGCATGGTGGAACAGACCCTAGTAGGGAAAGCCAGACCTGTGTGAATACAAAGATAACTGACTCATTAGCTACCAGATGGTGAAGCTAGTGTCTCATAGGTCTCTGTATTTGGCAGGGTGCCTGGTGCTTGTTAAGTGTGGAATGAATGAGTGGTGTCACCAAATAGTTTCCTGAAACTGACCATTCCAACAAAGCCTTCTAGAACTCCATCACTGTACTGTTCTGCACACTGGGGACTCCACGGAGCACACAGCAGACAAGTTTTTGCCCATGTGGAGCTTCTAGTGGAAGGGAGATGGGGTGTTGGACCATAACCTTGAGAACAGAAACCAAAGATGATTCCAGTCTGTGATATGTAAAAAGAGAGGATGCCAGGGAACAGAAAGTGAGTCGTGGAGGGCTACTCTGGAGAGAATGGCAGAGAAGGCCTCTGATGAGGAGATGCTACACTGAACTCTGAAGGATGAAAAGGGCCTGAAGGTGAAGATGTGGGGAAAGGCAGGGGAATGGCAAGTGCACAGGCCCTGAGGGAGAAATGCTCTTGGCTTGTTAGAGCAATAAATAGGAGTCCAGGGACTGCAGCACAGGGTTTGGGGGAGAATGGAGGATGAGCTCAGGGGTCAGATCACAAAGGGCCTTGTAGGCTGTGAGCAGGAATGTGTGATTTTACCCTGAGTGGGACAGGAGCCCCTGGAAGGCTTTGATCAAGGGCGTGGCATTATCTGACTTTTAAATTTTTTAAACATCATTGGCTACAATGGGTTAACTATAGAGGGGCAAGAGTGAACATGGGGAGATGACTGAGTGACTACTCCCTTAGTCTAGGCAAGAGATGATGTGGCTTGGCTGCAGCAGTGCCATAGGAGATGGTTAGAAATGACCAGATTTAGGATACGCTTTGGAGGCAGAACATCTGTGGACTGCTGATGGCTTGGATGAAGGAATGAGGTGATAGCAACCAGAGACAGAAAAAGAGAAGTGCCAGATGAATGGAAGGGGTGGGAGGTCCCACATATACTTGAATGAGGAAGGAATACCATGGCCTAGAGTGGTCCAGGAAGGTGTTACTGAGAAGGGGCTGCCAGGGCTGGGTCTTGCAGCCCAGTAGTTTTCATACAGGTGAGAAAGAAGAGGCATGGCATGAGCAAGGGGTCCACGGCAGGAGAGAATGTCCCATTTGGACACCAGGGTGTTACCAGCCCAACTAGGTTCATGGGAAGTCAGGCAGCTGATGGCAGCTGGAGAGAGACCGTGGAAGCTGTGCACAAACAGGGCTAGATTTTAACTTGGTTCTTCATGTAATAGGGCTCCATTCAAGATCTGAGTGCCTCTGAAAGCCTTCTCCTGCATGCTCCTCTTGCTATAAGGCTGGCCTCGGTTAATCACAGAGGCCCACTATGCCAGAGGCTCTCTGTGGGAAGATGCATTGTGGGTAAACGCCAACTTCTTGCTCAAGGGTGGTGATGCCACATGGCTGGCACAGGGGTAGGCTTAAGGGGAGCGGGGGCCCAGTCCATAGTGTGCACCACTGGAATTTGTGGCCCTGCTATTGCACCATGGAAGCCCTGCTACACCTGGGGCATGGGCTTCTGAAGCACTGTATGGTGTGGATGCAGATGACGCCATTGCTCACCAGAATCAGAAATAGACACTGGGTAAATGGGATTTTCTCCTTTCTCTGCTTAAAAAACATAAGTCCTCCTAATTGCCAAGGGGAGAGTCAGATGTCTGCAGAGGAAGTATCACCATCCTATTTGAGTGAAAAGGTGGAAGCATGCAGAGTTGAATCCACTTATTCACTTCCGGGCATGTCTTATGTACCAGGTACCAGATTGTTTACAGAATAAATAAGATATAACCATTGTCCAAAAGGCCTTTACAGTCTAGTGGGGGACCCAGATCTGTAAACAGTATGACGAGTGCTGGGCAAGTGGTCTGCCCACTCAGGCCACAGCCAAAAGGAGAGTCAAGGACAACAGATGACAGCAATGTCCCACACAATGCAGCACCCTAGGAAGCCACATACCTGTCTGCTTTCCTGATTTTTGCTTCTCTCTCTGTCTTCGGGTGATGCTGTCTCTTAGCCGTTTAAGATTTTCCTGGAAAAAAATTTGGTTTATTTTTTAAGTGTACAACAGGATGATACCCTCTGGACATGAGAGTTTCTTTCAGATTGTATGCTGTTTGCAGGGTATATCACATTGCAGTCACATTTACAACATGCAAATGAGGCTCAGCGCATTCACAGTCAGCCCCCAGAGAAATCCAAATACTCACAGAATCTGTGCCTGAAGAGAAGACATCTCTTCCACAAGAAAGTGTCTTTCCTCCCCTCTGGTTCTCAGCTCTGTTCTATATGACCCCTCTCATGTATGCCTCTTAGCCCAGCTCACAAATACTCCACAGGTATTCCTGTCTCTGAGACTGTGTTCTCACATCACTCCCCTGACCTTCATGGATGTTGGTTCTTCTCCATGAGTCTGGATCAAGGCCCACTTTCTCCCTGAAGCCTCCCCAGATATGCCAACCATCCAGCACTTGGGCTATGCTGCTCCATCATGTGTGCACACTCTTGTGCCTTGCCTCTTTGAGATACTGTGAGCTCTTCAAGGTCAAGAGACCACGTCGTGTACCTTTCCATAATCCTGCCATCTGGCCCATTGTAGTCATTCAATAAATGTTGAATAGACATGTAAGGGTCAAGATTGTTGCTATTTTAGTCAATTAACAATAACGCCGAAGTTAAGTGCCTGAGCATTCTAGGGAAAATGTCCAGACAATCTGGCTGGAGCAGAAGGTTCATGTTGGGGAGTCACAGGAGGCCAAACTGGAAAGGGGGGTTGGTCTGCAGCTGCAGGCTGAAGAGACTCACCTGTGTCCAGGAGACAGCAGGGAAACACTGAACACTGTGAGCTTGTCATGGATTTAAGGTTCTAGTGAACTAGAGAAGAAGGAACAGAGGCCAGCAGACCTTCCTGGAGACTATGGAGTATGCCAGATGCAGGCAACAGAAGCTGACATGGGGATGTGGCTGGGGGAATGGAGAGACAGGAGCAGATGCAAGAGGACAAATGCCGCAGAGCAGGACCAAGCAGGACACACCGCTGACTGGGTGAGCGGAAGCACGGGAGAAGGCCAAAGAGACTCTGAGGTCTGATCTCCCTCTCCTCTGTGATGAGCACAGAGAGGCTGTTGGGAAAGGAAAGCGGCCTTGAGGGATGGTTTGTTGTTAGACATGCTGTGAGCCTGGGGCACTCAGGGGGACAAAGCCAACTGGGGCTGGAAACATGGAACTGGAGACACAGACTGCACAGAGAAGGAGCTGAAGGAAAGCTTCAATGTCCATTGTGAGAGGGTGACGTGAAGGAGACAGAGGAGTGGACAGAGAGGCAGAGGAAAAGGAAGATGAGGCCTCCACCCAGGAATGTCTCCACACCACCAGCCCCTGAAGGGGAGATGCTCAGGAAGTGGCTAGAGGCTCTCAGGGAACCAAACAATGTGAGCCCCCATGAGCTGGGATTCTGCCGTATTAAATATAAACCCGTCGTCTGCTATGCCCAAGAGTTCTGGACCAGCTCATGGGAAGGGAAGAGGTCTCTTGGATAGAAACACAGAAAGACATGGCACATGTATACCTATGTAAAAAACCTGCACGTTGTGCACATGTACCCTAGAACTTAAAGTATAACAACAACAACGATAACAAAAAAACCATACTTGGAAAGGATTTACCTTTCTGCAACAATGGACTGGTACATACAGGATGATGGTAATGATAAGACACGTAAATTATGTTCCCACTGGAAACCTGCCCTGTCCACCCCTTCTCATTTCCCTTAACCTTATCCTCAAACTACTTTAGCTGAGAAGCTTTCCAGCAGACTGAGTTAGTGGTGGCTTATACCTATTTATATTTGTATTAATTGCTTACAGATTATACCTCATATTAGCAATTACCTTACACTACAAGAAAATGTAAAAAAAAAAAAAAAGAAAAAAAGAAAGAGAGCTAACATTTATTATGTATTTACTACGTACCAGTTATGCTGCTTACAGTAGCTTATATCACCTAGTCCTCCCCTTTCATATGAGGCACAGCAAGGTCAAGGTCATCAAATAGCAGAATAAAGATGTAAATTCAGGCTGCCAGCTCTAGAGCCCTGGCTGTTCTTAACTACTGTGCCACGTGGTTGCACAACTTGGCAAGGAGCAAAAAAACATTGTTTAGCCAGGGCCAGCCTTTTCTCAGCAGGACTGCAGCCTCCCAGGGGCTCCTGAGTGAAAAGCACCCGTGATTCCTGCATTCAGCTCTCCAGAGTGCCCTCCCACCCTTCAGGCCCCAAAAGGGAGGGAGGCAGCTGGCAGAGCAGGTGCCCCTGTCTTAAGGAGCACTAAAAAGGCAGAAGGCATAGTGAAGGGAGCACAGGCTCTGGGGTGAGAAAGGGGAGGTTTGAACCTTGACTGCCTCTTCGCCTCTCTGAGCCTCAGTTTTCTGTAGAACAGGAGGAGTAATACTTATTTCATATGCGTGTATGAGGAGTGAAAGAGATCAGGTCTATTTAACGCTGAGCACAATGCCTAACATAGCACTGTCGGAGGTCAGCAAATGCGGCCTGATGACATGCTTCCCCACTCTTCACCACTAATCCTGTCCCAGAAGACAGGCTCCTATCTCAGCCCTGGACGGGTGCTGCTTACTCCCCGCCTTGACAGCTGGTATGTCAGATAGCGTAAGAACAGAGATTAGAATACACACCACCAGGGTCTATAGCCATAACACCCTGAACGCGCCCAATCCCATCTGATCTCTGAGGGTAAGCAGGGTCGGGCCTGGCTAGTACTTTGAAGGAAGCAGCCTGGGGAGGTGGAGAGAGAAAGCAATAGTTCCAGTCCTGACTCGGCCCCTCACTAGGAAAGATGCCTTGGACGTGTCCCTTAACCTCCTGAGCCCCATTTCCTCCTTTTTAATACAAAGGCATTGGTGGACTAAGAATGAGCTTCCTAAGGTTAAGTTTGAGTTCTTTTTTTGTTTTTAATTATACATCATGTACACTTATGATACAGGTATGGAGTTATATATTCTCATAAAAGCTTCAAACTATACAGGTAGAGCAAGAGTCTCCTCTGACACCCCAGTCCTCCAATCCCAGTCTTCTCCTGAGAGGTGGCCCCTGGAATGGGCCCGAAGTGGCCGTTTCCAGATCTTTGTCCTTGCATTTATATACATGTCCATAGAAATACAGAGTTTGTGTGTGGACGTGTCTGAGTTGTTTTAATTTGGGTGGTTTTGTATCTGCAACTTGTTTTGTTCATTTAATCATATTTCTTGGGAGTTTTCCAAGTTCTCTTTGAGTCATAAAGTGTGATAGTTATGAGGGTATTTGGCAGTAGGAATAGAGAGAGAGAGACTCTGAAAAGAAAAAAGCTGGAAAGCAGAAGCAGGGAGCCAAATGCAGAGAGACACAGCAGCAGAGTTAGTGTTTGTAGTTGAGTCTTTGTTCCTGATCTCAAGCCTCATGGTACCTGGAAAAGCTACCCAGCTCTCAGCCAGGGAGCCATGTGGTTACAGACCGAGGTGACACTCATACACACTCACTGGTTCACAATGAAACTCAAACATTCGCAGGCACAGCCACAGGTGTCCAGGTACAGCAATACACAAGACAGCCATGGCCCAGCCCTCCTCTACTGTCAAGTGGGGAAATAGACATGAAACAAATTCCATACGAAGCTAGTTACCTGCTGGAAACGAAAGGACTCCGATCGTTTCTTCTGGTTGAGCTGCCACTCTTTGAAGTGGAGCACAGCCTCATCCACGTTGACAATGCCCAGCTTCACCTGCTCCTGGAGGGTGATAAGCTGCCGCTGGCCTGGCGTTTTCATTCCCGCAAAAGGGTCATATATACTCGACTGGGGCCTGTCCCTCCATGGTCTGACGGGCGGCCCTGGAAAGGATGGCAAAACTCAGCTTGACAGCTCCCCCACTGGGGACCACTCACCAGAAGTGTACGGTTAATGAGGCTGGTCACAGGCTCAAGAGGACTCTTCTCAAAAGAACAATTACATGTGGCCAAGAAGGGGGAGATACAACATAAAATCAGGGGAGAAGAATGCAGCTAATAATTCCAAGGCCTATCACACTGAAGTAGACAAGGCTGCAACATTTAAGGGAGGCGTGAAATCTGCTGACTCTCCCAAGTCTTAACTATTATTATTATTTTTAACAGGCTTCATTCATTTCATTTTTCTGGTAAGAAAACCGTACGTTGTAGCCACAGCTGGAACCTGCGTCTTCTGCTTAGAGACTCTGGTGTGGGTCTTGAGAGATGGTCAGTGAATTCCTGGTAGGGAAACTTGGTGAATACAGTCTCTTTCCAGAGGTCAGGGATCCAGTTGCTAGCAGTCTTAGAGATGGCATCAAAGGTGGCCCAGGGTGGCAGTGCGGTCCCTGGCCAAGGCGTAGCAGCCATCAGCAGCAGCTTCTTGGGCACAGAGGCCAAGATGATGCTTAGTGCCCCTGGGGGCAGGGATGAGGCACACACACCAGCACAGAGCCAGTGGCCTGTCACGTTGCAAAGGCTGGTGTGGGGCTTGCTGATCTTGTTCCCCCTGTAGCCTCTCTGTGCGGGTCCAATGGAGAGCTTGGCTGGGATGATGGCCCGTTGGATGGTAGTGGCTACCCCCTTGGAGTGCTTAATACCCAGACAACATGGCCATTGTAGTCCTCAAAGGCAACAAACACCTTGAACCTGGTGAAATGGCCAGCATGGGTCAACTTCTGTGCCAGCATAATCTTCAGAACCCCATTCTTGAGAGACGACTCCAGGAAAAGGTCAATGATCTCAGACACCTTGATGGGCAGAGAGAAGACAGCTCTCCCAGGACTTGATCTTCACATCTTTGGCCAGATGGTTTAACTTAGTGATAGGCGTCGACTCCTTGTTCTCAGACTTACCTCTATGAGCTCCAGAGCCTTGGCCCCAGCCACAGCCACAACCTTGGCCTGATGTCACTGCCAAAGCCTCCAGGGAGGCCATCGCAGCCTGCCATTCCAGGACCCCCAGGCCCTCCCACTGCATCAGCATCATCCACCATTTGGTGTTTTCTTGAAGAAGCAGCCAAGCCTTAATTATTGAGACGCCTTTAGACAAGTATTTCTCAACCTTGGCACTATTGACATTTTGGGCCAGGTAATTCCTTACTGTGTGGGTGTGTCCTGTGTATTGTAGGATGTTCAGCAGCATCCCTGGCTTCTACCCATTAAATGCTAGCAGCACCCCCTTCTTGAGTTGTGACAACCAAAATTCCCTTATATTGCCAAATGTTCTTTAGGGAGGGGGTACAAAATCACTTCCAATTGAGAACCACTGCTTTAGACTTAAATCCATACCCAGAAGAGAATACACTGGAAGAGTTTAGCCAGGATGCTTCTCTTAGCCCCACTCTCATCCCTCACTGTCTCTAAGCAGCATGAGGCACAGTGATTGTGGACCCATGGGCATGAAATGCCCCAGGAGACTGGAACATCAGTGGAATCCTGACACAGGCCCAACAGCATCAGGTATAAAGTAGGTGCTGGCTTCCAGCTGGCTACCCTTGGGTTGTTCCTGTGCCAACCTCTCTTCTACATTACAAATTCACAGTTCTCTGCTTTGGAGCTTCTGGAGAAATATGAAGCCAACCCTCATCTCTCTACAGGCTGTGACTTCAGTTCTGTGGGGAATGAGCTACTCGCAGCGACCATGGGGCCACTGAGGCAACTTGACGTTTCACTCAATTCATACAAGGCTATTTGGATCTAAATTTCTCCAGCAGGACTCCATTTGGGCATTGTGACTCAGGGACATAACATGAAGAAAAAAGAGAAATGGCTGCACCGGTGAGTACTGAAAAAGCCTCAGAGACGTTTATCTATCATTCTGCCCAACCATTCACTTATCTGTCCGCACACACCCACACATCCTTCTCCCAGGTCTGCCCTTGTCAAGGCTCTCTTTAATGGTATTGGGAGACACAGTGGAGGAAAAAACAAAATGCACAAGCCAACCAGTTCCAGTTTCCTACTACCAGAGCCCTTTGGGGGATGCCTTCAAATGCTTAGATGGTGTCATGGCTACTTTTCAAAAGAATCCTCAATGGGATAATACTGAGTGTTTCTGTTTAGCACAAGGAAATTAATCAAGAGAAAAGAGCACTTAGCTCCTCAAACTTCCTTTAAAACTGTTTAGAAAAATAAGACTTCCAAGTTGTTCCCCAATGGCAAGCAAAATACCTTTTAAATAAAAGTTGAATCAAAGTATAGTTTAGCTAGTATAGATAAGGTAAGTAAATAGCCCAGAAAGGCTGTTATCATTAGGTAAAGACTGAGTGCTGGGCCACCTACTTTCATCCTGTTGGCATCAACCTCCATTTTTAGATTGTACTTTTATGTGCTTTATGGACACTTTCCACTAATTAAGGTCCTTTGTACGACCAATTTGCACAGCATTGTAGGGGACCCTGATCTCTTTCCCTCCCCCTTTACCATCAGTACAAGACTCTCAGACAGTGCCACACTAAAGTATCCTTGGATCTCTCTAATTAATTAAATAATTTATTTAATTTTTATCTAATTAATTAATTTATTTAATTTTAGAGACAGGGTCTCACTATGTTGCCCAGGTTGGTCTCAAACTCCTGGCCTCGAGTGATTCACCCCCCTTAGCCTCCCAAAGTGCTGGGACTACAGGCGTGAGCCATGATGCCTGGCCTAGATCCCTCTATTTTTCAATGTCAAGGAGCTATTGTTACACTTGGAAATCACTGACCTATGAACACTTCAACCACACAAAAGTTCAGTTCATATAACACATGGCTTACCTTTCCTGATGCTCTCTGAGGAAACGTAGAAATTCCCAGGCCGCTCTTGACTTTTTTCTGCAAAAACTATGAGATAAAGAATATTCTGATTACTGAAAAAGTATCAAAATCCAGTACAAAATAATAATAATAATGAATCCATACCTAGGACCACCGTATGTGGTTCTGTAAATCAAAATTGTAGAAAGAGGCAATTAATGAGAAGGACTAGGAATTGTCAAGTAATGGCAGACTAAACAGACACAATCTCAAACTAGAAAACCAAAGCTAGCCAGAGGACATGATCAGCATTTACAAGCTCATTGAAGAAAACGGTAATGGGAAAGGACATGTGCCTGGACCCCTGAGAACCTGAAGCTAGCCATGGAAAATGTGAGCCTTAAAATTAGAGAATAAAAGGAAGTACCACTTAAAATGCCAGCTAGTGCCATAAGACAGAACTCTAAGCAGTAGAACAGCAAAATGTGTGCACAGCTCCAAAGAGATTAAGGTGAAGTCACTTACGAGGGACAGATTCATGAAGGTTAGGAGAGAAAACTGGGACATGACAAAATCTCACTTAGTGGTAAGATGACATGGTGATTATGGCTCCCTGGGCTCTGAAAGAGGCTCTCTGAGTCCAAATACTAGCTCTGTGGCTTGTGAACCATATGATCTTGGACAAGTGGCTTGACCTCTTCCTGTCCCTATTTCTTATCTGTAGAATGAGGATGATAATAGTTCTTTCACTGGTTGTGATGAAGATTAAATGAGTTAATACATGGAAAGTGCTTAGAACAGTGTGTGGCCCATGTAAACACTCAGTGTTAGCTTTTATTATAATTATTCATATCTAAACTTTGAGACTGTTGCCAATAGTCAGCAATACCTTGGCATGCTAGTTAACCCAAGGGATGGCTCTACAATGCCTTACAGTTTGTAAAGTACTTCCTTCTGTATTATTTCATCTGACCTTCGCAATAAGGCTATGGCAGAGTATTAGTATGTATTATTAGGACATGTATTAATCTATACGTGTATTATTACAATATCCATTTTATAGATGAGGAAACTAAAGCTAAAAAGGGTGAAATGGTCCAGACATGGTGGCTCATGCCCATAATCCCAGCATTTTGGGAGGCCGAGGCAGGAGGATTGCTTGAGCACAGGAGTTCAAGACCAGCCTGGGCAACACAGCAAGACCCTGTCTCAAAAAAAAAAAAAAGAAAGGTGAAATGACTTACCCAATATCCTATGCTGAACAGCTGGAAAATGCAAGAGCTGAGAGATGAACCCAGGTGTTCTGGCATCCAAGCCATTGCCCCTTTTGTCATCTCCTGCCTCTCTCCTTTCCTTCGCTTCTCCACAGTTTCCTAGCAAGTCCATCAGGGCTCTTGAGGAATCACCTGTGCCCCTGTCCAAACACCTCCCTACAATGAGCCATGCCATCAGTACGGTTCCCTACTCCCTCTGCTATTTAGGAATTACCAGCATATATTTGCATGCTTCTTAGATTGAGTTCCCTCAGAAGCAGAACCCGAGACAAGGATTCAAGTGCAAGTTGTCTATTTGAGAGGTGATGGAGGTGAGACGGGGAAGCGGATGGTGCAATGAATGGTGGGCTATCAAGCAAGTTACACTGCGGGCAACCTAGGAATGACTAGAACACAATGTAGAATGCGCAACTAAGAATTCTCCCACCGGAGGATGCAAGTAAGCTGGGGCACTCATCCATACCTCCTGTCAGGCACTGGTTGAGGGCAGCAACTCCGTGTGTTAATTCCCCAGTGCTTTCAACCTGTCCTATAAGAGGGCAGAGAAGGTGCCAGGTGCCAGAGGAAGCCCTCAGGCTGCAAGACACAGATGCTGACAGGTAGGGTCCAGCCAATGAGCACAGAAATGCAAAGGGCTAGAGGGACATGGGCAAGAAAACAACAGTGTCTGCTGCTCATGCCAAGGAGATAATACCCAAGGAGACTGCAGGCCACAAGCACTGACAGCACCTGGCAGTACATAATATCTCACAACTGTATTCCTACCCAGTTCAGGGTTGCTGGATTTCACAAAACAAAAATGTGTGTACTATTTGGGACATACACTAAAAACTCATTTGCCATTTATTTGAAATTCAAAGTCAACTGGGCATCCTGCATTTTATCTGGTAACCCCAACCCAACTACCTAGGGCTCTGGGTGAATGCTACCTTCCCCAATTTATAATTCCCTTTTGCCACACCTCCAACAACATGATGATACCATTGAAAAATAGAATATAGTTCCAGAGCACAGATCTGGCAATTCTTATTTATTCTTTTTTCAGACAGAGTCTTGCTCTGTCGCCCAAGCTGGAATGCAGTGGCTCAATCTCGGCTCACTGTAACCTACACCTCCCAGGCTCAAGCAATCCTTCCACCTCAGCCTCCTGAGTAGCTGGGACTCAGTGCGGGCCATCACACCTGGATAATTTTTTGTATTTTTTGTAGAGACGGAGTTTTGCCATGCTGCTCAGGCCAGTCTCAAACTCCTGGGATCAAGCAATCTGCCTGCCTCAGCCTCCCAAAGTACTGGGATTACAGGTATGAGCCACCCCTCCTCCTATTTCTAATACTCTTATAGTACTTGTAACCATATTATTGCAATCGAGTCGAAAAAATAGTGAAACTAACAATGCTATCAGTATCTAACTAATGTCCCAGGGATGATTAAGAAGTCAAAACCTTAATTTTTAATAACATGGGTAGATGGACAGCCTAGCATAATGGCTAAAAGCCAGGGCTGTGAAATCAGACTCCCTGATTTTGGCTTTGCTATGCAATGGTTGAATGACCTCTGTAAAACCTCTATTTCCTCATCTGTAAAATGAGATAATAATGGTCCTTACCTAATAGGTTATTGTAAAGATTAAATGGCGTGTTCCAGATAGAGCATTCTTGATAGATTTCAATAAATGTTAGCAATTCAAATTTCATAATAATATCAAGAAGGGTTTCAGGAGATAAAAATATATCAGGGGTCTTGTTTACCTGCCTTTGCAACTGTGCGTAAATACTTCCAGGAAGGCCAGCACTGACTCTGGTCATTACTCCTATTCTAGCTCCAGAATCTGTCCCAAGATATGACCCTGTCTCGTAGGGCTGGTTGAAGACCATTTAGAAGGGGATAGTCTCTGAGCAATGGTTCAAAAAGCCAGGTCATCCAGGAAATCCCTGTTGAGAAGCTCCAAAGACCCAGTTGGACATCATTCCCTGCCATACTTGCCTTTAAAAATGTATGGTTCGTTGTCAGGCAGCTGGTGAGCACCAGGAGCAGTGGTCTCTGGTCTGGGCACTGGGACAGGGGGCCTGCTGGCCAGGTCCACAGAAAAGGCCTCATCGTCATCCACCGTGTGATAAACATCTTCTTCCTGACCAAGATGGCACTGATCTCTCTCCAGATTGGTCATTCCCATGCTGTTGCCTAGAAACGCAGAGAAAGGTGACTGAAAGCAGTGGCCAAACAAACTGGGTGATCATCAGTCATAAAGCAGAGTGAGGGACCTTACTTTGTTTCCTCAGTGCTGCCCCCTGGCAAAGGACTTTCCCCAATATCACTTCCTGTATCGTCTGCTCAGAACACCACACAAAGCAACTGAGAAAACACTCATGTCACCTCCATTGACACCCAGCGATGCAGTGAAAGGACATGAGCACAAGGCTTTATCATCTCTGTTTTACTGCTGGGATTCAGTTATTCATCCCATTAGAACTAGGGAAAGTCCTAGATGGGACTAACTGTCAAAGCCCTAGTTAAGAAAGGTGGGGCGTTCACTGCCAACTGTCCAATAAAAGTGGTACTTCTTATCTAGGGCTTGAAACAGACTGCCCAAGACTCCCCTCTCAGGGAAACTTTTCATTCTAGAGTTGGGGTCAGCACACATTTTTTTAAAGATCCAAATAGTAAATATTTCAAGTTTTGCAGGCCATAAAGTCTGTTGCAGGTACTCAACTGCTCTTGTGACATGAAAGCAGCCATATATAATACTAAATAAACGGTCCTGTTGTGTTCCAATAAAACTTTATTTATAAGACAGGCAGATGGCCAGGCTGTGGTTTGTCTACCACTGCTTTAGAGTTTTTTCCTTCCTCTTCACTGTGAAAATGACTTTTGTCCCCTTCTGAGTCCCATCCTCTTAGCACTCTGCTTTCTATATCTACTTGATCAACAGACCCCACCATACATTGCAAATGATTGGACAGGGTTAAAGAATTACCCACGCAATTTAACATCCTCCACCTTTGAAACCTTCAGTAATAATAACAACAATAATAAATCTTCATTAACTGCTTGTTATGTGCATGGTGGTGCTCTGAGACCTAATGCATAATAACTCATTTAATTATCACAACATTTATCTCATTTTACAACGGAGGAAACTGAGTCCCAGAGGACTTGAATAACTTGCCTAAGGTTTTCCAGCTAACTGGATGGGAAAATTGAGAATAGATCAGAGTTAATCTTCCTAACCACTATACAACACAGCCTCAACTTAGTATCTTTGTTTATATTTGCCTCCTTCACCAGCAAGTAAAGTCTCCTGAGGGCATTGATCATATCTTATTTTCCTTTGTATCTCCAGCCCCAACATCCAGAACAGTGATTTGCACATAGTAAGTACTCAATAAATTTTGGCCAAATAAAAACAACAGATGCATTTAAAAAAAACTAGAGGCAACTTGTTTACCCAAACAAGTGGCTCCACTGGTTGGAACTCCTGGCCCACCTCTAAAGGGCTGACGGGGGAGCTCAGGGTAGAGGGGTCGGGGGAGGCAGAGTGCCTTTATTCACATCACATGCCATGTATGCAGCAGCCCATTCCTTGAGGGGAGCAACCCTCATAGAGAACCAGACAATGTCTTGCATTTGTTTCTCTTTTGCTCTTTTGGCTTCCCTGCTCATGGCTATGACTTACCTTCTAAAAACTTGCGGATCATAGAGTCCTTAGTGGCCCGAGAGAAACCATCTCCAGGGATTGGGTTAGATGTACTGGCCTGAAGCATTTCAACATCTAGAAGGAAAAGGAGACTAAGAGTTATATATTGGTCTCCTCCACAGGCAAGGAGATTTTTACAGATGGAACTATGAGGTTTGGCAACTCTCTTAAGAGATTCAAGCATTCATCAATCTATCCATCCCTCCATCCATCCACCTACTCAAGGACACCCAGTAAGTGTGAGGCATAAAAGAGAGCAACGTGCCCAACCCTCAGGCTCTTCCTTGCACCACAGGTCTCAAAGGGTAAAGATATGCTTATTTGCATTTGAAAGAATGGGTTCAATTTTGACATACTACATCATCCCATTGTTTATTACAGAAAAAAATGGAAGCAGGAATACATTGTGTTTTATATATACATATAAACATATATATACACACACACATATATACACATATATATATATACATATATATATATATATATGTGTATATATATATATATATATGGCAAGGTCTCAGGCTGGAGTGCAGTGGCTATTCACAGGCACAACTACAGCACACTCCAGCCTCGAACTCCTGGCCTCAAGCCATCCTCCCGCCTCAGCCTCCCAAGTAGCTAGGATTACAGAAATGCACCACCATGCCTGGTTTACAAATTGTGGTCTATTCAAACAATGGAACATTATGTAACAATTAAAAACAATGTACTGAAGCTATTTCTATCAACATAGTTACTTTTCAAAAACATAATGTTGAGTGAAAAAGTTACAGACAGGTGTCATGGTATGATATTGTTTATATAAGGTTCTAAGGCCTACAAAAATATAGTACAAATTGTTTATGAATTCATAAATATGCAGTAAACACACAAATATGCTGGGAATGATAAATAATGAATTTCTGGAAGTGGTTTACCTATGGAGAGGGAGAGAGGATAACTGGATTCCGGAGGGGGTTAATAGAGGACTATAACTGGAACCATATTATTTAATTTTAAAAAAATCTGACATAAAGGAATAAAAAGGAAATACATATTCTTGAAGATTCTGATGAATCTGAAGATTCAGAATCTTCAAAAAATACAATATACTAGATAATTAATATGCTACCCAAAGGGGGCAAAATTAGATTCTATTTTCATATTTGCTTATATACATAAAAAAGAAACTCTGGGCCAGGCATGGTGGCTCACAACTTTAATCCCAACACTTTGGGAGGCCAAGGCAGAAGGATCACTTGAGCCTAGGAGTTCGAGTCCAGCCTACGCAACACAGTGAGACCCCATCTCTACAAAAAAAAAAAAAAAAAAAGACAGAAAAAATTAGCAAGGTATAGCGGCACCTGACTGTGGTCCCAGCCACTTGGGATGCAGAACTGGGAGGATTGCTTGGGCCAAGGAGGTCAAGGCAGCAATGAACTGTGATCATGCCACTGCACTCCAGCCGGGGCGATAGAGCAAGACCCTGTCTCAATAACAACAACAACCAAAAAAAAAAAAAAAAAAAAAAAGAAGAAGAAGAAGAAGAAGAAGAAGAAAGGAAAAAAGAAAAGAAAAGAAACCCTGGAAGGAGATATAAGAAATTAATATCAGTGGTTTTCTGGGAACTGAAAAGATGGGGATAAGTAATACAGAAAGATATTCCACTGTTCATCTTCTTATATTTTAGCTTTTCAGCCTATTCGAAAAAATAAAGAAATGCAGTATTCTGACATGTTTTTGTTACCTTATTATCCAAAAAACACACAAACAAAAAACAACCTCCTTATTTCTACTTCTTCAGTTTATGTCTCCTGGCATAGTGGACGCGTTACATAAATATAATGTACCTTGATGTCCTCCAGTTCAGGGCACTACGATTCCAAATGAGGAACCAGTAAATGAATCCCGCCCGCCTGTTCTTGTCACCACTGAATTCCATAACAGACTAGAAAGTTTAGGGTAATTGTACTAATCCTGAAGCATACCTAGAGATGCATTCATTATTTTAAACATATTCTGATAAGAACTCACGCCTAATTCATTCTTTAAAAATTCAAGACCAGAAAAATTCTACTTATATGAGACTTTCAGTTTAATTTGCTTAATTGTGTTTCACGGAACATTTTCCTCATGGAGTTAGAAAACTGGAGGCCGGGCACAGGGTATCACACCTGTAATCCCAGCACTTTGGAAGGCTGAGGCAGGAAGATCGCTTGAGCCCAGAAGTTCAAGACCAGCCTGGACAACACACAGAAACCCTGTCTCTATTAAAAAAAAAAAGAAAAAAAAATTGGCTGGGCATGGTGGTGCAGGCCTATAGCCCCATCTATTCAGGAGGCTGGGGTGGGAGAATTGCTTGAGCCCAAGAGATCTGGCTGCAGTGAGTTAGGATCACGCCACCGCACTGCAGCCTGGGTGACACAGTGAAACCCTGTCTCAAAAAAAGAAAAGAAAGATGGGAAGGAACACATATTCTACAGGTGTGTGCCCTGCTAAGAGCAGGACCCTCTTCTACCTGACCAAGACTCTGTACTGCCTTCCTTCTTCCCAATTCTTACCCCAATCTCCACTCCCACCTGCCTGACCTTGGGCCCAGTTAATTTTTGAAACTTCAGTTTGAAACTCATCATTAACCCAACAATGAAGCACCAAGGAACTTACCCCCAAGGGAAGACATGCTCGGGTCAGACACCCCTAAAGATGAGGGGAGGGAGAAACTCCACAGCCCTGTGGTCCAGCTTTATACTGCCCAGTGCTGAACCCTCTAGAAAACCATACCTGTCTCAGGCCCCAGCATCTCCAAGAACCTTCTCCAGGGCATAGCAACCTCAGGACCATTTTAATCACTAATCACCAAATGTCCCAGGCTGATAATATCAGAGTGCAAACCTCACACAATCTGTCAACCCTGTTGACAGAGTGGTAAAAGCCTCATGCAATGGTCCAGCTATTTTCACTAACAACGTTCAATTTGAGAGAGTTGATTTGCATGTCGGAGAGGTAGGTGCAAAACTGAAGGAGCTATAAAGAGAATTTAGGGAAATAAAATGTGGAGGAAAATAGTAGAAGGAAGAGCAGTCCTGGCTGGGCCTGGCATGCTCATATATATGGATGCAGACTTCCACTTTGGGTACTATAACCCCTTTCCTAATGTGCTCATTTGGGGAGGAGTTAAAGAAAGAACTTAAAAAGAGAAAAGAACAAGCCAGGTGCAGTGGCTCATGCCTGTAATCCCAGCAATTTGGGAGGCCAAGGCGGGTGGATTGCTTGAGGTCAGGAGTTTTGAGACCAGCCTCATGGCAAAACCCCATCTCTACTAAAATACAAAAATTAGCTGGGCATGGTGGAGCGCACCTGTACTCCCAGCTACTCAGGAGGCTGAGGCAGGAGAACAGCTTGAACCCAGGAGGCGGAGGCTGCAGTGAGCTGGGATTAACACTACTACACTCCAGCCTGGGTGACAGAGCAAGACTCTGTCTCAAAAAACAAAACAAAACAAAAATAAAACAAAATAAAATAAAACAGAAAAGAATGAGCACCAGTAATGAGACTTAAGAACATCATGACTCCTTCCACCAAGAAGGGCATCATTTCTATGGCATTCTTGACAAAAATTCATAACCTCAGCCCAATTATAGAAAACATCAGACAAACTCAAACTGAAGAGCATTCTACAAAATAACTGATCAGTGCTCTTCAAAAGTATCGAGACAAGGAAAGACTGAGGAACTGCTGCAAACCGAAGGAGACTGAGAAGAAATAACTAAATGCATTGTAAGATCCTAGAAAGGAGCACGGAACAGAAAAAGAGTATCAGTGGCACAACTAGAGAAATTTGAACAAGGTCTATAATTTAGTTAGAAGTATTGTGCCAGTGTAATTCCCTGCCTTTGGTAATTGTACTATGGTTATGTAAGATGTTAATACTACGGGAGCCTGAGTGAAAGGTATGTAAGAACTCTGATGTTTTTGCAACTTTTCTCTCTAAAAGTATTTCAAAATAATTTTTTTTTTTTTTTTACAAAAAGGAGAGGAGGAACCACTATAGCAAAACTAAATAATCATAGCTCCTGAGGATGACCCCATGATCCTCCTTTCTGTCTGCCTACACTATCAAGCTAAGTACCTTCCACAGACACTGTGGAGCACATGTGTGTGGATGCAATGATCGAGATGGTGCTAAATGAACCACTTGTGAAAAACAAATATTTTTACTTTACAGTCACACCTTAACTGGTGGTTAAGAGCAAGATTTTGGAAGCAACAATGTAGGTGGCTAAATATCAGCTCTGTGACTTGGTAGAGTTCTTTGGCCTCCTTGAGCCTCCCTGAGAGTGTCTCACAGGATGATTAGAAGCGTGGGCATTAGGATCGCAATGCATAGGTTCCAATTGTGTTTTTCCCACTTCTGGCTGTATTGACTACACATCCACCAGTCCAACACCAACCAGTATTTTTAGGTTCAATCGAACATTCAGACTCACAAGATGACCCTGGGACATGCTTGGCACCAGTCCACTCACAAAGATAAAGGACACAAGCTAGCAGGGCAGTGAAGAGAGCTGGTCTTCCTTTGAGCCAGTCCTTGCATCTGATCAGCAACTCAGATGCAAAGAGACAAGATCCATAGCAGGCCACGCTGGTGAAAAACCTCATGTCCTACAAGAGCAATTTCTCTCATAGCAACTCCAGAGGCGGAGCTTCCAGGGTCACCATGAGAGGTATGCCAGAGTCAATGCCCTCAGGAAAGCCCAAAGAATGCTGTCCCTTTCAAGTATTTCTAGTTCCTGTACAGATCCTCCCAGTTCCAGATGCAATTTACCAATCAGGAGCCATTTTTATTGTAGGCAATGTTGCCTGGAAACATAGTTGACATTTGGCTCTTACCAGGTTACCGGGGTAACAGAGCTAGGAAGTCAACTGAAGGTCAAAATCTTATGCAGAAAGGGAAATTATAGCTATTATATTTTCTCTTTGCCCATAATTATCTTGGGCCAAGTTTTTAAAATCCTCTCAGCTTCTCTCTCTTCTTGTCTGTAAAATGGTGATAGTAATAGTACGTATCTCCCAGGTTTGTCATGAGTATTAAATTAGGAGGTTGCCAAGTGCTTAGCACAGTATCTAGCACATAGGAAGTGCTGAAGGAATGCTAGCTACTATTATTACTATTATTATTATTTTTATTGTTAAATTCTATACCCAGGCTAATGTCCTAAACAGAGAACAATTCAAAAAAGAGGATTCAATTTACACTTCTTTAAACAGGACCTTTATTTGTCTGAACCCAAGTTTTCTGCCTTCAAAGTAATGAATGCTTATGAGTTCATTGTAATATTTGAATTTCTACACATATTCTCAAATACTTCATTATTATATTTAGCCTAGTAAAAACTATGCCTACTCAATATATTTATATTTGAATATACCTAAAGTAAGGGAGGAATCTTCAGACAACAAACATCAATTCTTTACAATAGAGTTATTTATGGAAATCTGACTCACAGACAAGGCTAGCCAGGTGCATTTTCTTTATCATGGCTTCTGGACACTAAGTACTGGCTTGATAGAGCCAGCAGGCTTCTTCCCTCCTTGGTGAAGGGTCTGCCACTGTGGTCCAGACCAGACTTGGAGCTCCCATGCCCATTTGCCTTACACTTCCCTGACACCTATCACACTCTTTATTGGTGGCCCAAAAGTGAACACCAAGGGGCAATTCCAACAGCTCTTTCACCCCTGCTGGCACCACTCCGTGCCACCAGGACCATAGCGAGAGGCCAACCTTCAGGACAGAGCCTAAAGCCAGACGATCCGAGGCACGGCTGGAAGAACATGATGGGGGCAAAGGTGCAGGGAGGAGAGAGGGGGTGGTCTCCAGACACAGGGGAAGACCCGAAGTCAGGAGTAAAGGTACGGACAAGGGCTAGAGTCAATTGAACAGACTGCATGCAGGGAACAAACTTAAGTCAGAGAAAGGCAGCAGCTGAAACCAGGCAATTAATAGAGACCCAGGTGATGGCCACTGAGCAACCAGTGCAGGTCGGCATCACGATCAGAAGCATGGACTTTGATATCTTGGAGACCTGGGTCCGAGCCCTGGCTCTGACTCTTACTAGCTCTGTGTCCTTGGGCAAGTCACTTGACATCACTAAGTTTCTATATCTCCATCTGTAAAGTGAGGATAAGTAACAGTACCTACCTCATATGATGATCATTGGGGCCACAGGAGACAATGCTTACAAAATGCTTACTAACAGTGCCAGGCACTACATTTTCATGGGTATCATTATTATTATATTGAGGCAACTTAGTTGGTATATTAGTTTTCTGTGGCTGCTATGACAAATTACCATTTAAAACAACTTAAATTTGTTATCTTAGAGTTCTGTGGCTCAGAAGTCTGAAATAGGTCTCACTGGGTCAAAGTCAAGGTTTTGTCAGGGCTGCATTCCTTTCTGGAAGCTATAGAGGAGGATCTGTCTCCTTGTCCTTTCCAGACTCTAGAGGCCACCTGCACTCCTTAGCACTAGGCCGTCTTCTGCCATCTTCAAGCCTAGCAATATTGGGCAGAAAGCTTAGCTGAACTGAGTCCTCCCACTGATGCCGTCTCTCTGGTCTGTTTTCTGACGCCCTCTTCCACTTTTAAGGACCTTTTTGATTATATTGGGCTCACCAAGGTGATCCAGGATTTTCTCCATATCTTGAAGTCAGCTGATTAGCAACCTTGATTCCATCTGTAATCTTAATTCTCCTTTGCCATGTAACCTAGCATACATACAGATTCAGGGGCATTATTCTGCCTCCCAAGAGGGACCCAAGCATCAGGCACAGTCAGCTTGCCATGAATTTCCTTCCCATACTGGGCCAGTGAAGGAAAGAGAGGACAGAAATTAGGGCACACTCAAGTGAGTCCATCATGTTTACACACAAACTGGGTAGCCTTGTTCTGATATAGACATTATTGAGTCTCTAGATGTGCACTGCCTTAAAAGAAGTTACCCAAAAATGATTTTTCCATTTATATTATAAAGAAAATGATTTTTAAAAATCTTTAGTTGAACATAAATATCTTTGTAGACCAGGAACAGCAGATGCCATACATGGGCCTCCGTGCCCCTATTCCATTTTCGTGGCAAACATCACTACCAATCATAGCATTCTTTCTGTCCTTTTCAACACAGCACCCAGGCACTCAATACTGGCCAACTGGGGCCAGTATTTATTACAGGTGCGCTGACTCATGTCTGTAATCCCAGCACTTTGGGAGGCCAAGACAGGAGGATCACCTGACGTCAGGAGTTCAAGACTAGCCTGGCCAACATGGCAAAACCCCATTTCTACTAAAAATACAAAAATTAGCTGGGTGTGGTGGTGGGCGCCTGTGGTCCCAGCCACTTGGGAGGCTGAGGCAGGAGAATTGCTTGAACCCAGGAGACAGAGGTTGCAGTGAGCTGAGATTGCACGACGGCACTCCAGCCTGGGCAACAGAGCGAGACTCCATCTCAAAAAAAGAAAAAGAAAACTAGGCCGGGCACGGTGGCTCACGCCTGTAATCCCAGCACTTTGGGAGGCCGAGGGGGGTGGATCATGAGGTCAGGAGTTTGAGACCAGCCTGGCCAACATGGTAAAACCCCGTCTCTACTAAAAACAAACAACAACAACAACAAAATTAGCCAGGCGTGGTGGCGTGCACCAGTAATCTCAGCTAAAGAGAGGATAGGCAGGAAAACTGCTTGAACCCGGGAGGCAGAGGTTGCAGTGAGCCAAGATTGTGCCACTGCACTCTAGTCTGGGTGACAGAGCAAGACTCCGTCTCAGAAAAAATAAATAAATAAATAAAATAATACAAAAATTAAAAAAAATTATAAAAGAAAAAAATACTGGCCAACTGGCCTTGGCATGTGAAATTATTTTTAAAATGCTCTTTTCCATACCTAATTAGGCACTAAGTCCTGGTAGTAGCACATATTATCTTTGTAATAACACTTTTTTAAAAGGTACCTGGTTACCTGGAGTTAATGAGTGATAAAACCCTCTCAGGCTCTAAATATGACAACCCCACATGTACACATAACCCGGGCATACAGTGAACTACACAGAAAACTCTGTTAAGTGAAGGGAGTCTGTTTCTAGACAAAGAGCATTTTGGGAGGGAAATCAGAACAAATCCCTGCATTCCTGGATGCTCAGGGCTTGTACTTCAGATCCCAAGCACTTAAACTTCATGACTTGCAAATTAAAAATAAACCAACATGTACTGAAACCTGCCGGTCTGAGGAGAAAGTGCAAAGTTCTTTCATTTCAGCAAAGAAAAACAACAACAATGATAAGGAGACTCTGGGGCCACAGCCTCCTTCTGGAAAAGCCAGCTATAGAGTCACACTGCACTGTACTTGAGGAGTCAGCCAGAAAGAACCCACTCCTGGAATGCAAGAAGCTTGAACAGTGAGAGAACACCCAGGCAGGCACTTAATTAAAGAATGAATCAACAGCAATAGTGAATTCTCAAAGACACCCATATGATACTCCTCCTGGGACACAGACCACTTAGCTGCAGTGGAAACTCCATCCAGATTATATGCTGTTAATTTAATAGAAAACCAAGTGAGTATATAACACAGTGAAATGTCAGCTACTGAAAGACTATTCTTCTAGAAAGGCTTTCAAACCCTGAAAGTAGGCCAAAAGAATTTTTTTCTCCAGCAAGAATCTTTTGTGGCCAAAAAGAGAGCCTTAGAGCAAGGAGCATCGTAGCCAAACATTTGAAGAGAACCTGGAACACAATGGGTCAGTTTGCCTCCAGGTAGAATGGTTTGACTGACCATGTCAGTAAGAAAGTCTAGCTTTTCTGTACCCTAAAGAATTAATGGGATGGAAGAAAGAGGGAGAGGAAGATGTGGGAGAGATATACAATCACACACACACACACACACACACACACACACACACACACACACTCTGTGATAGTTATTTTATTTTTTGATTCAGGGTCCCACTCTGTCACCCAGGCTGGAGTGCAGTGGTGCAATCACGGCCCACTGCAGCCTTGATTTCCCAGGCGATCCTCCCACCTGAGCCTCCTTAACTACAGGCATGCACCACCATGCCTGGCTAATTTAAAAAAAATTTTTTAGAAGTGGGTTTTCGCCATGTTGCCCAGGCTGATCTTGAACTACTATACTCAAGCGATCTGCCCACTTTGGCCTCCCAAAGTGCTGAGATTACAGGCATGAGCCACCATGCGTGGCCTATGATGGTCAATTTTGGGTGCCAAATTGACTATATTAGGAAATACCTAGAGTGAGGGTGTTTCCAGAAAAGGAGCATGCGAGTAGAAAAGATCCACCCTCAAGGTAGGCAGGCATCATCTAATCAGCTGAGGGCCCTAATAGAGCAAAAACAGACAAAAGGCAAACTGGTCTCTCCCCAGGGGCTGGCATACACTGCCATACACTCTTCTACTCCTGGTTGGACATCAAACTCCAGGCTCTCCACCCTTTGGACTACAGGACATACACTAGCTGCTCTCCCCTTGGGTTCTCAGGCTTTCGAGCTCAGACTGAGAGTTACACAATCAGCTTCCTGGTTCTGAGGCCTTTGGGCTACGTACTTTGGACTTCTGAGTTGATGCTGGAACGAGTTAAGAGTTTTGGGGCAACTGGAATGGAATGAATGTATTTTGCATGTGAGAAGGACACAAATTTTGGAGGCTAGGAGCAGAGTGCCATGATTTGAATGTGTGCCCCAAAATTTCATGTGTTGGAAACTTAATCCCTCCATCCTCATGAATGGATTAATGTTGCTATCGTGAGAGTGGGTTTGTTATCACAGGAGTAGCTTTGTTGTAATAGCAAGACCTCTCTGGCTCTCCTGCTCTTGCCCTTTTGCCATGTGAATACTTTCCACAATGTTATGATGCACAAGATGCCAGCACCATGCTCTTGGACTTCCCAGCCTCCAGAATTGTGAGCTAAATAAACTTATTTTCTTTACAAATTACCCAGTCCATGGTGTTCTGTTATGGCAACAGAAAACGGACTAAGACACACACACAGACACACACACACACAGACACACACACACACACACACACACACGAATAGCAGTGTAAAATTAGAGGGCTAATGAGTGATGGCTGGCATTGGCAATGAAGAAGGGGCTGCGGATAAATAGTTTAGGAGAAGCTGCAAACAAGTTCTGTGGTTTTCTTATGCAGACAAATGCCTCAGTACAGTACCCCTGGCAAGCACAAAGACCCTCTGCCATGCAGGAGTGAGTCTATGGGATGCATTTGTGGTGCTGTGCAGTGAGTCGCACGCGGTAGCCCACCTGAACACAGTCCCACCTGCATTCTCAAAGCAGTGTCTTTTTCCTCCACAGCACTGTCACAGTTTGTGGTTATATATTCAGTTATGTGGTGTTTTTGTTTAATATTCAGCTCTCTCACTAGAATGTAAGCTTTGAAAGGCAAGTTTCATGCCAGCTTGTTTACTGACTCATCATCACCTGGCACAGCGTGATTTAAACACATGAGAGGTTTGAAAAATATTTTTGAATGAATGAATGAACGAACTAATAAAGGAAAAACAAATGAACACATGAATATGAAGGCATTTGGGCTTTGTGAAGGAATCTGGGCATTTCTCAAGCCGAGAAAAGAGAAAGGCAATTTAGGCAGAAGGAAGAGTCAAATGCAAGGGAACATGAAAGAAAAGGCAGCTTGTAGTGACCAATGGAGTTACTGCCACCCTGAGATGTCTCACACTCGGGGACACCTAACAGATGTCTCAGTACCACCTATCAGGTGGGTGAGGTCTTTACACTGGAATACTGACACACTATTCCACCCACAAAGTCGAGAATTACATCTTATTTTCTGGTAGCTCAAATTCAAGAAATCGCTGAACACCTATTGTGTACAGCACTGGGATAGGCACTGTGGATGATACAAAGCTGTAAGACATGCTTCCTATCGAGGCCAGGAGAGGGTAACCAGAGAAGCACGTATATAACTAGAGCCCAAGGGGATGTGTGTGCAGTGTCCCAAGGTAAGCGTGACCTGCAAGCTGTGCAGGTTCAGAGGGGAGCAAGGTTGCTGCTGTCGATGGGGATTTTATCTTTAAATGTTAAAACATTCAATCCAGTGTGCTTTCACTAAGTCCCTATGTCCCCAACATAGTTCTTGTATTTATGGAGGAGCAAAAAGCAACAGGAAGTCAAGAGGTACACTGAGCTCATCTCCCTGCTCCCCAGTGGGTTCTGTCCTTGCAGGTAAGAACTCATGCTGTGCACCCAGGCCCACGGGCCTTGAAGCATCTCTTGGCTCTACTCGCCAGAATCTTGCCAAAAGGGATGGCAGGAGGATGACAGAGCCTCAGCAGTCACAGGGAGGGAGGCTCCTGAGAGAAAAGGATGCAGATAGGAGAGACAGTATGTTTCATAAGCAAACCAGTAATGTAGTCATTTTGCATACAAATTGTCCTTCAGTTGGTTTCAGACCTACAGGGCTGGGCTGTGAGGTCCTTTACAGTCCCCAAGTGTGCCCCCAGCTCAGATGGAACCCAGCTTGCAGAGAGGGGCTGTAATCAGAGAGCTCAGGTAAAGAAAACACTGCTGGAAATGATCTGTTACAAAGATGCCAGTTACCAGGGAGGTTGCTAAGGGAAGCTGGCAAGTTAGCTAGAGCTAAGTCAGCTCTCCACTACATAAACACTTGAGCTACAGAACCATGAGGTAGGGATCAGGGGTTCAGAAGAAAAGTTCAATGTAGGGGTAACATGAAGCAGAACAGTCCTCTGGGATTGATTAGTGAGTCTGCAGTTTCTAACGGCAAGATGATAATGCCTTTCTCTTTTCGCTCCTTTCGCTTTATGGAAGAAAAATGAGGCTCTCGGGTATTGAAGCAAAGCTACAACCCACAAAGCAGATTACCCTGGAAACAGACTGGACAAGGGCCTCCCAGAACTGCCCCCCCAAGGCCATTCTACCCAGAGCCTCAGAGAAGTGACCAGTCACTGGGCAAGCTTTCAACACAAAATTAATTACCTAGGTCCAGGGACCACCAGGACTACCATATCATTCTCCAAGGTAAGGGCAGGGGACAAAGAACTAAGTGAGAAAAAGATGAGGAGATAGTGAAAACACCCACGGACATTTGCCTTGAGTTTTATTTAATGTTTGCATAAGCTTGTCCTTAATAAAGACATTTTATCTCTTACATAATAAGGTGTGAAGGTTGATGCTTTAAATATGTGGGGTCTTTTTTTTTTAATTTTTGAGACAGGGTCCCATTTTGTTACCAGGCTGGAATGCAGTGGTGCAGTCATGGCTCACTGCAGCCTTGAACGCCCAGGCTCAAGCGATTCTCCCACCAGAGCCTCCTGAGTAGCTGGGACCACAGGCATGTGCCACCACGCCCTGCTAATTTAAAAAAAAAAATTTTTGTAGAAACGAGATCTTGCTATGCTGCCCAGGCTGGTCTCGAACTCCTGGGTTCAAGCAATCCTCCCGCCTCAGCCTCCCTAAATGCTGGGATTACGGGCATGAGCCACCATGCCCGGCTGATCTGTGGGGCCTTGATCAAAAAATTCTTAAGAGAATTGGGAGCAAAGCTGAAGGTTTGATAACAAGACACGTAGTTACCACCTGGTGGCAGCATATCTAAACTAAAGACTTGTGAGTGTGCCGTGTGTGTGTGTGTGTGTGTGTGTGTGTGTGTGTGTGTGCGTGTGCATGTATACACCCACGCAAGCAAGTTCAGGGGAAGAAGAGATTGGAGCAGAATTGTACAATCTCAGGGTCAGAACCCAACACCTCTCTCCAGCCCCATTTCAATTAACACTGGGAGCTTCCCCTATAAGCTTCCAACTCAGGTGGTTGCCTTGGATTCTCTTTGGAGAAGCAACCTCATTACCACCCCTTTCCCAAACTCAAGTCAGAAAGATTTGTCCCAACAACAGTTAGGTGATCTCCAAAGCAGTGATCTGAAAGTGGCCTAAAGCCTGCCACCCTAAAGCCTGTTTGTCCTGTGAGCGAATCAGTGAGTGAGCAAGTGAGTGAATGAACACAGCCTAATTTCCTTAATATGGTTATTTTCAGCCTCCAGGGTTACCACAGTCAATGGTGGGGCACTGATAAACGTGGCAATCTAGACATTTAGAAATAGCTCCTGTGTAAGTGTCCCTCTCAGGGCTGACAAATGCAGACCCTAGAAGGGCAGGCCAGGAGAGCCCTACATTCCAGTGGGACAGCAGACAGATTTGCCTCCTGGGAATTCGAAGACACAGATTCCTGATCCAGTCCTCCCTTGATGGGACTTAAGTAAGTTACTAAATCTTGGAGCCTTAGTTTTCTTTCCTGTGAAATGGAGATCATCCTATTCACTAAACCCTGGGATGGTCAGATGAGATCACGGGGATACAGGCAGTCCATGGACTTTTAAAGGGCTGCCAGATGTTCCAAGTTATTATTCTGCTGGGCGGTGCTGCAAATACGCATTTTAGATTTAGCAGTTTGTCCTTTATCCTACTTCTTTATGAATTAAGCTGCCTTGTCACCTACAGAGCCACTGTTAGTAAAATAAATTATTCCTCCCCAGGTCCAAGTTGCTGCTGCTTCTGAGCCAGGAGGTAAGCGATCATTCTCAAGGTTAAACTTGACGCCACAGAGACAGAAACACAAACCAAACCATGTCTAGAGTTAGAAAATTCAGAGTTCACATAACTGGGGAAATGAAAAATGTGGGCCGGGCATGGTGCCTCACGCCTGTAATCCCGGCACTTTGGGAGGCCAAAGCAGACGGATTGCTTGAGCTCACAAGTTCAAGACCAGCCTGGGTAACATCACAAAATCCCATCTATATGAAAAATACAAAAAATTAACTGGGCATGGTGGTTCACACCTGTAGTCCCAGTAACTCGGGAGGCTTAGGTAGGAGGATGGCTTGAGCTGGGGAGGCAGTGGTTACAGGGAGCTGAGATTGTGCCACTGCACTCCAGCCTGAGCAATAGAGCCAGATGTTGTCTCAAAAAAAAAAAAAAAAAACAGAAAGAAAGAAAGAAAAAAAGAGAAAGAAAGAAAGAAAGAAAGGTAGAAAGAAAGAAAAAAAGGAAGGAAAAGAAAAGAAAAAGAAAAGAAAGAAAAATGTGGTGGGTTTCCTTTTCCCATGCAAAAAGTAGCCAAATTTGACAGGCTGCCTCCCCGCTGGTAGCCTCCTTCCAGCTACACGGCATCCAGAAGCCCCCTGGCCCGGGTGACTTCACAAGTTGCCAGTTGGCTACAAACCAGGCTAGCTCCAGAGCACACTGCTGCCTTGGGAAGCCCTGGTAAACCTCACTGATCCTGCTGTGAGGGGCCCAGCAGACCAGGAATAATGGAAGAGACACCTGTGGCATTCCCTGCAGGTTTCCAGTGCTGTGGTGGGAGCATGGCATGTGTTAGAACATCCAGGGGGACAGCAAGTGTAAGGCTCTGTCAACACTAAACTGCCAATAAAGTAGGGCATTCTTTAATTGTCCAGTAGTTTCATAGCAAAGACACAGGGCAGAAAGGATGATGCAGTCTCCAGATTCAAGTGGGTACTGGTGGTTCTCCAAGTGTTCTTTTGTGAGTGAGTCCCTATTCCACAATGGAAAGGACTGGGTCCTACCCACTTCCCCGCCTGTATCTCCAACACCCAGAAGACATCAGTAACCGAAATGTACTAGATGCTCCAGACATGCTTATTAGGTATATGGATAGGATGATGGGCAAGGCTAGGGGGCGCCAGAGGCTGCTTTGTTATCCAATATCTGGAGCTGCAGATAGGGGAAGAAAGGCTATAGAGGCTAGATGGTTTTTCCAAAAGGAACCACGACTAAAATGCATGGTGTTGGATAACAATTTCTGCAGAATATGGTCCTAATGACAGAGAAATCTGGATTCAAATCTGGGCTCTATCACTGATTGGCTGTGACACTTTGGGAATGTTCAGCCCCTCTGTGCCTCTGTTTCCCCATTTGTAAAGTGCAGGTAAGAAAAGCATCTTAGTGGGGTAGCTTTCGGACTTCAGGTCCGAAATCAAGGGTGTGGATGGTAGCGATGGTGCTTTCTCTCCCCACATCCATGCCAAGGCACAGCTCATTCTGGAAGAGCTTCCACCAGCACTTCTAAGCCTCCCAGTTAGGTGACGGAGAGGAGCTTTTATTGCTCTTTCCCCTAAAGGAGCACCCAATCTGAATGGCAAACACCTAACAACCTCTGGACCACATCTTGCAGGTTCTGGGGTCAGTGTCAAAGGCCTGCTGGCATCAGAGACTGCCTCTGGCCCTCTGACCAACCTATGCCTTCTCTCCAAGGCATCCTGTTGGTGCCTGCTCTTCCATGAGTTCATGGATGGGAAAGTCAGGCCCGCCTCCCTGTGGGCCCAGGGCCCTACTGTCTTCTTTTCAGGCTGAAGGCTTGTAACACTCAATATAGCCCATTCCAGAAATTCCCCCATCCATAATGCTGATACCTTGGTTGATACTTCTCTTCCTTGAATCTATTAATGAAAACCAGAGGGAAGGAGGGCTAAGTCTCCGGTGGTGCCTCCGCATGCTTAGCATTTGGTAGCGAATGATGGTAACACATGAATAAGCCTCTTAGAGGGCCTGCTGTGTGGGTCTCCTGCTTCAACTCCAGTACGTGCGTGGAGATCAGATCCACTGTTACCCAGATCAGCGGTTCTCAAGGGTGGTGGCACTGCCCCCTGGGGGCGTTTGGAAAATCTATGAGGGTATTTTGGGTGGTCACCAAGGAGATGGCATTTAGGAAAAGGGGGAAGGACCCTAGACATCCTGCTATGTGTGGGACAGCCCTGCCCAATGAAGAGATGTTTCATGTCCCTCGTGACTTTCAAATATTTCCCTAGACATACACATAAGTTTTAAAAAGTACGTATGATACATATTTATACCTATGTGTATATTTCTACATATCTGTGTATATGTACAAGTATGTCTGTATTTTTAAATTTAATGTCAGCAGATATAAGCAAAAATATAGACAAATATACCTCATTTTATTACTAATTATTACCAATGCCATATTGGCTGGGAGTCACAAGTCACAGAACTTCTCTCAACTCAGTTAAAGATTCCTATTTTGTTTTGAGTTTAGGTGTTGGAGGGGAACTTCTACTGCTCATTCACTTTTGTCAAAAGGCATTACTTTTGCATTGGAAAAAACAAGATAATAAAAAGTGGGCAAAGTTTGTTAGACAGTTTATAAGAAAAATCATGATCCTGAAGAATGATATTTTGAAAATAAGCTTACTATATATTAATGCAATAAAATCAAATTACCCCTCGCCCCCCAAAAAATCTGCTTATTATTTTCTGAGCCTAGAACCTAAACTGTTTCACATATAAACACATCTTATTTTTGCAAACACTTAATTTTTTAGAAATTCAATTTCTATGAAAATGGAAAGGAAATCATAAAGAGTTGTTCACCATCTAGGAAAATCCAGGTGCCAATGCCAACATTATTCCCATCATTTGAGCCACCAAGACTGCAAACGTGTCAGTCAATGTTTGAAGCCGTTGACCGTGATTCTGAGTGTGTCTGCATCTGACTCTTTTGTCATGACTTCTGGTGCAGGCATGTTTGAGTATGTCCTCTTCTTTAATTTCTCTTTCCTATTTCAATTAGGGCAGTATATTTGATTTCTGAGAATTTTATATGTAGGTAGGTTATATAATACATAAACCTCATGTCAGAGTAGGAAAATGTTTGTTATAAAAAGGACCCCTGGAGACTGAGGGCTGAGAGCCACTGATTTGGCCTCTCAGATCACGAGGCAATGAGTTCATCAATTCTGACTTCCAGATATTTGCTTAAACTCTCCCAGCAGTCATAACAGAGGAAGTTTGGAGAAGAATTCTGCTTGTCACAGCACATGACTCCAGCCCTAGCTTTGTGTAAAACAGGACCTTCATCTCTCTGGGGTGAAGTGAGGGTACATAGGGACTGCCCCGCGCCATCTTCATCCGGAATGAAAAAAGCTGTTTCTCAGCAGAAAGGTGGAAGCAGAACTGGGTTGTGCTACTTACAGAGGTCTTCAGTGGCAGCTGGGACAAAGGCAGCCATGGACTCATAGAGATCCTCGTCACAGCCGGGGTTGAGCGAGCATTTCATAAGCAGGTCTGTGGAAAGGTGGGCCATGGACTCGTACACAGCATCAGCCTCCTCCCCGTGCATCAGTTCCTCTTTAATGTGACTCTTGAGCATGTCCACCGTTTCCTGAAAGAGAAGATGAGGCCCACGGCGCCCTGAGGCAGCCTGACTTTCCGGGTGGAACTTGGCCCCCGAAGGCACTTGTGGCCAGCAAAGTAAAGGCTCCCATGAGTCAGGATTACAACTGGTTGTGTGTATTTGTATTTTCCCACCTGACTGAACGCTCCTTGAGGCCAGGCTTCCCACCTTTTTTAGTTTATTTCACGTTTTTGTTTTAATCTTCGTATCTTCCTACAACACTAAGCACAGAGTTAGGCACTCAGGAAATACTCGTTAAATGTCCACTGACCAGAGGATACAAATTAAAAATTACTTTCCCATGGCCTGATGTGGTGGCTCACACCTGTAATCCCAGGACTTTAGGAGGCCAAGGCAAGTGGATCACCTGAGGTCAGGAGTTCGAGACCAGCCTGGCCAAAATGGCAAAACCTCATCTCTACTAAAAATACAAAAATTAGCCGGGCATGGTGGAGCACGCTTGGAATCCCAGCTACTCGGGAGGCCGAGGCATGAGAATTGCTTGAATCCAGGAGGTGGAGGTTGCAGTGAGCCAAGATCGCACCAGTGCACTACAGCCTGGGCAACAGAGCAAGACTCTGTCTAAAAAAAAAAAAAATACTTTCCCGTGAGCACCTTTTAAATGTCAGGTACAATGCTAGGTATTTGCCTATACCCTATCTCCTGTAATCCATTCCACTACTGCTTGAGAAAGGTATAATATTCTCTAGTTTACAGATGAGAAAAACAAAGCTCACAAAAATCTAGTATCTTACTCAAGGGCTTGCAATCCTGATTTCTGATACTTCTTCTACACCCTAGTGGTTCCTCCAAAGGGAAAAAAATGACACAAGAAGGTGTGACCTTTACTGACTAGCCACGCAGAAATTCAAATGAGCTGAACAGGAATGCAGCTAAGGTGTTCTCGCCCTGTGTGTAGTCAGAGGTCACTCCGCAGCTTGGCACACTAGCCCCTGTTCCTTCAGCAGTCTCCTCCAAACTGTCAGGAACCCTGACAGTTTCCAGGGGTTCCAGCCTCGATTTTATGTCCTATGTGCCCAAAAGGAGAGATGATCTTGGATAAAGTGTCCTGACATCAGAAAGGTTCTCCCCTGCCTCCCACTGCCATCCTGCCTCCATGTGATTGTGAAGCCAGAGAGGTGACTTCCCTGAAACCTCTGCACAACTTTTCCTGGTAAGAAACTTTGGTGTTTCACAATCCTTATTTCAGCATCAACCCACAAAAATCCTCATTTTCACCACCACTACCCTAAGATAGCTAATCTTTTATTGACACTTCGTTAGTTTCCTCACGAGACCCAATAAAACAGATGACAGCTGTGAAATGTTGGAGATTCCAGATCTCACCTTTGGTTTTGATGTGGTGAAAAAAGGAAATGGGACAGTTCTAAGAGGCCATAAGCAACACAAAGGGACAGTCTTTTGGTCACAATGCTGAAGCTGCATCGGTTGAAGGTGACCACAGGGAGAAAGCAAAGATGGTATGACCTAGATTGACTTCGGCACAAAATGAAAGTGCATCTTTAAACATCCCAGTTAAATACAACAGGATAACAAGCCCGGGCTTCAGTATCAAACTAGGTGCAAATCCTGTCTCTGCCCTGAATAGTCTGTGGCCCTAAGCACAGTGACTTTGCCTTTCTAAGCCGTTTTCCTCTTTTGTAAAGTAAGGCTTGCAATACTGTCAACTTCAAAGGATTGTGGTGGGGATTAAATGAGATAATACATTTTCAAATCAAATACATTCAATAAATACTAGTTACTACTATGAACACAGTAGGTTATTAATAAAAACTATTGGCATGGAAATGAAATGCTACATTTGGTACATTTGTGACTTTAAGAAAAAACTGAGTAAATACACCCAGACTGAGAGCACCTTTTAGACTTATTTGTGTCAGTGACGCCCAAAAAAAAGGACTCACACCATTTTATTCAAAACACTTATACACCTGTAAACACTGGGAAGTCCCCTCTGTGCCTCCGTGAATCACTGTCTTGTAGATTTTCCAACACAGAGCAGAGAGTTAAGTTTCTGGGGAGATATCAGGCTCTGTCCTGTCTGGAGGTCGAGAGCAAGACCGGGCTGTGTTTATTGCTCCCTGTGAGGTCACAGCCCCATGCGAGAGGCTGAGCTATTCTCAGGTACCCTCTGGGAGTCTGTGAAGAAGGAGGAAAACCACGAGGGACTGGGATCAGGAAGAGCAGCTGCTTCCTAGGCATCAGAGGCAATATTGGGGCATGGAATAAGATGTAGACGTGGGGTGCGATCAGCCTCAAAGAAGGACCCAGAAGTCAATGTTTGAGGAGGAGCTGAGGGCCCCAAACCAGATGATCAGATAAACTGGGCATACCTGCCTGTCTTAACATGGGACCCAGGCAGGGGGTTAGAAAGAGAGAGCGAGGCTGTCAGCAGGAGGTGGGCCTTAGAGTTGCTGCCCTGATGCCTTTCCAGGTGCACAGCTTTATTGAGGTTTCTGCTGAAGAAGAAACCAAGCCTAATACAGTTCACCGGGGCCTGAAGGCGGGTGAGGCAGCTAGGAGCATCCCACCATGGTGCCCTGGAGGCAGGTGAGGAGGTGGGGGGAGATGATCAGCCTCTACCTTCAGCAGATTCACTCTATAAAGGTTTCTGTAAATTCTGTGAGGGTGAACCTCAGTGCTTAATAGAAATGATTTCCTTTTACCTTCAAAAGAACTCTATGACTCAAACTATGATTATCTTCCTTCTGCATATTAGGAAACTGAGAGAGGATACGTGACTTACCCAACGTCACAAGGCTAACAAGTGTTGGTACAGGAATTTGGACCCAGGTCCATGTGACTCCAGACCTCATTTCTTAAGCCCACACATACTGCCCATGGCCAGAAGAGGTACATGAGGACATGCTAGAGATAAAATCTGTTCGTATTTTGGGTGAAAGGGCAGCCATACTACCACAGAGTGCATTTCCAATCCTGGGCCCCTCCTGCCTTGACCTTACCACATACTCGTCGATGAACTGCCGCAGGTCCCTGAAGCCGTGTTTCTCAGCGATGGTGTTGGGGTAGTGGCCATGCTTGTTGGCCACGCTGTACGCCTGCAGGGCTCCTGGGCAGGTGAGCAACAAGGCAGTGAGGTTCTTCAGTCCATACTTCGCAGCAAAATGCAACAGGGTGGGCAGCTCTTCATCCCTCTGATCTGAAAATTATCAAGGAAAACTTAATAGGCAGATAAAAATAAAGGCACAGGGTGCCCTTGTTCATGGAGATGAAGCTGCCAAGACTAGCATGGCAACAGAAAGCACTCAGCCATTACTTATTGATTGACTGACCTAACATCTAACAGCTTCCTTCAGGACACCACTGAAGATCATGTCCTCAGATGCAGAGGACATAATTTTTTTTGTTGAGATGGAGTCTCACTCTGTCACCCAGGCTGGAGTGCAGTGGCGCGATCTTGGCTCACTGCAACCTCTGCCTCCCAGTTTCAAGTGATTCTCTCGCCTCAGCCTCTCAAATAGCTAGGATTACAGCTGTGCATCACGCCCAGCTAATTTTTGTATTTTGAGTAGAGATGGGGCTTCACCATGTTATCCAGGCTGGTCTCATACTCCTGACCTCAAGTGATCCACCTGCCTCGGCCTCCCAAAGTGCTGGGATTACAGGCATGAGCCACCATACCCGGCCATAACATTTTAATTAATTAGCAAATCTAATAATGAATACCCTACCATCTTCTCTAACAGGACTGGAGAATCCTGAGAAAAAGTACCAGTTCAAAATGTGCCGGGTTTGTTTAAAGGCTTAACTAGCAGCCACACAGTACAATAGGAATCATGTTTTGAACTTCTCTGCAAAGTTCAGAGCATGTATTTCTTAAAGCTATTGTTTCGTGCTGATTAAAAGAAAGCAGTTCATCCTCTTAGCCCTTATTCCTAATTTCATGATAAGTACACCAAGTAATCCTGGGTATGTTCCTTAGACTTTCCGCTGCCTTTAGTTCTCAACCAGAAAATACTTCCAGACTATCTCAAAAGGACCTGGGAGGATAAGTAAGATAGTATTCAGCAGGGTTCCTATTTAGGAGAGATTTTGAATGTTGGTCTTAATGCACACAAGCCCCACCAGGACGTCAGTTCACTCTCTAATTGGTGAAAAGCAAAGTACTCCAGAGAGGTGCTGGGTCCCCACGGACCCCCTCCACCTACTGACATCTGAATACAGCAAGTTAAACTCAACCAAGAAAATGGACATGTTTGTGTTTGCGGAGCTGGGGACAAATCTCTTTTTTCATAAACGTTTATTTTTAAGCCCAACAACTTTATAGACATACATTTATATACAAATGTATATTTTTTAACATGACAAACCCAGCCTTCTATTCCAAATATGACCTTGGAATGAAGGGTCTGAAAATATTCCCAGGATCTCAAATTGTCAGGCTATGAAATACTTTCTTCTAAGCCCCAAACTTAATAGAGAATAGTCACATCTACAAAAGTGCTGCAAGAACATTCCATAGTAGGAAAATGGGGAGAGGCAATACGAAAGAGAGTCCCCCAGGAGAAGGCCTCGAAAGTCATGTAAACTCACCCTTATGGTTCTCTTAGACTACAGAAGGATGGAACGTAGGCAGAAGGTAACCAGAGACTTGGGTCCCATTTGTGTAGTGCAACCATGGCATGAAGGAACGGTGGTGTCCACAGAAACACTACAATAGGCATCCTGTCCAGAACACCAAGCATCATCCCCGTGCAAGGGGTGTGACTCTCTCAGCTCCCAGCATGTCACATGTGCACAAGAGGCTGCTCCTCCCTCATTAAACAACTACTTGTTTAGAGCCTACAAAGAGCCAGCCACCCAGGAGCAGTTCCAGCCCTCACTGAGCGGACAGCCTAGCAAAGAAGACAGACACAGCTGAGGAGTGCTAGGTCAATGGCACCCAACATGCTGGTGGTCGGGGGGTGCCAAAGCAGGTGAATGGAACCTACTGGAGGTTTGGAGAAGGTCTTCTAGGGAAGTGCTACCTAAGCTGCTACAGGGAAGTGAGAGAAGTTAGCCAGGTAAACAGCAACCAAGGCAGGAAGGAAGGACTATCTTTCCATGAGTCTAAGTGGCAAGAGACAGGTGAAAAAAGCTCATACCTCCTGCAGATCAAAGCATAGAAAAGACAAGAGGGAGTGTGGAGAGAGATGAGGGCTTGTTCACAGGTTAAGCAGTTTGGATTTTATCTAGAAGGCAACTGGGAACCTCCCCTGACAGTACTTAGCTTACCTGTTCCTCATGCTATCCCTATGAGGAATAATCATAACAAGCTCCATTGGCTTACGCCAAACCAATTTAAAATCACTCATTTCCTGCTCCTCCGTAAGCCACCACATGTGTTTTGAGAAGGGGGTAAAGTATTCAGATTTGCAATTGAGAAGAATGAGGCTAACCAGTCAAGAATGAGTCCTTATCACAGGATAGGTTATAGAGAAGGGACCCAGAAGAGTTACAGCAGAAGGTAAACGCGTATGTTGATGGGATGCTGAAACCAGCAGGCTAGAATCAGCCCACGTTGGTTTCCTGAGGTTTGACTGTCAACTTACTTGTCATCATATCTTCTTCTTCCAGCTGGTTGATTCCAAAGAGGTGCAGTCCGCTTGCAGGGATATTGTTCTTCAGGGATTCGGTTAGCAGTTTATCAAGGGTCTCTGTGTTGTAGGGCACAATTTTAAAGGCCTGAAAACAAAAGTGAAGATGGTCAGATCTGAAATCCAGCTCTCTTCCATCCCGCAGATTCAAGACTGATAAGCCATGAGCAGAAATTACATGCCCAGAAATCTCAGGTTTCCTTGTAATATCCTTACCTGACACATGAATTCCACAGGATTCGCGGCATTGGACAATAAATTCCCAATTTCTTCCATGTCAGTATAATAGCTGATAACGGTTTCACACACCACTAAGTCTCCAGAATATATCTTCAGAGAAACGTTCCCAGATGAAAGGTCTGAACAGAAGAAAAGACACTATCAAAATTCCCAGGAAAAACAAGCATCCAGGGAAAAGTGGCTGTGGATATACACACTCCATCTGAGTGGTGAGGACACTAATTGGGGGCTGGAAGAAAGATCTTGGAGGTGAGCTGGGGCGGGAGTGAGGGAAAGGGTGGAGGTAGCAGGTGAGCAAACCAGCACATGGCAGGGCTCTGGGCCACAGCAATTTATCCTCATTGGGTTTGCAACTTAATTTTCAAAAAATTTTCATCTTTTTACTCACTACTGTAGGCCCAGTGCCTCAATGAACAGGAAGAAAATTCGGGTTTAAGGCACTTTACACAAAGGCCAGTGGTCACAGAAGGAGGGAAAAATCATGGGAGGTGAAACTGTGTTTCTGCCACATTGGGGCAGCTGAACTGGCTCACTGCAAGTCATGAGCTGCTGTCATGACTACGCACTCTCCCTGGGGCGGGATGCTATACCACAGGAAGGGGTTTTGAGGGGGCAAGAGAAAATTAAAAATAACACCAACCACAGAGATTCACAAAAGAGGAAATGCGACAACAGAGACCATGGAAAAATATTCACCCACACTAGTAATCAAAGAAATGCATATGAAAACAATGGACTACTCTTTAACAAATATCAAAGTAGCTGGGTGCCGTGGCTCACGCCTGTAATCCAGCATTTTGGGAGGCCGAGGCGGGTGGATCATGAGGTCAGGAGATTGAGACCATCCTGGCTAACATGGTGAAACTCCGTCTCTACTAAAAATACAAAAAATTAGTCAGGTGTGGTGGTGGGTGCCTGTAGTCCCAGCTACTTGGGAGGCTGAGGCAGGAGAATGGCGTGAACCTGGGAGGTGGAGCTTGCAGTGAGCTGAGATCATGCCACTGCACTCCAGCCTGGGAGACAGAGCGAGACTCTGTCTCAAAAAAAAAAAATCAAAGTAGCAAACATATTTAAGATGATAATACCTGGCATTGGTGGCATTGGTGACAGCATAGCAAATAAGCAATGAAGCCCTATGTCATCACATTCACAGGGGACTACTTACTGGGAGCCTTCACTGAAATGGTGTACTCATTCTCCACCTTGGCTTCCATCCTTACAGAGGGAGAATCCTCAGGAGAAAACTCTGCTTCTGTCGCCACCCTGTCATCCAGCTTACATCTCACAATAACATAGACAGTGGTTTCTGCCTGAAACGGGAAGCCGGTCATTGTCCCCTCTCCCTCTCAGATCCCCGTAGGGTGTTGGGCCCAAGGGTCTCCCCAGCTCTCTTGCCCTAGCTCTACCTAGTGAGAATCTCTGGGGACAGGGTGGACTCAGTGGTCCAGTGCTGGGCAGTGAACTGTTTGCTACCAGTCCCAACGAGACAAGTCACAAAAACCAAGAGTAAATATTTATAGCAATTGGATGGAGTCATTTTATGTCTGTTGAAGCTGATAATAATAATAACAATAATAATAATAATAAAACTTAGCTGGGCGCGGTGGCTCACGCCTGTAATCTCAACGCTTTGGGAGGCCGAGGTGGGTGGATCACAAGGTAAGGAGTTTGAGACCAGCCTGGCCAACATGGTGAAACCCCGCCTCTACTAAAAATACAAAAATTAGCCAGGAGTGGTGGTGGGTGCCTGTAGTTCCAGTTACTCAAGAGGCTGAGGCAGGAGAATCACTTGAACCCAGGAGGCAGAGGTTGCAGTGAACCAAGATCACACCACTGCACTCCAGCCTGGGCAACAGAGGCAAGGCTCTGTCTCAAAAAAAAAAAAAAACACACACACACACAAAACAAAACAAACAAAAAAAACCTTAAGGCCGATACTTTATACACTTTTTTTTTTTTTTTTTTTTTTTTTGAGACAGAGCTTCACTCTGTCACCCAGGCTGCAGTGCAGTGGTATGACCTCAGCTCACTGCAACCTCCACCTTCCCAGGTTCAAGCGATTCTCATGCCTCAGCCTCCCTAGTAGCTGAGATTACAGACACCTGCCACCACACCCGGCAAATTTTTCTCTGTTTAGTAGAGACAGGGTTTCACCATATTGGCCAGGCTGGTCTCGAACTCCTGACCTCAGGTGATCTGTCTGCCTTGGCCTCCCAAAGTGCTGGGATTACAGGCGTGAACCACCGCGCCTGGCCATTTATATGTCTTTTGATTTCATTTTGCATAGCATTTCTGTTGCATTGTTTTTAATGAAATCATTGGTCCATTTCAGAATTGGACATCTTTTTAGAAGTCCTTCGCCACAGATAGCTTGAGAAGCCCTGCTCTGGACCAGTCCTGCTACTCAAGGCGGAGCCAAGGGAGCAGCAGCATCAGCATCCCCCAGAAGCTTGTTAGAAATGCAGAGTCTCAGGCCCCTCCTGGCCCCACTGAGCCAGAGTCTGCATCATAACAAGATGCCCAGGTGACACCCGTGCACTTTGCAGCCTGAGAGAAGCCCTCCTGGGCTCTGCTCTTCATGCAGTCCTGGATTTTACCACTGGGCAAAAAGAACTTCTCGGGGGATTAATTTTCCCAAACCATCGAGCGCCTCGAATAGCTCTTTTAGCTTGCTTTAAGATCTCACACTAAGCCTGCCAAATGGACTGACTCTGCTGTGCTGGTTACGTGGGGGGAATGAGCCTCTCAGTCTGAACTGGTGAGGGCAGGCTCTCCAAAAAACATGGGGAAAGGAGAGATTCCTGGCCATAGCGAATCCCCAGATATTCCTCCTAAGACTCTGCTATAAAGTCCTCAGATTAGCCCTTCATGACAAGGGCCATGAGAGGGTGTGGCAAGCTTGGACTTTATGACACGTGATGTGGGGGGTGATCCTGGCTCCTGGGGCTGCTGAGGCTGCACACACATGTGCTGTGGTGGTCGTCCCTCCTGCTGCAGGCCCAGCCTTGTCCCACCTACACCTTCTGCCAGGGAGCATGAGGAGCCAATGAGAATGTGTGTCTCCTCTACTGACAGTCAGGACCAAACCCCGGCCTGCCCCTTCCCCTCTCCCCAGGATCCAGAAGCCTGAAATCGGCAACAAGAATCCTGGGATAACAGGCAGTCAAGATAGGAGAAGGAATGAGAGCCTGGAAAAATCACAGAGGAGAGTGAAGGAGATAATGCTTTGGTGGCAACCCCCTTTACCCATGGGCACCCAACAGCCTGACCAGAGGGGCATGGGGAAAGCAGAAAGTGGCATGGGAAGATTTAAAATGGAAATGTCCACAAAGGCATGGCCAGTAAGGCAAAGGAGTGAGATAGGCCTTGTATAAAGAACAGGGACTGTGGGGACCCGCCAACTGGGGGATGCATGGCCCATGTACAGGGTTGCTTGGCCCCCGCCAGTCATCTCAGGCCTAATATGACCAGATTCTGATTCAAAGGAAGCTGGAAACACAGATTTTTATGCCTAACTTTTTAAAATAAAATAGAAAAATAAAGATGGGAGTCTCACCATGTTGCCCAGGCTGGTCTCAAACTCCTGAGCTCAAGGGATCCACCCGCCTCGGCCTCCCAAAGTCTTGGGATTACAGGTGTAAGCCATTGTGCCCAGCCAATGCCTAACTTTTAAAATACTATGCAGTCTAGACCAGGCATGGTGACACATGTCTGTAATCCCATCATTTTGTGGGGCTGAGGTGAATGGATCACTTGAGGCCAGGAGTTTGAGGCCAACCTGGCCAACATGGAGAAACCTCGTCTCTACTAAAAATACAAAAAAAATTAGCCAGGCATGGTGGTGTGTGCCTGTAATCCCAGCTACTTGGGAGGCTGAGGCACAAGAATTGCTTGAATCTGGGAGGCAGAGGTTGCAGCGAGCTGAGATCTCACCACTACACTCCAGCCTGGATGAGAGAGACAGACTCTGTCTCAAAAAATAAATAAATAAACACTGTGCAGTCCAAACCAAACATGTCTGATATGGTTTGGCTATGTCCCCACCCAAATCTCATCTTGAATTGTAACTCCCACAATTCCCAGTGAGAGGAACCTGGTGGGAGGTGATTGAATTATGGGGGGGCGGGTCTTTCCTGTGCTGTTCTCATGATAGTGAATAAGTTTCATGAGCTCTGATGGTTTTAAAAAGAGGAGTTCCCCTGCACAAGTTATCTCTCTCTTTGCCTGCTGCCATCCATGTAAGACATGCCTTTCCTCCTCCTTGCCTTCTGCTATGATTGTGAGGCCCCCTTAGCCATGTAGAACAGTAAGTCCAATTAAATCTCTTTCTTTTGTAAATTTCCCAGTCTCAGGTATGTCTTTATCAGTAGCGTGAAAACAGACTAATACAATGACTATCAGTTAAATCTGGCCCAAAGAAACAGTTGGCAACCCCACGTAGGAAGTGCTTGCCCAATGCCTCACGGCCTCAGCCTGCACAAAACCACCCACAAGGGTGAGGAAGCCAGTGCTGCCCACTGCCAAGGCTCCCACGCTGTCTCGCCTCAAGGAGCCTGCAAAGCCATCTTAGCAAAGAGCTTGTATCCATAAAGGAAGCATTCTGCTGCTCTGAACTATCATAAATGCCACACGTTTTTAATTAGGAAAGGAAAAATAAAGAAAAACCATCAGTACTAAGGTAGGATTCAAATGGCAGTGGCTCATCAGTTGGGCCCTCACACTCAAGTCATCTGTAATGTATGCCCCACCCCTGAAAATGCTAGTCATATGATGTATGGCATTTATCTGATCCCTTTAAAAAGCAATATTGGCCAGTTGGTTTCAGCCGTCAAGCTTCAAGGCACTTCCTTGGGCCATGGCAGTGGCCAGTGATGGAGAAGCAAGCTGTCAGATGCCCAAGATGCATTTCCTTCCTCCCAGCACTAGGCTACCAGGAAGAGACACAGGCCTCTAACTTTAGGGTTAGCGTTAGTGTCTGGAATGCTCCTGTCTGCTGGTCTCCTAGGTGCTCTACGTTATTACTGATCCATAGAACAGAAGTCTTAGACTGATGACACACATCTCCCTGGGCTAGTCTCTCTCTTACTCAGGGGAGCTGGGTGTCTCCAGGGCCCGGGTAACAGGGTACTCAAAAGAAATCCCAAAGGAAGGCTGCAATTATACTGAGGTGCAATACAAGAAACCACTCTCTTTACTGCAACAAATGCATGCATTTGAAAAGCCCAAGTGCTGACATCCAGCTACCAGGCCCCCAGCAGTGCCTACCCCACAGCGAATGCGGTCCGGCTGCACCACCATCAGGTTCCCAGGTGAAGTCACCGTCGGCAGGTTCTGCTGCTTCGAGTAGGAAACAACCTTCTCGTCCTCAGGCTCAGTGTCAGTGACTGAGTCACAGCCAGAATCTACAAAATAGAGGACACCGCTGAATGGGAACGGCAGGAAGGAGAACTGTGGACATGTTCCACCCCATGAGAGCCCCAAATATTGCAAAATAGGAAACGGCTCTGAATGTCAAACCAATACAAGCAGAAGGGACTGACTCAGGAAATCATGAAAGGCGACCTAATGAAGACAAGCCAAACAGCATGTAGGCCACAGGGCAGAATGACAGCAAGAGGGATGACAATCATGGAGGGGAAGGCCAGAAAGTCTGAGGCTGCAGGTTTAGTCTTAACCAATGGGTTTCCGGAAGCTTTACCTGCAGACTTCCTGCAGGGATGAAGAGGAGTGAGGAAAGGAAGAAGGCCCTTTCCCCTTAGGTGGGTTCAAGTAGGGACTGTCCACTTAAAGGTCATTCTTGGAACATCAAGTAAAACCTGCACTGTCCAGAAAGCCACTAGGTCTCAGGGTTATGGCTAGCCAATGTATCCCCTCTGGAAGCAAAAGTGAAAAGCAATCATTTTCAACAAACTTTAGATAAATCTAACCAGGCTCCACAGGCAACACCTGTACCACGGAAAGATTGGAGCATGCACAGAGTCAGGGCTGGTGAGCAGGGGTGTGCAAATGTGTGTGGTATTGGCACAGAATGAGATGCTGCTGAGAACCTACCAGAGCTCTAAGGCAGGGGCTCTTAACCAGAATCTGTTAATTGATAGACCTACCTCTGAGGTTGTGTGCAAGATTGTGTGTGTGTGTGTGTGTGTGCATGCACATGTGTATGCATTTGCCTGCACTTTTCTGGAGATAGTTCAAAGCATTCATCAGATCCCCAAAGAGGGACAGAATCCCAAAATGGTTAAGAATGGTTGAGAGGGCTGGGCGTGGTGGCCTATAATCCCAGCACTTTGGGAGGCCAAGGAAGGCGGATCACCTGAGGTCAGGAGTTTGAGACTAGCCTGACCAACATGGTGAAACCCCGTCTCTACTAAAAATACAAAATTAGCCAGGTGTGGTGGCACATGCATGTAATCCCAGCTACTTGGGAGGCTGAGGCAGGAGAATCACTTGAACCTGGGAGGCAGAGGTTGCAGTGAGCCAAGATTGCACCACTGCACTCCAGCCTGGGTAACAAGAGTGAAACTCCATCTCAAAAAAAAAAAAAAAAAATAGAATGGTTGAGAGGAGAGAGAAGTTTCATCAGTCTATTTTTGGGGTTTGCTCTTATTCATTCCTTAACCACTTATACAAGCAGCCAAATATGTTAGGTACTTGAGGGAACCCGAGGACGAATCAGACACTAACCCTGCCTTCAGAGAGTCCATCATCTAAAAG